>NC_000004.12:178296381-178921381 GCF_000001405.40 Homo sapiens
TGCTTGAGGCTAGGAGTTCGAGATCAGCCTGAGCAATATTGTGAGATACTGTCTACACACACACACACACACATACACACACATTAGCCTGGCAAGGTGGCATATGCACATAATCTCAGTACTCAGGAGGCTTAGGTGAGGGGAATACTTGAGCCCAGGAGTTTGATGCGGCATTGAGTTACTATTAATCCACTGCACTCCATACTGAATGAAAGAGAAAGACTTTGTCTCTTGCAAAACAGAGAAAGAGAGAGAAAGAGAGAGAGAGGGCTTAACCGGTCAGCAAATAGAAAACACAACTTCCCTGTTCAGATGTGTGCACTGTCAGCTGTGAGCTGTGTCCTCTCCCCTCACTCTAGACAGTGCTGATGCACTCAAACCTTTCAGAACTAAATTATAAACTGTAGTTGCCACCTGGATATTTTGGGCTCCTGTGTCCAGGCATCAGCAGGCACAAGATGACTCATTGTCATCAGAGAGGTCATGTACCCTCACCACCAGGAGGCAGGGCAGCTGTTACACAATGGGAAAGAAAGGAATATCTGTAGAATCCAGACCGGTGTGGAGTGGACTATACATGGTGATGTGACACCTGGATTTTCAGAGAAGGCCTTTCTTAAGGAAGACAGATTTCCAAGACTTCTTCCTTTCCAGGGAAGTGCTTCCTGTCCCACTCCAGCCAGCACAGCGAGCAGACAGCATCCAGATGAGAGGGTCTGCTACAGGCTCCAAGGGCCACCTCATTCAAGGCTATGTCTCCTCAGGACAGGCTTTATCTGGTTGCTGAACGCAGTGGGGATATGAAGTTGGAAACTTCTGTCATCTCCCAACCAGAGTAATGTGGGACACTCTGGTTGGCGATACTTGCTCCGTGATCCCTAATGTACTGATACAGGCTTGTCTTTGCACAATCCTGCTTCCTCCCTCCCTTTCACAGGTGTTCATGGCTAATCAACTTTTGCAGCCTGTATTGCTTTCTGTTTTTGCTGTTACTGGTGGCGAATTTGTACAGGTCTGCAGCAACCTCAACTCTTGCCTCCTCAGAAGAAAGAATCCAACTGAGGGGAATGAGGCAGAAGAAGAGATTGAGGCAAGTTTTGGAGCAGGAGGGAACATTCATTAAAAAGCTTTAGGGCAGGAATGAAAAGAAAGTAAAGTAAATTTGGAAGAGGGCCGAGTGGGTGACTTGAGATCAAGTGTGGGGTTTAACCTTTCTACTCAGGGTTAAACCTGAGTAACCTGAGTATAAATATGTTGGCATATTGCAGGTTCTTGGGTTTCTTTCTTCTCTGATTCTTCCCTTGCAGTGGGCTGTCTGCATGCACAGTTGCCTGTGGGCACTTGGGAGGGGAGCATGCACAGCATGTTTACTGGAGTTGTATGCATGCTCACTTGGCACGCACAGTGTGTTTCCTGGAGCTGTGAGCATGTTCACTTAAGGCGTTCTTCCCTTACCAGCCGAATGGCCCTAGGATGCCCTATACCAGTTAAACTCTGCCATTTTGCGTCTTAGTGCACATGTGTGAGTCCACTCACCCAGGTCCTGAGATCTTATCAAGAGGCTGCTGATCACCAGCTTCGGGTGTTTCTGTTTATTAGGAGATTGCCTTTCCCTGGCACTGGCTGTGACTTAGAGAGAGAGTTAACAACCGCCTGCCCATCACCTGATGGTTATCTGACATTCCTGGTGTGGGGCGGGGGGGCAGTCGGAGGGGGAGCCCCCTCCTGCTCTGCTCATGTCTGTCTAGCTACCTACTCTAACAGTGCTGTAACACATTATCAGAAGTTTAGTGGTGTAAAATGACACAAATTTATTATCTTTTGGTAGTAGAGGTCAGAAATTCCCAAGGCAAGTTGTTGGCAGAAACAGAGGCCTTCTTGAGGCTGCGAGGGAGAATCAGGTTCCTTGCCTTTTCCATCTTCTAAAGGCTACCTGCCTTCCATGGCTTATGGCCCTCCAACCTCGGCCACTATCATCAATATTTCTCTCACTCTGATCTTTCCACCTCTTTCTTAGGAGGATGCTTGTGGTTACATTGGGCCCACCTGGATAATCCAGAATATTCTTCCCATAGCAACATTCTTAATTTATTCATATCTACATGGTGTGTTGCCATGTTAGGTATATTCACAGGTTTCTGGAATGAGGACATGGTATCTGTGGGGGACCATTATTCTGTCTACTACACACTCCACACTTCATCTCTGCATCTACTTCTGGGAAACAGAGCACATGCCAACAATCTAAAATGAAATATACACAAATGCATATAAAGTATAATATATTAACATATAATTAGAATATATTTACTAAGAAGATTTGTGAAGACCCTTTGGTCATAGGTACGTGGAGGATATTCATATTTGTATAAAAATTGCTCAGTTTGGCAAGATAATTCTGAGAAGGTTACAGGATATTTACATTGCTGTGACCACAGATGTATTGCAAAACAGAAAAACTATAAGAAATCAAAGATAGGTTGGGTGCGGTGGCTCACGCCTGTAATCCCAGCACTTTGGGAGGCCGAGGTGGGTGGATCACCTGAGGTCGGGATTTCAAGATCAGCCTGGCCAACATGGTGAAACCCCGTCTCTTCTAAAAAAAAAATGAAAAAGAAAAACAAACAAACAAAAAAATCCCACAAAAATTAGCTGGGCATGGTGGCATGAGCCTGTAGTCCCAGCTACTTGGGAAGCTGAGGCAGGAGAATCGCTGGAACCCGGGAGGCAGAGGTTGCAGTGAACTGAGATTGTGCCACTGCACTCCAGCCTGGGTGACAGAGTGAGACTTGGTCTCAAAAAAAAAAAAGACATCAAAGACACTTATATTATGATGGACAGTGTTACAGGCAAGTGAAACAAATGAGTAAATGAGTTTCAACTGGCTGTATTTTGGGATGTTTTGGGACATCTGGGAAGACATTTTGAAGTTTGAGTGACAGATATACAGAAAGCTTACAGGGTAAAAGGTCTTGAAGTTTTGAGATGACAATATGTGTTGAGCCTGCAAGCTTGAATGCTTCTTGGGTCCAGGTAGATTATTGATTGGCTTTGCCATTAAAATGAGGTATTCAATGTGTGAAGGATGTATGCTATATCACCTCTTCTATCTGATAATAAGATACTCTTCAGGACTTAAAACAAACACAGCATCTACCGATGTGCTGTCTACTACTGTGTACATTGTTTGGGGTCGCTAGTATTCTGCCAGCCTGTCCCTTTGATTACACTCCCTGATACCTGCTGCCACCTAGAGTGGAACCTATAAAAGAGGTTGGTGTTAGTGAATGAAGAGTTGAAGAACCTAGGGGCATTGATTAATTCGAATGTGGGAACTAGACACTTGGGTAGACACGTATTTGGGTTATCATGACGAATTTGAAAGATATCATCCCCAAATCTGGGATCTTCTCACAATTGCAAATAATACCAAAATTGGTTAGTTATTAGAGTCTTCAATTGTGAAAAGGAAGTAGGAAGAAGAGAGACAAGTCAAAATGCAAATTAGGTAGAGTTAAAAGGTGAAAACTGAATTGAGATGAAATAAGAAAGTATATTTTATATAAGATTATTTTATAATATTTTACTTTCTTTCATTAGCTCTAATTTTTATTATTTTCCATGTCTATACTTTCTTTCTTCTTTCCTTTAACCTATTAATATACATTAAACTTTATTTAACAGGCAATTCCAAGTACAAATGGAAGATCATGAGGACAAAGAGAAAAAATAAAAAGGAGAATGGAAACCAAACTGTATTTATTAGAGTATCACTGGCAAGGCTCCTTGCATTTCTCAAGAATACCCTGGCCTCTGCTAGCCTAATACAACCACCTTAGTCTTCCAAGTCCCAAACATTGTATGTCCCGGGGTCAGTGACAGGACCTACTTTTAAGTACATTGACATGGGAATGACCATTCATCTCTCTTGGGGAAATAACTAAAAGATATTTTATTACTGGTATTCCTAGGTGAAATGTGGAATAAAATATATCTTATATAAATATCTAAATACATTTAGAAATTATCTTTTTAAAAAGGAAATACATAAAACAGCATCTCTTCAAGAGAAACCAGGCTGGACACAGTGGCTCATGCCTGTAATCCCAACACTTTGGGAGGCAGAAAGGGCAGATCACCTGAGGTCAGGAGTTTGAGACCAGCCTGGCCAACATGGTGAAACCACATCTCTACTAAAAATAAAAAAATTAGCCAGGCAGAGTGGCAGATGACTGTATTCCCAGCTACTCAGGAGGTTGAGACAAGAGAATTGACTGAACCCTGGAGGCCAAGGTTGCAATGAGCCAAGATCACGCCATTGCACTCCAGCCTGGGTGACAAGTGTGAAACTCCATCTCAAAAAAAAAAAAAAAAAAAAAAAAAGAGAAAGGAGAGAAACCAATGATTTTCTAATAATAAAGACCTTAAAAAGGAAATATGAATACATACATTCTTATATAAATACAGATAAGTAGATGGCTTACCAGTAGGCTTATCAAATTATTCAGTTACCTTTGAACAGATGAGACTCCTTACTGTTTTTAAAATTTATTTTTTAAAAGCGTAATGTGAATTAAAAGTAGAAAACTCAAATTACAAAAAGATACTCATAGTTTTTTTTAAAGTTGTGTCAATAATAACAAATATCTTTGGGGTTCAACTCAATAAAAAAATTTCACACACCAGCAGACACACACACAAAGATATTGAGTACAGGGTGCACTTTAATCAAAATCAGTGAACTTGAAAAATTGAAAAAGCTGGAAAGCATCATCATCATCATCAAAGAAAGTCTCAGCAAAGAAATAAAAGATATGAAGAAGAATCGAATGAAAAATTTAAAACTGAAAAATATAATAACTAAACTAAAAGTTTAAGTGGATGGACTCAGCAGCAGAATCCAGGAAGAAAAGAAAAAAAAAATCAATGAAATGAAAGTTAGAATGATAGAAATTGCCTACTATAAAGAACAGAGAGAAATGGACACTGAAAAAATAAAAACCGAACATCAGTGAGTGGGACAATAAACGCCCTGGACAAAAAAAGATCTAATATATATGTCATCATAATTCTAGGAGAAGACAGAGGGTGGAGCTGAAAAGTATTTGAATAAATAATGGCTGAAAACTTCCAACACTTAGCAATAGACACATACCCAGAGACTGAAGAAGCTAAGCAACCCAGAACAGGATACACCCAAGAAATTCATACCACAATACATTATAACTAAAATTCTAAAAACTAAAGGTAACAAAAAAAAATCTTGAGAGCCACCAGAGAAGAACAACAGCTTACTTACTGGGAAAAAATAAATTTAAATGACAGTGAATTTTTTTTTTATCAGAAACCATACATACCAGAAGGAAGTAACACAGTACTTTTTAAATACTGAAAGAAAATAAACATAAATCCAGAATTCTAAAGTCAGTGAAGATACTCACTAGGTATAAAGAGTTACTAAAGACATTCTCAAATGAAGGACACATAAGACAATTTGTCACTAGTAGGCATACCCTAAAAAAATGACAAAAGGACATTTATAAACTGAAAGGAAATAATTTACAAAAAGATTTTTAAATCTTCAGGAAGAAAGAACACACTAAGCAAAAATATGAGCTTATATATTATGTTTTTGTTCTCTTTCATTTTAAAATTTAACTACTGAAGCAAAAAATATGAAACTGTCTGATGGGTTTTGAAAGGTATGTAGAGGAAAATTGTTAAGTAATTAGACTATAAATAAAGCAGAGTACATTTAAAAGAAGGTAAAGTTTCTACACTTCTTTCAAACTGGTGAAATAAACATGAGTGGACCGAAATAAGTTACTTATACATAATGTAATATCTAGAGCAAACAGCAAAACAAGCTATACGAAGAATTACAATCAAACATATTTTAAGTTTTAAAAAATGAAATTTTAGGCCGGGCATGGTGGCTCACACCTTGAATCCAAGCACTTTGGGAGGCCGAGGCTGGTGATCATGAAGTCAGGAGATCGAGACCATCCTGGCTAACATGGTGAAACCAGGTCTCTACTAAAAATATAAAAAATTAGCCAGGGGTGGTGGCAGGCGCCTGTAGTCCCAGCTACTCGGGAGGCTGAGGCAGGAGAATGGTGTGTACCTGGGAAGCAGAGCTTGCAGTGAGCCGAGATCGCGCTACTGCACTCCAGCCTGGGTGACAGAGCGAGACTCTGTCTCAAAAAAAAAAAAAAAAAAAGTAATTTTAAGTAGTGTTCCAGTAACCTACAGGCAGGTAAAAGAAATCAGAGAAATGAAGCAAAGAAACAAATGAAAAACATAGTAAAATAGCAGAATAGCAGACTTAAGCTCTAACAAATCATAATTACATTTCTGTTAATCGTCAGTTGTTGGCAGAGTGAGTTACTACATACATCTTCTCTATGCAGTGCATGACAAACTCACTTCAAATATAATGCTATAGGCAGATTCAAAGAAAAAAGGTATAAAAAGATATATCATGATAATTTTAATCAAAGAAAAATAAGAGTGGCTGCTTTAATAGTAGAGAAAGGAAACCTCATCGGAAAAAATTTAATAGAGAAAGGAAGGGGCATTGGGATGGTTAATTTCATGTGTCAACTTGACTGGGTCACAAGATTCCCAAATATTTGGTTAAGCATTATTTCTGGGTGTATCTGTGAGGGTGTTCCTGGAAGAAATTAGCATTTAAATAATAGACTGAGTAAAGCAGATTGCCCTCACCAATATGGGTGGGCAGCATCCAATCCCTTGAGGGCCTTGTCTTAGCCCATTTTGTGTTGTGATAACACAATACCTGAGACTGGGTAATTCATAAAGAAAAGAGGCCTGTTTAGTTCTGCAGGCTGGGAAGCTCAAGGGCATGGCACTGTCACCTGGGAAGGTCCTTTGTTTTTTATTTTTATTTTTATTTATTTATTTATTTTTATAAACGGGTCTTGCTCTGTCACCCAGGCTGGAGTGCAGTGGTGTGCAATGATAGCTTACCACAGCCTTGAATTCCTGGGCTCAAGGGATCCTCTTTCCTTAGCCTCCTGAGTAGCTGGAACTACAGTAGCTCATCACCATGCCCAGCTAGGCAAGGGCTTTTGTGCTGTGTCATTACATGGCAGGTCAAAGGGGAAGTGGGCACAGGCAAATGGGGCAAACCTGAGGAAGAACCTTGATTTCTAATATCCTGCTCTTGGATTAACTAATATATTACTGTGAGAAATAATCCAGTCTCAGAGAGTGAGAACTCAAGACCTCAAGAACAACACCAAGCTGGCCATATAGGTGGAGTCGTCACATCTTGAATGCCTCCCATTAGGCCCCACCTCTTAAAGATTCCAGCTCCTGACATTGCTGGATTAGGAAATAAGATTTCAATATGAGTTTCTGCAGGGACGCTCAAACCATAACAGGCTTGAATAAAACAAAAAGGGTAGACATTTATGTAATGTATGTAAATTTCCTATTGGTTCTGTTTCTCTGGAGAACCCTAATACAGGCATTGTATAATAAAAAGGATTAAAACAAAAAGAAAATATAGTAATCCTAACTGTCTATGTACCAAACCAAACAACAAAGAAAACCTGTTAAGCAAAAACTGATAGAACTAAAAGTAAAAACAGACAAATCCACATTTATAGTAGACAACACAACATTATATCTCAACAATTGATAGAACAATTAGCTATAAAATCAGAAAAATTTAACAGAATTCATCAACACCATCTAATTAAGATTTAGAATATACTTCACCCAAACATAGCTGAACATACAGTCTTTCCAAGTGCTAAAAGTAATTAAGATAGACCATATCTTGTGCAATAACACAAGACTTAACACACACTTAACAACAACAACAAATCACGCATAGTGTGTTCTCCAAATACAATGAAATCAAACTAGAGATCAGTAAGAAAAAGATAACATGAAAACTTCCAAACACTTGGAAACTAAACAATGTGCTTCTTAATCCATGAGTCAAGAAGGAAGGCTCAAGGAAATTTTAAAAAAAAAGTTAAATTGAGTGAAAATGAAAATGCCACATACCAAAATGTGTTTGGCACAGCTTAAGTATTACTGATAGGAAAATTAATAGCTCTAAATTCATATTTTAGAAAAGAGAAAAAGTATCAAATCAATAATTTAAACTCCCCCTAAAGGACTTAGGAAATGAAGAGGGAAGTAAATCTAAAGCAAGAATAAGAAAGAAAATAATAAAGATAAGAGCAAAAACCAATAAATCATATAACAGGAAGATAAAAAGAATAAAGGAAACAAATAACTGATTCTTCGTAAAGACAAATGTGTTTGCAGACCTCTTGCAAGACTTATAAAGAAATTTAAAGCGAGAGAAAGCAAAATTACAAACACTGGAAATAAAACAGAGTGTATTACTAAGGAACTTTTAGATATCAAAAGATTGTTGCATACTAGAAACAATTTTATAGACATACATTTGACAACTTTGACAAAATGGATATAATCCTAAAAAGATGAAAGCAATTGCAACTCACCTGACATGAAATAGATGGCTGGAATAACCCTGTAACTATTATAAAATATATTTGTAATTAAATAAGGCAAATAATGAAATCTCTAGGCGCAGATGGAGATTCCCTTGCAGTTCTACCAAATATTTAAAGTAGAAATAACACCAATTTTTAACAATCTCTTTCATAAATGAGAAGTTATACTTTACAATTTATTTTATGAATCTATTATTAATTTTATGTCAAAATCAGAAAAAAGACTGGGCTAAAAGAAAATGATATATGTGAAAATATAAATATATAAATATGAATATGAAAACTGAAAACTCTAATAAAATGTTGGCAAATATATTTCAGAAATATAAAGAAAGGATTATACACTACAATCAAGTGAAATTTATTTCTATGATTCCAACTTATTTAATATTTGAAAATGAATCAATATAATCTACCATATTAACAGACTAAAGAAAAAGAAAACACATGATCATATCAACTGATGCAGAAAAGCATTTGCCAAAATTCAACTGCCTTTCATGAATAAAACAACACCAACGACAACAAAAAACACCTCTCAGAGAACAAGAATAGAAAGGAAGTTCCTTACCTTGACCCAAAATATTAAAAATCTGCAGCCAACATCATTCTTAATGGTGATACTAAACACTTTTTCCTTATGCTGGGGAGCAAGTCAAGGATGTCACCCCTTATCACTTATTCAAAATAATGTTGGAAGTTCTAGCCAGTGGAATAAGGCAAAAAAAAAAAAAAAATAGAAATAAACGACATTTTACTAGGAAAGGAAGGAATTAAACTTTCTCTATTTGCAGATAACATGATCTTATACATAGAAAATAGCAAATAATCATCCTTCACCCCCCCAAAAAAAAGAAAAATTGACTGCTAGAGTCTGAGTTAGCAAGCTCATAGGATACCACATAAGCATACAAATATCAACTGTATTTTTATATCTAATAATGAATTTGTGCATGCCAAAATTAAAAATACAGTGTGATTAAAATTTCTCAATAAATGAAGGAAACTCAAAGTACTGATAAAGGAAATCAAAGAAGATATATATGAATGGAGAAACATACCATGTTTATCAATTGAAAAACTAAATACATTAATGATGTCAATTCTTCTCATATCTAATACACTATATATATATGTGTGTGTATAGAAGAATAGAATCTAGAGCTAAGCAAAAAGCTCTTAAACTTGACATCAAATATATTACCCATAAAGAAAAAAACTGATGAGTTGGATTTCAATAAAATTACTATAAAAGAACATTTAAGGAGGATGAAAAGGTAGCTATAGTTTGAGCAGAAAATATTTACACATAGCATAACTGACAAAGGACTACTATCTAGAAAATAACCGCTAAAATCAGAGATATAACCCCTAAAAACAAGAGCACGTTGGAGAATACTTCAGGAACATAAGGGTTCACATTTATAATCATGTGACTACCGTGTATCAGTAAGTCTAGCAGACCTAGCACTGTTAACCTGGAAAATAGGTTATCAACCTTGAAGACCGAGGGAGGGTACAGGAATAGGTTCAGTACACCATACACAGCTTCTTTACGTTTTCTGGGCAAGTGTGCAGAAACATGCCCTAGCAGGCACAACACTATTAAATAGCGGAATACGTAATAAACAATATCTTAATGAGGTAGGTTAGGAAGTATGATTTGGTTAAATTGTATATCCCACTCAATTTTACAAACATGTTTTCATTTCCTATTTCTGAGTAACAGATGACTACAAATGCAGAGGTTGAAAACAATGTAAATTTTTTAGCTCACCGCTCTGTAGCTGGGAGGTCAGATTGACTCAGCTGATTTCTCTGCTCCAGGTTTCACGAGGTCGTCATTGAGATGTTAACCAGCTGGGTACTTGCCAGGAGACTCTGGGAAGAATCAGCTTCCAAGCTGATTTAAGTTGTTGGCAGGATCCACTGCTTTTTAGTTGTCATTCTGAGGTCCCTGTTTCCTTGCTGGCTGTGAGCTGGGGGCAGCCTTTAACTCCTAGAGCCTATGTCTGGTCTGTCATGTTGAGCCCTGCTTTTCAGAGCCAGCAACAGCTTGCTCAGTTCTTCTCGATCTTGGCATTTCTCTAGCTACCTTTTAACTGGATATCTCTGAGTCCCGCCTGAGAAAGTTCTCTGTGTTTAAGGGCTCATGTGGTCAGAATGGGCCAGGACAACCTTATTTCAAGGCCACAACCTTAATTTCTTCTACAAAGTTCATTTTGTCATGGAAAGGAACATATTCAAATGTTCCAGTGATTATGGCAGAAGCATTTTTGAGGAGCGGGGGCACACAATTCTCTTAACTGCAGGGTACTGTGTGTATATTGTGATTTTAGAAAAACAATCTTAAATACTGAGTTCATCGAGGTTGCAACATACAAGCCATGATGCCTTTGAAGTGTTCATTTAACCTTACTAAGCCTCAGTTTCCTCATTCATAAAATAAAGATGTTAATATAAACTTCATGAGATTACTGTAAGGAGTGTTAAAAATTATACCCAAAAATATGAAAAAGAGAAAATGATACTTTGAAATTTTTTTAGGAATTTCCTATACAAAGATATGAAAGTATAAAGACCCATGAAAAACAAAGGCAAACATTTTCAACCTCCATTCATAAAAGATGAATGTTTGATTAAAAAAGAGGCAAAACAAATTGATGAGAGAAAAACATGGCAGACATGAATAGATAAATGGAAAGAGGTTACAGCAGATAATTTCCTCTAGACTAGAATCTAACGAGCAATATAAATACAGAAAAAATGTTCAACCTTACAAAAGTAATTAAATAAATGCAAATTAAGAGGAAATCCAATTTGTTAAATTAATGAAGGCAGATTAGAAAGTTGATTTAAAAACTCACAGACATATTGGGAAAACATATTTATTATTGTCATTTATCTGATGAAATGGACATCCCCAAACAAATGCTCATCATCAATTTGTAACACTCTTATTCTCAAAATGAATTTGAGAAACTTTATAAAAACCCACAAATATTTATATCCTTTAGAATAATAGATATACTTCTAGGAATCTTAATTAAATAACATAACTCTAGTAGAGATTTATCTGTAAATACTTTAATCACAGTGCTACTTATAATAATAAGAGCTAATATATATTGAGTGTTTAATATGGACAAGGCTCTAATATAAACTTTAATATATTTATGGTAAAGACTGTTATTGCTCATCAAGTATTCCATGTGCGCCCCTCTGTTATCTAGCCTTCAAACCATTTACACCGGGGCCATGTTACTGTTTTTGATTAATAGACTGTGGAAAGTTCTGATGTGGGTTGCTTCTGGGCTAGGGCCATTATAAACCAGTGTGCCTTGTCCATTCCTCTTTTTCCTGGCTGAGAGGACCTTGAAAGCCATGTAAACACGTGGTTTGTGATGACATAGAAGCATTACAAAATGAAAAGAGCCTGGTTTCCTGAAGTAACAGAGGACATTCCCAGTGAAACACGTCAAATTCGATGTGAATGAGAAATAAATGTTTCTTTTCCAGCCAAGCCACTGCAATTTGGATCTGTATTTTATTCTACTATAATCTTGCCAGACAGGACAATATATTAACTCATACAATGTGTTTAAAAAAAAAAAACTCTAAAAGGTAGGTACAATTATTTCTTCAGGTTACATTTTAGGAAATTAAGATAAAGTATAGGTAAGACAAAAACGGTCAAGTTCACAGAAACAGTGGGGAAACTGTATCCAAGGAGTTAGCTTCTGAGTCACCTTTTCTTTTTGGAGATGGAGTCTTGCTATGTCACCCAGGCTGGAGTACAGTGGCGCGATCTCACTGAGCCACCTTTCTTAGCTATCATAACAAAAATTACAGAAAACAATTCTAGCTCAATGAATGGAAAAATCAATATATAATCAATGTCTGATCCATATGCTAGAATCTTACGTGATCACTAGAATAATGTCTCTAATTTGCTTTTGATGAACTTCCAAAAAATGCTTAAACCCTAATTTAATTCAGAAGTCATATGTACACTATATAACATTTTGTAAACTGTGGCTAAAACCAGTTCCAGGTCTAATAAAAAATTATACTATTAAACCTGAAACTCTCCTGCTACAAATACCCAGAAAAGAGAAAGATGATATATAGTAAACATTATTTTAAATGAGTAGCTGAGCTTGCAAGAGAGAAAAATCACCAACTACTAGAAATAAAGTAGGAGCTGATAATCAGTAAAGTAAGACCATAAGAAGGTGTTGTTGCTGTCAGGTAGATGGTTAGTCACCAAGGGCCTTTGGATCTAATGTCCACACAAGGAAAAGGGAAGAGGATATGGGTCTACAAGTCAGGCAGTATGAACTGACAGATGCCACCTCAGCCAGGACCCAAGGGGGTCCTGGAACCATGCACACTGAGGGATGACTGTAAACTAAAGAGTTGGACCAAAAGAAAAGGAGGATAACGGCTTATTTTTGTTTGATGTGATAAACTATATGATTTCTCAGGTTCAACAAGCTCAATGTAGCCTTAGCAAGACAAAAACTCCATATCAACCCCTAGATAAAACTCATCATTACAAAACACCATGCAAAAAATTAACAGTTAAGGAAGTGTAATTGCACTAACAAACTTCTTAATAAGGCAAGCTGAGGAAATTCTGGAATAAAATGTCTCAACATAGAATTCTATGAACATATCTAAACTAAAATTCAAGTGAATGGCTTAAAAAGGGAAAAAAGAAAGATAATTTGCCACTCACAGAGCATCATCAGGGAACTACCAGTTAAAATAAACTTCAGAAATGGGAAATTGAAGCAAAAAAAAAAAAAATAGATTGAATTCAAGAGGTCAAGAGGTAGTTGTGAGTAAAGAAACTGATATATTTTAGGCCAGAGCTAATGACTGTATAAACACCATCATATTAATAGTGACTCATTTACAGGGCATAAAAACATGGAGATATAAAATACTATAGAACAGCAACAGGCAGGAAATGGGGATGAAATTATAGATGTTCAAGTTTATAAAAGCCTTTGCAGTTTTTTAAGGAGGATAGAAATATTATCAGCAATAGATTTTGTTATTAAGTTAATTACCATTTAGGAGCAGGATATTGAATGAGATAACAAAGTGTAGAGTCTGTGTTTTAAGCGTTTGTCATTGTAAGCAGCAAACTTTCCTATGGGAAAATCAGTGATGCACAGAGTTGCTACTTGATTGACTCACAGCTTCCCCACAGGAAGTTGAGAGTGAGGCAGGAACTGTTCCTCTTCATTCTCTCTCTTCCAGCACATTCTCTTTCTTCCATTCCCTCTCTTCCAGTCCATGGGATGGGTTCTGAGAGCAGTATTAGATGGACGTACTGCCAGTTAGAGAGAACACTGCTGTATCAGAGGAAAGAGGCCTGGGATATTTTCATGAAAGCCTGTCATGACTGAGGGCACTTCTAGTTAAAGAGGAACTATAAACACTTCTGGTTAAACAGAGCTATTTTTTTTTTGTCCTTATCTCTCATGCCCTGATTTGAGGGAGTCAAATCAAAGATGGAGAAGAAGGAGGACACTGAGGAAGGGCCGTTGACTGTAATAAATCCCAACCCCATTGTTGATTCCTAAGACCAGTTAGTAGAGAATGATAGGATTTTATGTGAGATCAAAGTTTTAACTTCTAGTGGCTGTAGTTTTAACTTTTGAAAGTGAATTTTCACTCTCCAAGAGATCTAAATGAAATTTATAAGAAAATTGTGGGTTCTGCCCAAGATGACATCTAAATTGAAGAAGGTACACAGTGAGTTTAAAGGATCAACGAGAGAAACTTTTATTATTCATTTGCACAAGAAGACACATTCAGTATCTGGATTATCCAATATATGGAATACTTTGAGTTGAAATGATTAAAGGGTAATCTAATCATTAATTAACAAATCATTAATTAAACAAAATAATATTTAGCAAATTAAGCAAGTGCTAAAGGATACATGCAAACTATAATTAATATAAAAGTTTACACACAAAATGTTTATATGTGTATTATATATATAATTCTTGGTAATGTTCAAAAATATATTACTATGTGTGCTAAAAGTTCAACTTTAAAAATTTATTCATATTGCTTCTTCTGCATCATTTTATTCAGTAGTAGTGTTTATTAGTGGTAGTAGTGTTATGAAGGATGTTAATATTCACAAAAAACAAGTAATAGTAATTTAATATATGTGGTTTCACAGTACAAAGAATATTAAAATTCTTGGTAGTGATTTAAGTATAGTTCTGCCTAATGATATTAGAAAACTTCTTAATTCTTCCTACATCATGAGATGGGCTTTGTAGTCTAATGCATTTTTAATAAGAGAACAGTGCATTCATCTATGGCCCATTCCTTTATGCTTAAAAGAAGATGGCAATGGTTATATGCCATTAATTTAAGTATTTATCAATGGAGTGAATGTAATTTCCCTAAAGTATTACTTATTTACCCTTAACATTGTTAAAATCAGTGTTATATATATTTATAATCTTATTATCCAATGGAACTTGTTGATAATAAAACCCACTCATACAAATCACATAAAATCCAAAAGGCATGTTAAGATGCTGGATTTTTTGACATCAATCATAAGGCTTGATATTTTTCTAAGTTTTAATATGTTCTGGAAATTAAATTATCAAAGTTTTTAGATGACAATTTCGTTTACTTTCACATTGTGGAAATTGATTTCTATTCTTACAGCTTTAAAATAAGCTCACATTATTGAGGTAGGTTAGATGGAGTAGTGCCTTTCATATAGTAATGGTGAAATAGAATCATAAATGTTTAAAATTTGAAAGGACTAAAATATAGTGCAATTAGTTTATGTATAGTTGAATTAATCCAAGAAGAAACATCGATAGCATTATCAAAGAAATCAAAGAAAATTAACAAGTGTTTTCCTCATAAATAACAGTTCTTAGTTCTTGCATTGGTAATGTATCTGCAGGAAGTGAAGATTCTGGAAGCGACATTTAAATATATAATTTTATAATGGGGCTGGGCAATGAGCTTTAGCCGAGGTCAAGCTTCCCTGAAAATTGAAATACATGAAATTCTTATGTTCATAAATTTCAGTATTTATTTACTCCTGACAATATGCCACCTCTTAGTTCAAAAGAAAAAAATACATATACATTTAAGAGCTAAGGAGTAAAGTTCAAGAAAGTACTTAACTTTATATAGCCCTTTAAAATGCAAGGTTTTTATGACTTAAGTGCAAGCTAGTAAAAAAAATCATAAATTAATTTTTCTTTACCATGGACTCAGAGCCGTATATGAGAGTTGAAAGTAGTCATAAAATGTTCTATTGGTTTCGTACTTTCCAAGGTGCTAAAGGGGAAAAAAATATATTGGTATGAATGTATGAATTCAACTGTGGACTTCAGCTGATTCATTGGGCAGGAAACAGAACATAAGTACATTCAGATAATATCTAGGACAAGCAATAAATCTTTGAAAAAATATAATCCAGGAAACTAGTCACTTTTTAATTTTTATTCAAAGTATTAATTTGATTGATGTTTTCACTGAATTGACACATAGCCTATATTTGTACTGATTGAAATACTACATTACAGAAGATTCTACCTGCAGGTTTTGGTAAGGGGTAGGCTGATAGGAAGTGTTCTTATAAGAATATGTGACAAAGTACAGCTTTACCTACATGGAATTAGTCCTAAGAAATATGAATAATGTTATCCTTATGGATCAGATGTTTGCTGTAATTGGTCTAATGTATTAGTTTGGCATTAATTCTAGTCACACAGTTTGGTCCCATGTAAAATTTCAGAAGCACGATTTCTTCTTCCTGCTCTATCTTATGTTTCTCTGTCATTGCCTTAAACCTAATATGTTTTTCTCAAAAACTAAGTGTGAAATTACTGATTTGCAGAAAAGAAATAATACATACAATTTTGAGTCCAAATGCTCTAAAATTCACATATTTTCAACTCTACAAGTTTACTTCTAGAATATTTGAGTAAGCATAGAGTCATAGAGATAGCCAAGGTTTTGTTTCATAGTTGTTTTTTTTTCCCTGTAATGTATTATCAGCAACTAAAATAATTATTTAAATAAATTATAGTATATTCAGAAAATGGGTTTCAATCGGGTACTTCGCAGCCTTTAAAAATGTTATAGAATAACATCTACTAACATGGAAATATATTAATGATACTTCATAAACTGTTAATAATTAAACTTATTATGTAAATGAGGATGACCTTCAATAGGTGAATGGATAAAGAAATATCAATACAATGGTGTACTACTCAGAAATAAAAGGAATAAGCCATTAATTCATACCATGACAAAGATAAATCTTAAATATACTTTGCTAAACGAAAGAAGCCAGAACCAAAGCTGATGTATTATTTGAGTCCATTTAAACATCAGTTGGGAAAAGGCAAGCCAGAACAAAAGGCTGGAAAAGTGCTTGTGTGGGGATGCTTTTCTCCGTGTGGTCCTCCCTTTTGGTTGGTAAAGAAGGTGCCTAGTCACTAGTTCTAGGAGGATCAGGACTCATGAAGAAGACCTTTATCCTTTTTTTCAGTTGGATCCAAACTCTACTTAGTCTAGTCCTTGTTTGAACCCCAACTTGCCCATAGATGTACAACTGTGAAATGAATGCTCCTAGTAGCATAAAATTGGGATTTGTGGTTGATGAATCCAACATTATTACTGTTAAGGAACATTACTGTGGCAGTACGGAAATGATAAAATGTCTTGCCATAAAAATATGGTTAAATATTAAAACAAAATGTATAAAAAACAAATAAAAATGAGAATATCTTTGTGGAAAATGTAATATACAGTGATGTTTTACCTGTAATATACAAAGAGTGCCTATATGTGAAAAATAATTGTTAAATTCTTCAAAATAGGCAAAGAACTTAAACAGATTATATAAGGAGTACACATCTGTCTATAAAGAAAAATATTGCATTAGTACAAATAATGCAAATATTCTAAATATGTACAAATGTATAGAAGAATTTCTATGAATACATATTTTTACATAAGTAACACAAGTAGATGTCCAATATATCTTTTTTACAACAACAACAAATATCTGTACAGTATATCCAAATAAGATTATTAACAGATGCTACATCCATTTATCTATTAAATAATTAGTAAAAAGTACACATATATAAAGTTTAAAGATGATTACCTATAATACAAATTTAAATTAAATAGGTTTAAAATACCACAAATATATATACACCCATATATTTACACTTATTCTATAAGTATATATATATTTTAAATGACATATATTTTTAAAGTCACTATTTTTGAATGACACCCGTACACACACTAGAAGACTAGAAAGAATTGGATCTGAATATAAGAAATTCTTAGTCACTGGTTATCAAACTTTGTGTCGTAGGCTCTTAAAAATTATTGAGAATGTCAAAAGCTTTTATTTATGTCAAACCTAACTACTTATATTTATTATATTATAAATTTAAGCAGAACCTTTTGAAACACAAGAATACACAGACACACTTTCAGTGATCTGTCAGAACAATGGCGTACATTTAGCCTCTGCAATAGAATGCACAGGAAAGAATGAGAGTGAAAGAGTCAAATATAGTTTCAGTATTATTATGAAAGCGGTTTCTACCTGACTGCCTGAAAGTTTCTTTGGGAATCCCAGGTGCTCCTGGACTATACTTTGTGTCCAAATGTATGATGTAGGCAGTCATTATTAGTATTAATTTATTATTCATATCTTAATTTTACTTTAAACATAATTTACATTTTTAATCATATGTACCTTATTTTGAAATCAGAAAAATGGAAATTATTACAATTAAAAAGTCACTAGAAAAACAGACCTATTGTACAAAGATTCCAGTCTTACCTTTCTCAAGTCTGCTTACTGATTTTTCTCTTATGTCTCTATTCTTTCCCCTTCCCTTTGCCCTTCCTTTCTCCCTTCTGCTCTTTGACCCCAAACTCATCTTTTCTTCTTAGTTTATTAAATAAAAACCAAACTATATTACTATCAATATATTTTTACTATATGCAGTTCATATAGTCTCGTGATTGGCCAAAGTCTAATGGTTCCCAATAGGTCCTCAATCTTTAAGGCCCAGTCCAAACCTTCCACAATGAAGGAGAATCCTCTAAGTTTTCCAGCACACAAAGCTTTGCCTCTTTTTCATGTCACTGTGAGATCTTCATTCAATGCATCTGTTTTACTCTTCTCCTCCAAGCTGTATTTAAAGGAATTAAAAACAGCAAATCAGTATTATAGTTGATTATATTCCTCAGAGTATCATTTAACTTTCTCAATATTTACTTGGTATTTACTAAAGTAAAGTTGGCTTATCAATTGCTTTTGTATCTGGCAATGAACAACTGTCAACACATGGATAAATTATACTGTTAGGCATTCACACTGACTGGTAGGAAATAAAAACTTTTATTGTCATTAAAATGAAAATGACAAAATATCCTGCATATAGTTTTTACTGAGATGTAAAGTGAAAGTTGTTAATGTGGCTGCAATATCAAAGGTCACTGAATAGAACTTTCACTAAGAAGTGTATTGACAAATTACAATGTATAAGAAGGTATATGGAGAATTTAGAATTTGAGTGTAGAAATTTTTTCAGCATTTACTTTCTCTTCTTTGTCAAGTGCAGAAGTCCTTCTTATAGTTTTGAAGTAAAATATTGTAGTTTTTGCTAATAATAGTGGTAGTTTCATCCACAGATATTTTTTCAGAACTATATAGCTCCATAGAATTAACAGACCAACCTTGCTAGAAGAGATAGGGTTAATTCTTATGAATTCTTATGTAAACAATGCCGAATGTTGTCATTTTCTATAAAAACCATATGCTTTAATAACATTTTTTTTGAATTATTGGGAACTATTGAAATGTAAAGAATAAAGAATAAGATTCATATAAGATTTTAATGAATATTAACTACTATCAAAATTTTATTGCATTTATTTTATTTATATATCTCTGTACATAACTACAGAGAAAAAAGAAAGAGAAAAAGAGAGAGTTGCAGATATAATCTGAATATTTTTATATAATGTCTGGAACATAACATGACACAATTACACAATTTTGACAAGCAAAATTACCTAATTTTCTTGTGATAATTTGATTTCCTCTTTAATGCTACTTGAATATTTCCTAAGTGTTACTTGTTCATTCGTAATTTTTCTTTTGTAAATATTTTAGTCCTTCATTATGCTGCTTTTATTTTTCAATTAAGGCATTTGAAGGAATTCATATTGAATAGTGTGGATTATACTTTGAACCAGCACAAAGTGGTCATGAATTTGAATTGACAAACAGGCTTGCAGTGTACAATAGGCTTCAATCTGATACTGTGTCTAATTAGCTTTATGGACAGAGAGCACTGTCATGTCATCAGAAGGCCCAGCAGCTGCCCAAGGGTGCATCTTCCTGTGTCTCCTCACACACAGTGGACAGAGATGGCTCAAGAGCAAGAAGGCATTTGTGTCCCTAGCCTTGGCTTCCTGCCAGTCTTTTATACCACCCTATTCACGTATGTCAATGGCTTGTATGACAGCTCACAGCTACCACAGGCCAGGTGTTCGCTAACAGGAAACAAGAGACACACATCAACCCTCATTTATTTTAATACAGAAGTTTCAAAGGAAACAGAACTCTATATCTTTTATGCAAAACTGGGTCAGATCAGACCTGATGTTATCCCTTACTCTTACATGTAATTGGGAACTATTTTATAGGTTTATAAATTATATTTAACTCTCTTTAGGGTACTTTGATTTGTAAATCTCTTTTCATTTCTAATTCTATCAGTTATTGTTACTAGAATATTCAAATCTGATCATAACAATTGCTAAGTTAACAAAATTGATTATTCCCTCGGTATGGACCAGGAAGTTGTTCTAAATATTTACATGCATTATTTCACATACACGAATATACACACACATCATTAAAATGTAAGATGTATGAAGTAGATAATTTAGTCTATTTTATTTTCTTTTGTACTTTAGAGAATTGTCTATTTGAAGTTAGTTTATAGTACAATTAAAATAATTATGAAATAACTGAAATTTAAAGCATAAAGACAGGGTTAAGAAAAGTGAATCTTTAAATAAAATATAAAAAATATAAAAATGGATAAAATATAGTCAAGTCATGCATTATACATATATGTGTGTGCATATATACATTTATCTGTATGTATTTGTGTGTATCTTGCTCCTAGTTATATCTATCTATCATCTATCTATCTATCTATCTATCTATCTATCTATCTATCTATCTATCATCTGTCTGTCTGTCTAATCTCATCTTTATCTATACCCTAAGCCCTTCAACATTCTCTTCTTAGGCAACCATTTAAATATGCATTGCATGTATTTTCATGTGAATTTTATAATTTCTGTATTTCTGTTTTGTGTACCTACATGTTACATTTTTGCAAACTATATCATGTTGAATAAATGTATCTTTTTTCTACTCCATTCGCTATGCACAATGTGCTATGGACCTCAAAATCTACGTAGTAACATCTAAACTAGTGTTTTCTTCTTGCTATTTGACATTCTGTTTTTAACCCTACTCTCTCTATGATAAACATCTAGGCTGGCACCTATTCCTTCTATGTCTGCAAGTATTTTCCTGGGATATAAACACAGAATCAATGAATCAAAGATGTGCCTATACTTAATGTGACTAATCGGTGCCAAATACATTCATATTTGTAAGTGAGATTTTGCTAGTGTGTATGTCTGTATGTGGGTAGAAGTAGAAATGTGTATGTATGTGTGTGTACCTTGCAAATTTCAAAATTACTTACCTGATGAAATTTTGTCATTTATTGAAGAGGTCCCAACCTTTTTTGGCACCAGGGACCAGTTTCGTGGAAGACAATTTTTCTATAGTCAGGGGTAGAGGGGTCGGAGGAATAATTTTGGGATGAAACTGTTCCACCTCAGATTCTCATAAGGAGTGCACAACCAATATCCCTCACTTCTGGAGTTCAAAATAGGGTTCACGCTCCTATAAGAATCTAAGTCCATCACTGATCTGACAGGAGGTGGAGCTTAGGTGGTAATGCTCCCTCACCCGCCAGCTGACCTTCTGCTGTGCAGCCTGATTCCTAACTCGGGGGTTGACGTCCCTGCTTTATTGTATTCTGGATTAGTGAATATAACATGTGAAATAAATCTCAGGTAAAACTATCTCGCCTAATTCAAGTATATAATTGAGCATTTTATATTTGCAAAATTTCTGAGATTCTGAAATATTGTAATTTATAGTAATATTGCTTCCTTAACTCAAAAAGTTATACCATATCTATAATTAACTGTTTCTTCATTTATAATCCATGTTTGAACTTTTACATTTTAATGAATTAAAATTTTCTTTATATTTAAACATTATTTTCCTTTATATGTATTATTTCTAATGCTTACTGTTTTCTTTTTAATTTCTAATGTCATTTTAATAAATTTCTTTTACCTTGCTTTTTTTGTTTAATATTGTTAATTAACCACTTTAGATGTAGTTCAGTTCATTTATTTTTATAATTCCTGTTAAAGTGGCTATTATTTTATGTAAAAGAGTATTATTTATCAAATATATGCATAAAATAAAGCATTCAATATATATTATTTCATATTTATAAGTGCATGTTTGGTTTTATTATTATATTAATTTTTCTGTCAGAAAAATGTTAAATTACTCATAATAATTATGTGCAGATGTACCCAGAGGAGTCCTGGTTTATTACGGTTTTCTCAGTTATGATTCTTAATAATGTTACCTTCAAATTCAAAATAACAACTTGGACTATGAATTATTGGTCATTCTAATAAAAACAATTTATATCAATCTGTTATTTTAAATATTTGTTTCATATATAATGATGTTATGAAACAATAGTAAAGATAAAAATATCTACACTTTGAGAACTATGTACGATGTACTCTTTCAAATACTTTCCATATATGAAATAATTTAATACTCAAAGCAACCCTCTGAGAGGTTATTAACCTCAATACGTGAATAACTCAAGTGAGACAAAGAATTAAGTAAACTGCCTTAAGATAAGAAGATAATAAGTAGCATGTTTTCTGCTTTCATGATTTATTTTACAGTTTTTAGGTAGTTAATTTTATCTCCATCTAAGAAATTTTGATTCTTAATGGATTTGCTTAGATCATTTAACTTAATACTTAAAAATACATTTTTTTTTCAGCAACACATTGGACTAAGAGGGGCCAAGTCCTCATTCCCTCATAGTGACATCAAATTAACAAACAGAAACTGGCTAAAATAATTCTTGTAAGAATTCTGGGAAAACAAAACAAAACAAAAAACTTCACCAACCAAAGGAATGCTTATTCAAAAAAAATGCCAAATTCAAAATAGTATCAAATTTCATGGTGTTTTACTGGCCCTTGCCCCACCCATTTCTGCACAACATGGTTTTGAGCTGGAGGAGGTGGCATTCCAGTTGCTAGTTCCCTCCCTTGAGCCAAAGAGAGCAAAACAGGTATGTCCTGCAATGTTCTCACCTGTCTGGGGGCTCCCTGAAGGACTGGTCTCTATATTCACTAACTTGGATCTCAGGTTGGGATCCAAGGTTTGGAAAAGCAGTAGGGAGACTAATTCCCACAGATACTTGGAGCAAGACTTTACAGGCAGAGACATACAACAGACCTCCTAAGACTCCACGGAGAAGCTGGGCTAAGATTCCTTTGGAAGTTACAACACTGAAAATCGCCATGTATAAGGAGGCATTTTAAAAAGTCACACTCAGACCTAGGCAAGATGCATGCTCAGAAAAAAACTGGAGAAGAACTTAAGCCTTCATGCTGGGTTAATTCCAAGGTACAGAACATATCTGGCCTATTAGAAAAGAACTGCTCCAGCACAGAGCTGGTCTGCAAGACTGGGAATGTTGACTGTTTCTTCAACCCCTCTTCCCCACCAAAATCACAAGGCATGTAAAGAAACAGAACAACATGGCCGATTCAAAGAAAGAAAATAAAGTGACAGAAATCATCTCTAAAACTGCATGTATTACCTACTAGACAAAGGCATTAAAACAACTCTCTTCAATATGCTCAAAGAGCTTAACAAGAAATATGGACTTAGAACTATAAGAAATCAGGAAAAAATATTAACAAAATGAGATTATCAACAAAAAGATAGAAATGATAAGAATTAACCAAACAGAAATTCTGGAACTAAAAAATACAATATCTGAATTGAAAAATTCAGTGAAGGGTGTCAGCAGCAGATTTGAGCAGGCAGAAGAAATAATCAGCAAACCTGAAAATAGGATCTTTGAAATTATCAAGTCTGTGGAGAAAAGAGAAAAAAGTGAAAACCCTAAGAGACCTATGGGACAGTATTCAACAGACAAAAATATACATCACCGAGTCTCAGAAGGAGAATACAGAGAGAAATACAGTGCTTATTTTAAGAAGTAACAGAAAGAAATTTTCAAATTTGAGGAAAAACAAGAAATGCAAACCCCAAAAACTCAATATATTTCCAGTGTAAAAAACCCAAAGAAACTCACACAGAGACACACTCTAATCAAACTGTTGAAAGTTAAAAGAAAATATAGAATTTTTAAAGAAGCAAGATAAAAATGAGTCATCTTGTACAAGGAATCCTCAATAAGATTATAAGCCTATTACTTAGATGAATATTCTATAATTTTACTATATGAGGTACACAAAATAATCAATTCATACAGACAGAAAACAGAACAGAGGTTACAGAATCCCAGAAGGCAGGGTAATGGAGAATTAGAATTGAAAGTGTCCAGAGTTTTAGTGTGGAATGACAAAAAAGTTCTGGAGATGGATGGCGGTGATGCTTACACAACAATGTGAATGTAATTAATGCCACTGAATTGTGCACAGAAAATGGTCCAAATGGTACATTTAATGTTCTGTATATTGCAACATAATTTTTAAAAACAAAAAATGTGTTTAGTTTTTAATCAAATTGTTTCATCCTTCATGGTTTATGTGCTGACATGTGCTAATGTGACTTTCTGTTGATACAGATCGTTCTCTTTTCTTTTAAATTTTATAGATTTAAAAAGTATTCTTACTGTTGTAAGCTTTTACAACCCACCTTATTTTGTTGTTATTGTTGTTTTCAGTTTTGTTTTGTTTTAGACTTTCAGCAGCCTGAAGCCATGGTTTTTAGTTTCTGTCTCCTGTGATAAGCGGAAAAGAGGAATGAGGGCTTTACTGGCCCAACCAGAAAGAGAAACTAAGAATCCATGACTGTATTCTCTCCCTTGGACACCAAAGGATGATTTTAAACAAAAAAACTTTTAAAAGTATACTTTTGTTATTTGTTTTCAAATGTATTTGTCCATATTAATAAATATCTGCCTTTTTAATTTACTTTTGTTTTGGTAATACCTAGAATTAACTCATCTCTCACACCTGTGTGGTAGCTATATAAAACTGTGCTACTTACATATCCTGCTGAGGGGATCTCATGGTCCTAGTTGCTGCTCGTTCAAATCCCCAACCACATTTCTGCTGCAGCTGTGCTTTCTATGGGTTGTTGCCAGCCAGTGACTGAGTATGATAGGGCTACTAGTTCAGGATCTTACTGTGAGAAGTGAGACTCCTCTAAAGAGGAATGTTAGCTCAAGAATTCCCCATCAGGTTGACAAAGACTTTTACAGAACTGAGCTGCAGTCAGACTCTTCCTGCTTGATCACCCTTCCTCCCATCTCTCCTTCAAAGGGGTCAGACCTTCATGCAGTCTGAAGTCTCTCCTCACTTTCAGCTCTCTCCATTTTATCTTTTATAGATATTTCCCCTAAAGAATCTCTTGCATCTTATCTAATGTAGGCATCTGCTGCTTAAGGGATCCAAACTAAAACAACCTGTCTGTATCAGTAGGTATCACATTTCCCCTAAAAATTGATATATTGTTTGTCCATTCAGAGATAGGTAAACATTTATGTATAGTTTACCTTTCTTTTTTTACATAAATGACTATTTTATACCTTGTGCTTTTTATTGAACACATACAGAACTTTACTTCATTTTAATACATAAAGGTTTTTTCATTTATTTTTTAAGTTAGTATTTTATCACCTTAAGAACTCTTATAAAATAAAGATAAAGAACATAGCAGAATTAAATTACGTTCTTGATTATATTAACAATAAAGCTTCAGAGAGAAAACTAAGAAATTGTAAGTATATTAGTTATAGATAAAAATGAGAAAATGACGTTGTTATATAGATTAATAATTGATATTTCAATATTTACATTCTATTATTTCAATCATGAAAACATTGTGAAACACTATTAACTAATTCATTGCTCACAGATATTTATATTATATCACAGTTTTTCCTATTCTTAGAGTCCTAACTTCTTAGTTTTCTAATGACCGTTTTCAGATTCATTTAAAATCATATATGGGTGGCTTATTTTTTAAGCATTTTATTTTTGAAAATATAACTTTTTAATAGCCTTATAAATATGTAACTATTTGATCGGCTGCGTAATCACTGAGACACTGGCTTTTCCCCTCAAAATGCTATAGCGGCTCACTTATCTTCTTTCCCCTTGACATGGCATTGTCTGAGATTCATGAAATCCATTAAACCTCTCCTAGAATTTCAATTCAGGTTTAGAAAAAAGAACAATCTGATTGTCCCAATTTTTTTGTTGTTGTGTTAGAGAATTAGACATCTGTCAACTCATCTGATAACAGGTTACCCTTGGTAACATGATGGCTCACGCCTGGTACAAAAGTTAATCATCTAACAATGATCCCTTCAGTAGGTGACCTAGTTAGAAAGTTCCCTTAGAAGAGCTTCTGGGTATGTAGACAACAGCATTGAAATTGAACAAAAAGCAGACTCATGGGAATCTCTAAAGGAAGGCTGTCACTCTGATACTTATCACAAATTTGTCACAGTCATTTGACAATAGACAGTTTAAAATAATTTTTCAAATATCCTGAGTATAACTCTAATTGCGTAGAAAAGAAGCAAATCTGAAAGAAATAGCAGTGACCTGTTCTCTGAGCTTGATTGTTTGCCTAGGCTATTACCTGAAATGGAAAACTAGAGAGGACGTGATCAATAGCAAAGCACTACCCCTGGCAAGTCTTCATGGTCTTGTTATCACTGGACCGTGCCTGGATTACTTAGGAATATAAGACTTTGAAAGGAGAGAATTTCTTTCTTTTGCAAACACAGAGCTGAAATCCTCACAGACATAACAGCGAGAATAATTCCACAAATAAAATCAAAATTTCTTACCTATTGCTACTTTTAAAAATTACAGTTTTACCTCACATATCAAAAAATAACAACAAAAATCAAGACAGTGAATTCATTATGTCTATGTTCTTTCATAAAATAATATATAGTTTTTTTTCCTGAGTGGGTGTATGGGAGAAAGTTAGAAAATATTAACTTGATATGGTCAGATATCCAACAATATAAATTTATTTGAAAGCTGTGATGAATAATTTTAATAACTGAAGATTAAAACAAATAAAGCAATTTGATAATTCTTTAAAAGTTATTCCCCACAATTGATAGAATTTAAAATGAAATTTTATTTTATGTAATTCAAATAATAAATAATAAAATTTGATTTTAAGGCAACTATTTTTCATACAACATAGAAGAATGAAGAGTTAGCATTTTAAAAGAAGCACAAATATTTACAATATTATTCATAAATAATGCCAATATTTGAAGAAAACAATAAGATCATCTTTTTTCCTGGTGACAGCTTCTTAAAACATTTTAATATTCTGAGTTTTCAACTGGATCTGCTGCTGAGATTCATCTTTGCCATTGGTATTTCCATTCCTTACAAACAAAGAAAAATCCTTTAATCTTATATCTGCACTATATCGATTGTCACTGTAAATGACATTGTCAAAACAGCATGTATTGATTGCTCATGGGATGTACGTTATTATATTAATAATAAAAATTACCACCTCTATCAATGGTGGCTATAGCCTTATGTAAGAAAAGAAAGTACAATGTCTACATCTCCTTTCCAATGTCACCAGGATTCCCCTTTTTGGTCAATTAAAAGGACATCCCCTAGTCATTCTCTATCAAATACCTCGTTTCTTTCCTTAACAGAACCTTCATGGTTTATTAAGTGTTTTATTTAATTGCTGGTTTTCTTGCTAGTGATAAGAGATTGTTTTACCTTTGTATAGTTCTTGATAGTATAATTTCTAACCTAAGTCATAAGGTCATAGAATTCTAGAAATAAACTATATTAAATAAACAAGATGCATTTTATGAATTGAAAAATAGCCACTTTGAGGATCTATTATATCAACGATAAAGTGAAATCGAAGATTTTGAAATATTGCACATTATAGAGCATGGTCTATAGAATCTAGTGTTAGCTAGAATGGCTTATGTAGCAGATGAACAATGACACAAATGCTTTGCTACTATTCCCACTGAGAAGTGAAGTCTAATTCGTTGCCACTTGAATCTGGGCTGGTTTTAGTGACTTGCTTGACTTATAGAATGCAGTGGAAGTGATTTTGGAGGACTTCTGAGGCAAGGTCATTAAAAGCTGCAACTTTCCCTTTGATGTCTTAGAGCATCATCATTGACTGTCTGTAGTTGACATTTAAGAAGTCTGACTATTGCAGAAGCTATCTTGAACAGTTTCAGCCTTTCCCTCTAAGGCACAAGACAAATGAATGATTGCATCCTGGACCCTCCAGATCAGCCATTCATTGAGCTCAGTGCCACCATGTGAGCTCCACTGATCTCAAGCAGAAGAGAAGAATTACCAGGCCAGACATGTACAAATTCCTGACGGGCAAAATCATGAGATAAAATAAAATTAATTATTTTAGCAAATACGTTTCAGGGTAGCATGTTACACATTTAGAAAGAACAAGAACAGGATTTTGTACCTGAAAGTCGGAAGCTGATATAACAAAAGTTAAAATACGTGGCAATGCCTTTGGACCAGGTGGTAGGTGAAGGCAAGAAGGAACTCTAAGAACTTGTTGGTGAAGAGTGGAAATACAGATGAGATATTGTCATCGAAGGCTTAAAAGAAGGTGATGCTTGTTAAATAGTGGTAGAAGTTTTGGCAGCACTGTCACCTGCAGTAATAGAGAAAATATAAAATTTGCCTGATGAAATGATGGATTTTCTAAGAAAACTTTCAGAAAGAATATTGAAAATGTGCATGCATGGACATTTTTTAAAACGTTTTTAAAACATAGTTAAAGATGAATGGAAGACATTAGATTTGTATAGTTAATTTTTTCAAAACAAAATTAGAGAATATATAAGGTAGGACTCACTGAGTGTTAAAAATAATGTTGTTTTTCACTTCCAGTGTCTCCAGATGGCACGAACCTCTACAAGTAGAAAGTGGCTCCAAGTCTTTGCTATTGTGAATAGTGCTGCAATAAATATACATGTGCAGTTGTCTTTATAGTAGAATGATTTATAATCCTTTGGGTATACAGCCAGTAATGGGATTGCTGGGTCAAATGGTATTTCTAGTTCTAGATCCTTGAGGAATCGATAGGTACAGCAAACCACCATGGCACATGTATACCTGTGTAACAAACCTGCACGTTCTGCACATGTATCCCAGAACTTAAGTATAATAAAAAAAACAACCATTTTTTAAAAAGGGCAAGAATATTAGAAAAAAGAAAAAGAAAGAAAGTAGACTCTGTGTAAAGATGAACTTGAGTGTGGTTCTAATATTTTCATGCTTTTCGTTAAGATTTTAGAAAGATTTAATGGTGTGCCTCATATACCAACTCAGCCACACTGACAGGCTTCCAAAAATCATAATATGTGGTACCTGCCTTGGCAATATTTAGTTCAAATGGAATAGGTACCAGTCTCAACAAAGATTCACAGCCTTGGCTTCTGTCTAATGGACAGAACCCTGATAAATTTTTAGGCAGGCCACAAAGTTTTTAAGCACTGTGGACTGAAGACAAAAGGGGAAGAAGAGAAAGAGGCAGTTCAAAGTGAAAAAAATATATATCTTCAATGCATGCTAACTTTCCTCAGGGAAAAGCAGATTGACAGAATTCCCCAGCTGCAAAACATGAACCACTTCTAATAGAAAAGGAGACACAGAAGAGTATATATCAAGGTAATTCACATCTGCATCTATACAGATAAAAGTCTCAACCAACTTCCACTTCTGATGATTTATATTTCAAACTCGTGTTTTAAAATATGGACATGGGTATTTGGGGAACTCTCAGAGTTAATAATGCATGTTATACAACTATATTAAA
Organism: Homo sapiens; assembly: GCF_000001405.40. Classification (NCBI taxonomy): domain Eukaryota; kingdom Metazoa; phylum Chordata; class Mammalia; order Primates; family Hominidae; genus Homo; species Homo sapiens. Next base: position 178,326,217 of record NC_000004.12, read on the forward strand.
TAATTGCATTACCCTTTACTGATACATAAATTAGTAAACTAGAGTGTGTAAAATTTTCTGCAATTCACCTTGGGGTGAATTGGCTGGACATGCAACATTGACGCTGGCTGCTTTCTCCAGTGACCTCAGTACTGCAATTTGGTGGCTCTTTCCAAGTGTCTGTGGGGCTGTGGGCATTGGAGTGATTCTGTAATAAAGGATAGTAGGAAATTCCAAGGCCTCATATTGTAAGCCAGTTCAAATAGTAGTACTGACATAAAATATATAATTAAATAATATTACATAATATTTTAATGCTTTAAAAATTAGATAATTTACATTTTTCTAAAGTAATCCAAAGGTATAATTTTCTAAAAAGCTGTTAATAATAAAAGATTGTTTCTTTAGTTCACTGTAGAACTTAAGATGTCTTTTAGTACGTGAATAACTCAGAATTCTGGATTGAAACTATTATGTCATTTGTGCTTGCTCTAGAGAGAAGTCACTATTGCTTCACCACTTTAAATCTCAGGAGAATAATGACAACTTCTGTATGGTGTTTTTTTAACTTACTTTATTCGTCTATAAAAACACAGTTTTACTGCCTTCTTCCTCTGATTCTGATCTTAATGAACTAAAATACAAAGAAATATAAATTTGTTTTTGTTTTAAAAACACCACTTATAAACATATTCTCTAATAATCACATATATCTAGAAAGAATACTCATAAGCAAGAAGTGACTCATGTCTCAAATATTACAGGATTTTAAACCCAATTTGGCTAATTATTTAAAGCTTTCTTTATTTTCTTCTTTATAAAATGTATTTGAGAACATGCACGTAAAACAGTTATTAAGGGGTGACGATTGTATTTATATAAATTGAATTACCAGCTCTTAAAACACAAATGCTCTCACTTATGAGTACTTTCATCGGGTTTTGATTGAGAACCCAGTATGTGCCAGGCACTGTATTAAGTCTTAGATTCCACTTGCAATAAAAAACAAAACAAAACAAAACAAAAAAACCCACTTATTTGCCTTCATGGAAGTATCTCTCTGGTGGGTGGGAAAGACAGATAATGGGTAAGAAAACTAGCAACTAAATGAAACACTTGTAAAGCATGGACAGTACTGTGAAGGAAATACATAAAGTCTTTGCTAGAGAATCATTATGGTACATCCTTTAGAGTGACCGAAAAGAGGAAGGAGGCCTGGTGACATTTAAAAGGATACCTAGGAAGGTAAGGAAAATGGCCAGCAAGAGACAGACAGAGAGAGAGAGAGAGAGAGAAAGAGAGAACCAGACAGACCTAGGGAATATGAGGGAATAGGTATTTCAGCAAGGGGACAATAATTGAAAGGCTCTGAGTTCAAGAGAGAAGGCCAGTATGATCTGGAGAAGAAGTCAAGGGGGAAAATATGATTTTTGCTGCATAGATCATTTTTTTTCCATGACGAAAATATTGGATCGTGGAGGGAAAACATCGAGCACTAAATAGAAAACATTATTATAATCTAGTTGATTGTTTTGGGCAACTCGTAAAAGGGTTACAGCAACAGAGAGGAAGAAAAATGAAGATACTTGAGATATATCTTGGTTATAAAACCAATACGAATTTTTCATAGGGATCAGATGTTGGGGTTGAGGAACAGCGAGAATGCAAGATGATTTTAGGTTTCTGGCTTGCAATTGAGTTGAAGGTATGTCAATTTATGAGAAGAAGAAGATTGGTAGAGTAAAAAAAAAATATCAAGAAGACAATTGTTATGGACTGAATTGTATTTATGCCCAAATTGATATGTTGAAACCTTAATTACAAGTATCTTAGGATATGACTGTATTTAGAGCTATGGCCCTTAAAGAGGTAACTAAATTAATATGAGATCTTTAGGGTGGGCCCCAATCCACTCTGACTGGACTCCTTAAAAGAAGAGGAGATAAGACGTGGAGACACCATGGGTGTGTGCACACAGACAGATGACCATATGAAGAGGCAGCCAGAGGGAAGCCATCCTCAGGCCAAGAAGAGAGGCCCCGGAGAAAACCAACCACACCAGCACCTTGAACATAGACTTGCAGTCTCCAGAACTGGGGGAAAATATATTTTTGTTATATATATACAAATATATTTTTGTTACACAATCTGTAGTATTTTGTGATGGCAGCCTTAGAAAACTAATATAACAATCAGTAGTTTGGTTTGGAAATGTTACTTTCAAGAACTTACAGGACCTTGGTGTGTAGATGCTGAGTAGGCTGTTGGATTTGCAACACAGGGAAGGAGCATCACTGGACTGATCAGTAATTTTTGGAATTTCCAGTATGTAGATGATATTTAAAGCAATTGACATGGATACATTATGAATAGAGAGACTGTACAGAGAAATAGTAAGAAAGCCCAGTAACAAGCTTCTAAAATTGTCAATTTTAATGAATTCATGCATTGCATTGGCATAAATTGGGGGAAAATATGTAATCCAAAATTGAGTTTAAAACTGAATATAATATTATTTAAATTTTTTTTAAATTACTGTTCCTTTCCTCAGACTAAGGTTCCACATTATACATATTTCTTATTTTTTGCAAACTAAAAATCTTTAATTTATAATTTACAATGTTTTCTTCCTTTGAAATCTTCATTTTAAATATATCTTCCACACAAAATCCTGTTTTCTAAAATACGCTTTTCTAATCTTAACAGAGAAAATGTCACTCTTACTTAATTAAATATGTTCTCTTAAGCCAATGAATTCAAGGGGATTATATAAATATTTCATTTAAAATAAATTCCCAAAGATGCACTTATATGATTTAGTAAAAATTATATTCAATTTTTATTTTGAGGTAACCTGGAAGATATATATGCATATTCATGAATAACAAATTACTCAGCTATTCCTATATTAAACATTGTGAACAATAAGAAAATATTTACTACATTTTTTCTGATCTCAAGTAGTGCACTGCAGTTTGTCAAACAGTACTAAAATTCTTAAAGAGAAAAAATCAATTTTAAAGACTAATGTCATAATGTAACAGTTTTGTAGACTGCTACTCTGAGTCATAGCAGGAAGAGGTTGTTCAGTTTTTCACCAAATTTCTGACAACATTTTGGGAAGCAGGTTCACTGTATTCTGGTTACCACTTCAGTCCATTGCATCTTGGGCTGCAATCTCTACTGCTCATACTAGTATGATGAGTTTGAACATTTACACAATGCTTACAGAAAGCTAAGCAACTTTATTACTCACAGATACGCAGCAAGGGAAAATAGAAGCTTAAGATTTATGGCAAGCTGGTCACCCAAGGCTCAGGCAAACTGCCCATGGAGAATGGATGGATTCTCATCTCTGTGTGCCCTATTTCACTGCAGCTGATGGACCTCGGAAAGCAGCCTGCCTTGGATTTTACACCTCAGGGTAAGGTGAAATGTTGGACTAAAGCATTGTAGGACGTCTTGTTATAGGAAGGACTGGAACAGAGCCTGGCCTATTTTGGCCAGTTCCAGCTTATCACAGGATGTGGTGTTTCCAGCACATTCTGCAACTATTGTGGAAAAGTACAAGTGGGAAAGGGGAAATAACTGGGTCAGTCCAAGAGGTGAAGAATTGTTCTGGACATTTATGTGAGAAAATATGGTAATTAATATTTACTTAATCCCTACTATATTCTAAGCATTAGCTTTGAGCACTTTCACACTGATTTCATACTCTGAGAACTTGTTCTTATTGAGCCCATTTTCTAGTGTATTGGAACAAAGAAGGCTTAAATAAATTACTGATGTTTTTTAGCTACATGTTTGAGCAAACCTCTGTCTCTAAGGTTCAAGCTCTTATCGCTGTACCCTTTGAATTTGGGCAACTTTGTAAGGACCTGTAAAAGCACAAACTTTTTAGCAGGTAATTAGCTGAGGAAAAAGTCAAACATCCAAAGACACACAGACCCACACACTGGCTTCACACACATGCTCATATTGACTTTGAAACATGATTTTATCTGCATTATATTAATATGATGCTAGGGTCACAAAAAAACTTTTATCTATGAATGTCCCACATATATAGTCTATGAAAATACAAAATTCCTCAAGTTAAGCAATGCAATTTTTTGGTAACCTTAAGGAAACTGCCTTCCCAAATTGCTTTTCAGGCATCTCATTGTCCTAAGATTTGTAATAGAAGCAGAGGCTGTAAAAGTCTATTTACTTGGAAAAGCAAAATATTTCAGTCTTGGAATGCACACAACTCAGACTTCAACTTCAACCTAAGTCATCTCAATGGGAAATGGCAGGCAAGACAATGGTAATATTCTCAATTGTTGCCAAGCTGTGTCTGTTTCTCATTCTCACTGAACTCATTCATCTCATTGTACTGGAATGGGTTTGTGGTTACCATAATGCACGCATGGGTTATTAACGTAGTTTTCACTGCTAATGTTTAGTGAGTTTTAACATAGTAAATAATAAAGAGCAAGAAAATAAGCACACTGTATTCATTCATATTCACAGACTGAAAAGTAACAGGGTTCTAGTATTGAGGATTGGATAAAGTTCAATGACTGTAATAAAGAGAGATACATCTCCCCACTGTTTCTTTCTATACTGCTGCAAAAACAAAATATACCTTGCTGAATGACAGTGGCAATCGCTTTGATATCAGTGCTTTCCTACTGTGGAGTTTAAAGACCTAAACCATTATATTAAACAAAATTGCAGGTAATCTTTTCAAACATTCCATTTGAAGGTACTGGGAATAATTGATTTACATTCAAGAATATGTAAGAGTGCAAATTTTATACCAAAGATGCACTTTTACATGTATAGCACAAATTCCCAAAGGACATACTAATGTTTTTCATACTTCTGCTAGTAATTATTTAGGATACATATCAATACCAATTATTAATCACCTAAAGATCATCCTGCCAACCACACAATTGTCACAAAATATACTCTAGCCAATTTATTCCTTCCCAAAACACATGACTTAATATAGATACTAATATCAATGAACATATAAAGGCAATTTAAACACTAAAATTAAACGTTAAATTAATACGCAGAGAGCTTAGTGGAAATAGATGGTGAGCACTTAAAGGACCATTTCTCCTTCTGTTAGTGTAATAGCATTGTTACTGAATACAGAAAGAGGATCTTAAATTGACCTCTAGTTTTTATTTGTATTTATAAAATAAAAGCTTAAATCTATCACACTGCTAAATAACTGCTTTTCAAAACCGGAGACAGCACTTTACATTTTATTCATTTCACACCAACTGAATATGATAATACCTCTCATTATTTGAGGTTAAGAGAGCTTGAACATTCCCAAGAGGTTGTAATTCAAATGTAGGAGCCTGACTTTAAATGGTATTTACATATAGTACTTATTTGAATACAATGAAGTTTTTTTTTTTTAAATTAGGTACATACAAAGCAATATTGTTTCCCATTGTTTATTTCACATTTATTTATAGTATTTAGAGTTTTTACAATACACTTAGTAGGCTTTGCTCATGAGAGTGGCTCCTTGAGTACTATAGAAAAGAACTTAGTTGTAGAATATGAAGGATAAGACAATACAGCTACTTACTATTTAAATCATCAAAATACATAAGAGGTATTGAGTTATACTTTAGGTTGATATAACTGCATTTTATTTTTTGCTTTGTTTTTTTCCTGCCTACAGATTTAAATTGCTTCTATTGCTTCATACCAATGATGTTTCCTCAGAAACAAAATATGAACATCAAAACTGAAAGGTATTTTTAAAATTTAATAGAAAAGTCTGTATCTAGCAAAATGGCAAATAAGATATCCTGTGAGATTATAGAAATTCAGTTGTTTTCTATAAACAGCACAACTAAAATATCTCACATAATAAGCATCTTTTTTTTAAAAAATTGCATTGACAAGCATCAAGAAAACTGTAGTCTAGTAAAAAATCAGCTATAGAAATTTAGTGAAACACTGGACACAGATGTTACTCTCAGAGCAAAGACTGAACATTAGAGCTTCAGTTTTTATAGCCTCCTCTAGCATAAAGGACAGGAAATAAGGCCTAGGAATTGTCTGTGGTGATTAATTTGATAGATACTCTCCATAAATCTGACACTCAAATGGCATTATTTTTACTAAAAGTGAATAAGCCTGAGAAAAATCAAGGCAAACAGACTGTCCCAAGTTTGGCACATCTCTAAAAATTTGTAGTCACAAACTGGCCCTTACAAGGGTTTTCATTCTAACCTGCACTATCTTGGTAGTATCCAACCTTCAGGTAAGATAGAAAATTATTTCAGAAAAGGCCTTCCAAAATTATGATGATAATAGTTTTTTATCTGTTATACACACAGTTAAGATTTACAAAACACACAAGGAAACTAAACCCTGAGCAAGATACAGCAGAAATAATTGTCAGCAAAACCATATCAGTGAAGATTTTAGATGCTAAAGTTATCATTCATATAATATAAATAATTTACATAAATTTAAATAATTTAATTTAGTTTTACTATTTTAAACACTTTGACTTTTACATTTAAATAGATTCATAGGAAGTTCAAAACATAATGGAGAAAGAACCCATAGGATAACATTTTAAATAACTATCATACCATATCAAAAAGAGGAAATTGATAGTCATATAATATTATAAACTAAAGTGCAGACCTCATATAGATTAAACTAATTTTTCGTATACCTTCTTTTTTGGTGTATAATTCTATAAAATTTTATCACATATCAATATGTGTGATCACCATCACAATCAGGATATGGTATTCTCTCTCTCCAAAGAAACATATTCACGCTACCTCTTTCAGGCATACCGTGCCCTAACCTTAAACCTTGCATCCACTGATTTGTTCTTAAGCACTCAAATTTTGTCATTCTGAGAATGTTATATAAATGGAATCATAAATATGTAACTTTTTGAGGTTAACTGTTTTCCAGTTAGCATGTTATTAAAATGCATCCAATTTGAGTGAATCAATAGTGTATTCTCCCTTTATTATCATTATTATTATTTCCTGAGTAGAATTCCATGGTATGGATGAACCACAGATTGTTTATCCATTTACGCAGAGAAGGGCATCTGAGTTGTTCTAATTTTTTGGCTTCTAAAGTTAAAAACTACCATGAACGTTTGTGTATAGATTATTATGCGAGCACATGGTTTCATTTCTCTGGGAAAAATGTGCAGCATTCTGATTGCTAACTCATATGGTAAGAATATGTTTAGTTTTTTTTTTAAATGAAACTGACAAACTATTTGACAGAGTTGGTGTATCATTTACATCCCCAACAACAATTCATGAAAGACGCAGTTACCTGTTATCTTCACCAGTACTTTGTATTGTCAGCATTTTTCAGTTTAGACATTCTAAAGGGTATATAGTAGTATGTCATTATAACTTTACGTAGTATATCCTAATGGTTAATTATGTGAGATCTTTTGCACATGCTTCTTTGTTTTCACAGATACTCATTAAGTGTCTGTTCAAGTATTTTGGGCGTTTCCTAATCCTATTGTTTATTGTCTTATGGTTTCATTGTGAGAATTATTTATACAGTCTGGTTACAAGTCACTTTTCATGCATATGACTTGCAAATACACTATCTAATCTCATCTGGTTGCATCTCAATTATCAAATATCTCAGAATAAAAAACAGCAAGTATCATTAATAGTCATTTAGAAGGTCTAGGTAAAACCAGTTTGGGTATGGTTTTCAAAAGTTTAAAAAGAGAATGATTATATGACTTACCTATCAAAACTTTTGCAAATCAGTTGCTTTTAAAAAATTGGAAAAAGGTTTGATCATCTAGTTAAACACTATATCCCTAAAAATAATTCTAATTTTTGGTAGGCAACATTATGTGAACTTTGTCTCATAAAACAGAAACAATTGAAAAGTTTGCTAATGTTGCTATAACAAAACATCATCTGTTTGCATCAACTTACTTTCAGGTACAGAGTTTTCTCATTACTTCCATAAGAATGTAGTACAGAAATATAATTGATGATGATGCCAGTTTAATTCTAGCACCAGATAATATTCATAAATACATGAACTATTTGATTTTAAAATGTATATAGAGAGATAGTATAAGACCCATATTTTAGATATAAATTTCATTTCACGCTTGACATTTTCTTAAAATTTGTAGTATACATGTTTTGACTGATTCCATACTAAAATAATTGAAGTTATTCAATTCAGCTCTGAAGAAATATTTTAACACCTACAGACTCATGTCCAGAAGAACTAAAAACACAAGTCAATATTCATCTATAATTTTTTAGAATAACATTATGGTATGATAATAAATAGAAGACTTTCCAGTTGAAAATATATTATATATTAGGGTAATAATCTATGAAAATGTGCAATTAAAACATGAATGTAAGAAGAAAAAGTGACATAGCCAAAATTTTTAGTTTGGTAAAGAAGAGTTTATTCATGTATATTTTTTCTTCATGGATAACAATGAGTTATCAAATTGCCTTGGCATTTAGATTCCAATGGGACTATTTCAAAGAGAAATATAACAATTTTATTTTAAATGTTAATATTTATAACAATATAATGAAGATTGTATATTTTGCCTAATATGAGCTCATTAAAAAACCTATTGTATGAAAATGTAGATATTATCAAAAATATCTGATCACACAACAAGACAAGGACTAATACCTGTCGTAGTTTTTTCCCAGCACAAGAATAATCCCAGGTAAAACAAAGTTACAAAATGCCACCATTAATTTGATGACTATTAGTAATGTAATGAATATTAGTAATTCATTGATTTAATGAATATTTATAATTAGTAATATTCATAATTAATATTAGTAATTTAATCACTTAGTAATAAATCAACCAGTTAGTATTAATTCATTACTAATCAGTAATTAATGAATATTAGTAATTCGTGCCAAAACAAACATTAATAATTAGTAAGTCATCAATAAATTAACCCCTAGATTTTGTTGATATGTCAACATATTTATAAATTTTCATTTGCAAAATGTTTTCACTTTTGGAGTAGCATACTAATAATATCAATGAAATCTGGAAAATACACCCAGAAAAATAGACACAGGCAGAATTTTTATAAAAGAATATACAGTGCTGTTGAGAAAATTTGGTATGTGTGGAATTATAGAGAGGGCATATAAAATAAATTTTAAAATAATTAACTCATACAAAATAACACAACCACAGTTTGTTCTTCAGTTTTTTAGAAAACTGATTTAAGCAAACATCTCAATTCAATACCTTCTGGAGCTTCCCTTTTTAAAACTTCTCAAAAATGTTACTCTTAAACAGTTTACTTCCATATGTTTTTAATTGTTAAAAAGGAGAAATTATTTGAATATTTTTGATTCTTTGAAAGTATATCTTCAGAAAAAATGTTTGCACTTACATATTTCAAAATATTTTAGGTAATTTTATATTCATATACTCAAATTACTGCTGTATGGAAGGGATGCTGTATTTATGTCATATAATTTAAAAAACAAATTACAGATATCTAATTATACTTTTGCTGTTTAATATAATTTGCTCACTTTACTTGTCTAGTTTGTAGAAGTACAAATATGAATTTATTTTTTTCTTTAGAAAAATACATAATATATTTTATTAAATTATTTTCAATTGTAAGTTAAATTACTTCAATTTTGGTAGACTATATTATTCACATATATTCCTTTTATATTATAAATTTTTATATTCCTGTCTTCAGAGATAAAACATGTATCGTGAAACATTTCATGATGAATAAGAACCATATAAATTAAATATTTCTGAAGAAAATGACAATATGCAATGAATACAAATTAAAATTGGAGAAAGTTGAAGTCCATTAAACTCTAGTGATTTCAAGAGCCTGAAGAATAAAAATGGCAGATGCTATTACTACTTATTTTATTTCACCCCCTCAGACCCTCGGAGAAAATGCACTGCTGTGAATGAACACATTTCTATCAAATTACCAACGTCATTTTTCAATTAGAAAATACTCTTCTAAAATTTAAATGGGATGAAAAAAGAGTCTGAATAGCCAAAGAAATCCTAATCAAAAAGAACTAAAGCCTGTGGCATCACATTACCTGACTTCAAACTATATTACAAAGCTACAGCAACCACGACAACATGGTATTAGTGCAACAATAGACACATAGAAAAATAGAACAGAATGGAGAACCCAGAAATAAAGCAGTGTATATACAACTAACTATTCATCAATAAAGTCAGCAAAAATAAGCAATGGAGGAAGTACTTTCTATTCAATAAATGGTGCTGGGAAAACTGGCTAATCATAAGCAGACGAATGAAACTGGACTTCTATCTCTCACCAGATACAAAATTTAACTCAAGATGGATTAAAGACTTAAATGTAAGATTTCATATCCTAAAAATCTTAGAGGAAAACCTAGGAAATATCCTTCTGTACATCAGCCTTGGCAAATAATTTATGACCAAGTCCTCAAAAGCAATTGCGACAAAAACAAAATTGACAATTGGGACCTAACTGAACTGGAGAACTTCGCACAGCAAAATAATATGTCAACAGAATAAAGAGACGACCTACAGAATGGAAGAAAATATTTGCAAACTATGCATCTGCCAAAGGACTAATGTCCAGAATCTATAAGGAACATAAACAATTCAGTAAGAAAAAAAACAATAACCATATTAAAAAGTGGGCAAAGGACATGAACAGACACTTCTCAAAAGAAGACATGCAAGCGACCGACAAACATAAAAAAATTGCTCAATATCACTAATCATCAGAGCAATGCAAATCAAAATCACAATGAGATACCATTTTATACCAGCCTGAATGGCTACTACTAAAAAGTCAAAAAAACAACAGATGCTGGTGAGGCTGCAGAGAAAAGGGAATGCTTAGACACTGTTGGTGAGACTGTAAATTATTTCATTCACTATGGAAAGTAGTTTAGAGATTACTCATAGAACTTAACACAGAACTACCATTTGACTCAGCAATCCCATCACTGGGTAAATATACAAAAAAACAAAAACAAATTTTTCTACCAAAAAGACACATGCACTCATGCATTCATTTCTATACTATTCCTAATGGCAAAGACATGGAATCAACCTAAGTTCCCATCAATGTTTAACTGGATAAAGAAAATGTAGTACATATAAACTATGGAAGAGTATTCAGCCATAAAAAAGAATGAAGTCATGTCCTTTGCAGCAACATGGATGCAGCTGAAGGCCATTATCCTAAGCAAATTAATGCAGAAGCAGAAAACCAAATATCACATATTCTCACCTATAGGTGGGAGCTAAATCTTGGGTACACACAGACATAAAGATGAGAACAACAGATACTGGGAAATCCAAAAATAGGGAGAAAGGAAGGGAACAAGGGCTGAAATACTTCCCATTGGGTACTATGTTAACTATCTGGGTGATAGGATCGACAGAAGCCCAAAACTCAGCATCACACAATATACCCTTGGAAAAATCTTGTACGTTAATCCCCTGAAACCAAAATAAAAATGGAAATTTCAAAATAAAGGAAGAAAAAACACACAGTGTGTTGCTTTTTACACTAACAATTTTACACTTAATTTTCAAAAATATTTCTTCCAGCAATACTTTGTCCTTGAGAATATTAAGGTACGCCCACCCAGCTCTTTTTTAAGAAATACATGATACAAACAAAAGGCAAACAAACGAACACCAGAAAATTTGCACGATTCAATGAAAACATGTTTATTCATTCACTGTTTATTCATTTTACTCTCCTGTTCTAGAGGAGACAAGTGGTTTGTTTCTTTCCCTGGAGAAACTCTTGGTATGAGCTTTGAAATGTCAAGTATAATTAAGACAAAGTGTACTTTTTAGCTCGACAAAAGAAATGTATCTTTCAAAATAACTGTCTCTTGAAGGTAGAAAACACAGTCTATCTCAGTTGAAACAGCTCATTGTGTTAAATCACTTGTCAACTTCAGCATGGCTCCACTGTGGTATATAATTTAGCTGAGTGTCCCATCATTGCCCAGCATGGATGGTACTACCAATGGGTACTATCACAGCACATTTATGAAGTTCTGAGTATTAAAAAGAACCCAGATGCCAACTGCTTTAAAATGTAAACAATACGAATTTGCTTGTGACAGAATAAACTCAAGTTGAAATAGTAAATCCACAAGTAATTGGGACAAAATGTATAAAAAAAGTAAACTAAATGTTGTTTGGCATTTCACTGAAATTTCTCATTTAGCTGTCATGGATACATACTATATTTTAGATTTGTGGGAGTTCATTTCTTCGGAAAACAGCCATGCATCACATTTACATAAAAAACGTACAATTCTTTGTGATTTCATGGATGACTTCTCAAAGCAGCATGTATATTAATGTAACACAAAAATATGAGTAAATTGTGTTGTAGGAAATTTTTCAAGGAATATGTTTATGCTCAGTGCCTGACTGGATACAACATTTTAAAATTTTTTATTAAAATACCTTGAGTACCTTTTATCAAACAGGAAATAAACAGTGTATTTTTTTGTAAATAAATGTTTTTGCTTTTATTATGTATCTATATGAACAGCTAAGGAGAAGTCCCAACATGTATGACAGACCTTGGCCTTAGATTCAGGGATACCTCAGTTCCCATACAAAAATAGCAGAAATAGACCGTATGATCTCTACCAACGGTAAATGATCTCATAATCATAATTACTTTCTTAGTTATAATATCTATAGGTGCTGTGGGCTTTATGATTAAATACCAGTTTTCAATCATTATTATTTCTAACTCTGTTAAATGGATATTTTTTGAAATTCCATAGCCTGGAATATATTTTTAAAACTTTGAAGGACATTTATATTGAAGAAATGTATATACTTGGCCTAGTTCAGCTTGTTTTTGCAGTTTTGAAAACTCTATGTCTTTTCTCATGTTCTTGCCTCCATTCTATATGACTTTTTCCAGTTTTCTTTTCCTGGACAAGCTTATCTATTTGTCAAGGCCAAAGCCAATTGTGACCTCATAAGTAGAGTATTCTCTAATCAACAGAGAAATAATTAACAGCTCCTTCTTCTTTGTTTTCAAGTCACATTACTATTCTATTGGTTATACTCCTTATTCCATTGAATTATGGTGGATTAAATATGTACCTAAATTGTGATCTAATTTTCAGTTTGTCAAAGCCAGAGAACATATTTATATATATTTAAAATCACTAGTTTCTGATAACAACTAAAGACAGATAAAATATTTGAGTTAAATTGGATTCAATTTAAATGCCATGCTTGGCTATTGTAGTAAGTCCATAACCTATCATAAGTGTGAAAGTTAAAGAAGACCATCTATATTGCCTTTATGATATTTTGATGTGTCTTCAATACCAATGTCCACATCTCACAGGTAAACAAATAGGTATGGAAATCATATATCAAGAATAGTAATGATGTTGGAGAAGGATTTCTTAAAAAAAACTGAATATGCTATGAATTATATCTCTTCTTGACAGAGGAATGCATAGCAAAACCCCTTAGAACATAAAAAAAGTCACCAGTCTTTATGTCATAATTTTAAACTTTTTAGAGAACTATGTGGCATTAAAAAAGTTCAAAAAGCACTGAAGAGGGAGTCATTCCTCCAGTTTTTATCAGAGAATCTAAGCCTTAAGGGTATCATGCATTATTTCCCTCTCCCTACCACCACCTTTATGACATGACTGATATTCACAATTCTGTACTCATAACTAATAAGTGGATTCAGGACCATGGATAGGTATAAAATGTGCACATTGAAACTGAAGTATTTTTTAGTCATTTATTTGGCCATACTGTAGATGCTAAAGAATATGCTATTTGTCATGTTCTGGCTCATTTATTTTTCATAACAATTTTATGAAATGTGTTTGTTGATAATCAAAATGAGACTTATAGACTTTAATCTCAGCCTTTATATTTGATCTCAAATCTGTGTAATTTGAAAAGCCTGTGTATTTAAAACTACTCTACTCCTTTCTTAAATGAAACCTATTGGTGACTATTCTGTATTGATGATTGCTGTACTATGAACATGTAGCTTTATCAGGGTGTTAAAAAACAAAATATTCCATCTGTCTTCAAAAGATCTTCATAAATAGACATTATTAAAAAGTGGCTAAAGTTTTCAGTCCAAATCATATGTTGGACTATAATGTATAAAAAAGATAATCAATTAAATAAAGTCAGAATATTTTTTAAATAACGTAACTGATGACCATATCAGATGTGTTCATTAATGGAGTCATTTGATCAGATGTGGTCCATTTTTTTCTCAGGCTTATTTAGGCATAATTACATATGGTAAGGAGTCCGCCACTGGTTAAAAACCTATATGTGATTTTTAGGCCTGACCATAGGCAGTTGCAAAGGCGTTACCTGGGAAGGCCTCATGGAGGAAGCTGCCCTCCCCGCACCAGACTGAGTGCACCGCCAGTGCATTGAAGTCTCTGAAGGGAGCTGCAGTCAAGGTCTCAGCCCCCTGGCCAATCTTCTTTCATACATTTACACTCCGAGCCCTGGCACCTTCATTCCTAGTGATCCTCAACTGAAGCCTTGGGCAGAGGCCTTACTCGGGCTCTTCTACTGAGACCTCAGCGGGGAGGAAGGGAAAACCTCAGAGTCATTTTTCCCCACTTTGACCCAGTATCCAATGCTGAGTGACATTAAAATGTGAACTCAGTGAAATAAACTACTATTTCTGTAGAATAACTACAAATATGTCTTCTATTGTTTACTTAACAGCAAATACCAAAAAAAAATGTTTTTAATGAAATAACTCTTTAAAGGCCAACTTAAGATTTTAAGAGGTAATTGTTTAAGAAAAGGAAAAACTGTCATTTAGCTTATCAATTTAAATTCAGGAATATTTATAAAGTGCAGTGAAAGTAAGAGCCTGGAAATGCAAACATTAATCTATTGAAACTACTCACAAAATGAGATTAGACATGATCAATTCATGTGATTTTTTTAGAGTCCATTGTTTTGATGTTTCTTATACTATATATTAATTTTTTCTAGAAAATAGAGTCTGTAATGCAAATAATTTGCATCAAATATAGCTTTAGCAACAAGAACAACAAGAACCTTAAGATATGTAAATAATTTAGGGCATGATGTGGATTTCCAAGGGAACTGACTGCAACAATGAGATTATTATTCTGGCTACTTATTAGAAAAGCACTCATCTAAATACTATCTTTTAAAGAAACTGCCCTAGCTCATCATGATGTATTATTAGGAAACATACACTTATGACTGGTTATTATAGATTTTTGAAAACCAATTTAACACGATATCTTTTCAACTTTTCAACTCTCTCCTTTCAGCTTAGAGATTCTATTTCCAGAAATATATCAAAAGGAAATAATTTGAAAAAGCATGTATAGATATTTAACTATATAAATATTCAACATTTATTAGAATGAAAATTAAGAAATATTTTGAAAGTTCCCAAATAGTGAAACAAACAAATATATATCATTTCTGTATGATGAGATACTTTGAGGATATTAGAAATAATACTGTTAGAAAACGTTTAATGAAAGACGGATATTTGGTAAATATATGTAATACTATATGAATAAACAAAAATAATATGTTACAATGCTGTATCTTTAGTAATATCTCACTTTGTTTTAAAGTATTTATTAAAATAGATGATACATCAAAATGGTAGCATCAGTTTTCTCTACATCCTGTGATTTAAGTTCCTGATATGTATTCTCCAAATTTCCTATAGTTAAAATATATTATATTCATCTTTGAACAAATGAATGTCTAAAATATGAACATTGTTAGGGTTCATGCAATAAAATAAATTCCCACACATATCAATCAATCTGTTTGTAGGTTTGTGAGAGTCTTTTTCTTTTCCTTTGGAATCAAGTAATGAATACAACAATTTATTTAAAATTTTGCTTTACTAAATGCCCACATTTTTCTCACCTATCTATTTTCTTTTTCTTTTTTCTTTTCTTTTTTTTTTTTTAGTTGGAGTCTAGCTCTGTTATCCAGGCTGGAGTGAGTGCAGTGGCATGATCTCGGTCCACTGCAACCTCTGCCTCCTAGGTTCAAGCAATTCTCATGCCTCAGCCTACCAAGTAGCTGGGACTACAGGCACCTGCCATGACACCCAGCTAATTTTTGTATTTTTAGTAAAGAGAGTGTTTCACCATTTTGGCCAAGCTGGTCTCAAACTCCTGACCTCAGTGATCCACCCGCCTCACAGAGTGCTGGGATTACAGGGACGAACAACCACGTCTGGCCCTCATCTATCTAGTTCCTTTTCTACCTTATATGATAATACACAGTCTAATTTTCTCTTTTTGACTATATCATAATATGAATAGTAGCCAGAGATTGAATATTTTATCTTTTTTATACTAATAATGTAAGGATTTTAAAAAGTGTATTGTGGTAAAACTTCATAAGAACAACATTCTTCTGTCTTTAAAGCTATAATTTTTAATGATAGTTTAATGTAAAGTTTATTGTTTCAGCATTAAAGTTGGAATGATTTTCAAGCATACTTTTAATTAAGTATTTAATTTATTTATATGTATCAATATATTCACTCTTCATCTCTCTCCTAGGACCTTTGCTCAATCATGTCAAGATTGAAGTATCTAAGTTTAATATCTTCTTCCTCTGTATCTTCTTCTTCAACATCATTCACATTCTAGACTGCAAGTATAATTAACATAATATTGGTATCTCCAACTGGGTGTTAGTTAATCTCTTTGGGCCTTGCTTTTCTAACTATAAAATTATAGAATAAATTTTGATGATTTCTATCTATGTTCAATTGATGACAATTCTTGAATGGGAAATGTACAAAATTGACCTGAACATCTTATCATACCAGAAAGAAAAGAGAGTATTAAATATTAATAGGGTAGGATCAAAAGGTCATTGAAATGAACACTGAAAAAGCTCCCTCTGGCCATAGATGGGAAAACGTGAATATCAATAAGGAAAGTTACCACAATGAGTTGAATTCAGAAATTTGCTAACATTATTCTAAAAAAAATCATGTTTGGAAGGTGTTAGGAATCAACTCATTATCTAGAAAACTGGCAAATGAAAGGACATATTTTCATTTCAGTAGCATCCCAGATAACAAATAAAAAATGAAAAAAAATAAGAATATCACTTTTTCACACCCATTAATGAAAAACTTATGATCACCAATGTCCACTAATACTGAGAAAAGGAAAAGACAAGGCATTATAAGCCTTTAGATATAAGTACTCAGAAGCAGCTATGCTTGCCCTAATGATTTGAATGTGAATCTGGCCAAGCTTCTAGATTTAACTACAAACTTACAGTACATGAAGGAAAATGTATAGTATGTGAAATAATATTATGGCAATAATTTTAGGAAAATGAAGACTATGGAGAATCTACATGGCAATCAACCAGCTTCTCCAAGAATTTTCAAAATAAAAAAAGAATTGCGAGGCACAGTGGCTCATGCCTGTAATCTCAGCACTTTGGAAGGCTGAAGGAGTTTGATACCAGCCTGGCTAAAACCGACTCCACGTCCACAAAAAACGGAAAAAAAGTCAGCTGGGCATGATTGTGTGCGCCTGTAATTTCAGCTTCTGAAGAGGCTGATAAGAGAGGATTGCTTGAGCCCCGGAGTTCCAGGGTGCAGTGAACTGGTAATCATGTCCCTGCACTACAGCCTGGGATACAAAGTGAGACCCTGTCTCAAAAAAAAAAAAAAAAAAAAAAGGGTGAGAGAGAGAGAAGTGACACCCAAATAAAAATCACTGAAGAAATTTAAAAACTAATTGAAAAATAAGACCATGGCTCCAGAATACTCCTGGATTAAATATCATATAATATATGTAGTTGACATATATACCATTGTTAACATCCAGTATGTCAAAAATGTCCAACTCATAAAGGGGCTATATTTGTGGAACATTTGGTTGATTTTAAATGTTAGCATTTAAGTGAATTTAAATTATCCTTGAATAGAATCATGTTAACAAACATTCTAACAATTGGATTAGCCTACTATTTGATTATCATGAGGTGATAGAACATTTAAAGAGTAAATAAGGTGACACAATGAATGCTTCCTGAATGCTAGGCATCTCTTGGAAATTATGTGTGTGTTATGAGTCCAATATTTTTACATTAAACACTATCTTCAAGAAAAAAAATGACCATGGAGGACTGACAAACAATATAATAGCAAATAACATTTTAATTCTAATGATTGTGCTACACAAGTGAGACTTACAAAGGCATCTCACTTCAATTCAATATAAAACGCTTCATTTATATTTTTATGTTAAATGTCTCTAACCTATAACCTATATAGAACCAAAGAAACAATTCGCATTGCTTTTATTTTTTTATTTTTATTTTTGTTTTTTTTTGAGACAGAGTTTCACTCTTGTCGTCCAGGGTGGAGTGCAATGGCGTGATCTCAACACTCTGCAACCTCTGCCTCCCAGGTTTAAGCAACTTTCCTGCCTCAGCCTCCCGAGTAGCGGGGATTACAGGCATGCACCACCACGCCTGATTAATTTTTGTATCTTTAGTAGAGATGGGGTTTCACCATGTTGGCCAGGCTGGTCTCAAACTCCTGACCTTAGTTGATCCGCCTGTCTCAGCCTCCCAAAGTGCTGGGATTACAGGTGTGAGCCACTGCGCCCGGCCTGCATTGCTTTTATAACTCATTTAATTTCCTTAGTATAGAATTTCCAAACAGGCTCCTTATAATCTCCCATGTATTCACGTCTTACATAAATATTCACTGAATGAATTTACCTCCATTTTATCCAAATTTGTTTACTGTTTGCTCTCATAAATCCAGTGCAGGCCACTTTCTATCCTTTTTTTTCCTGAACATTCATTCTATCTAGAATCCCCTTTCCTTATTCAAATCATGTTGTCATCATAGATGTATTCAGAGAGAGCCATACTTTCTGAAGTTCATGAATTACAAAATATTATTAGAGCAACCATGAATAGAAATGCCTAGAGTAGGCTCGTTGATAGATTTCTGTGCTCTTCCAAGTGCACTTTGAACATCTATAGAGGACGAAGGCTGTGGCTTCATGGCAATTGATATATTAGCTCTGACATTGAGAAATGACCATTATGTTGGCATGGATTATCAGGAATAACTGTAAGAAATGAACTTACTCTGGAATAAAATTCAAAGATGATACTAAACACATACACACAGAGTATGAAGACAACAGCAAAAACAAGTGTGACAGCATAGAGCCAGAAACATTTAACAATGAAACAACCTGGTTATTCAAATAAATGTGAATGGTGGCATTGCAGGATAAAGATTTAATCATGGCCTGATTGGTTAAGAACTGATGGTCAATCTCTAACTACAGTTTATTTCTACTTGTGCATTAGTTTTGAATACTTTGTAACTGTAATAATGTGGGTGACAACACAAGTTTCTAAAATGAGGTTGTCTAATATCAAGACGTAGCTCTATAATTTTTCAACAGAGTGACTTAAGTTTTTTATGTTCCTTATTGCCTTAGCATGAAATCTGGAAGTGCTGAGAGTATGAGTCTCAAAATTTTGTTGTAGGATTTTGTTGAGATAATCTCCTAAACATTCTTATAACATATGAAAAAAAAGAAGGCTTAGAAATAAGTGAGTGACTTGTATGGTATCCTGCAACTAACAAATAATGCAAAAAAAAATTATACGCAGGTTCTATTTGCAAAATTTTGTAAAATAATTTGAGTAATTGCTTTTATCTACTTATTTATTATTTATAGGATGCTATACATTTAGATACATTTTTATGAAACTTTATTTTAGCTTTTCATTTAAACTTTGGTTCTAAATTACTATGTGCAAAATTATGAAACTATACTGTTTAGATTATTCATGCTTATAAACACGTGTGTAAGTTTTCATATAAAACATGTTTAAATGTAACTATATAAACATACTCATAAAAATAGTGAACATATTACTTTATTTTTTCAAAGTCATTTATAATTGTTAAATCTTGTGATATCTTCTCACTGTTATTTTTCAATCATATTTTAAAGTAAATAATCAAAACTGGAGTGTCATTAATAATAACATGGGAATTTAAAATTTTGTTTTACTTATGGCTTAGTTATAGTTTTTACAACAGACAACCATATTAGATTTGGGAGACAAATTTAAGATGCAAATGTGGGAAATTAGTTCATGTAATATGAACTTTTTAAACACAATAATATCATATAATTCTTTCAATTAATTCCCAAAGAAGTTACATATAATGATCTCATACCAGCAAACATTATACACATTGTTGGAATATTTGTTTTCAAGAATTTTGATTTTTAATTTAAAAAATGACAAAAATGATTTTTCTAAAATTATATATGTAATACACACATTTATACCCATGTAAAAACCTACATATGTAAATATATTACATATGTAATACTATATATTTATATAAGTATAATATATTAGACATATATATAATATATACACATATAATGTATTATGTATACATGTACATCATACATATATACATTAGAACACATATATGTATTATGTACATTATATGCATAATACATATATACATAATACATTATATATGTAATGTATAGACATATATAACATGTATAGATGCTCACATATATGTATGTAGCCATGTAATATATGTAATATACGTATGTAGGTATGTACATAGGTGTGAATATGTGTGTGTATATCCTCATTTCAGATTTCTATTTATCCCAAACACCCAAATGCAAATATCTATATTACTTATCTCTTGGATATTTATCATTAGTTTCAGCAGTCAATCTGGAGGGCCTGCAAATTCATACACAAACATTTTTCCCAGAAATCAGAGCTGTTATTATATAGCTCTGCTCTCTGTTTGATTTCCTATGTTATGATTTCAGTGGTGTTTGACTGACCCACATGCTACTCTAAACATTCCACAATCCAATAGATGATAAAAAGCCACCAGTTACATTTTTATTCATTTTAGAAAGGATGTGGCCCCATTTCAGTGCTCACAGTGTTTGGCTGGAACACTTGATCTCTTTCCAGGGCATGTTTGTAAATGTGTGATAACTGGAAAGTAGTCAGGAAAGCTGAAAACCATATGGTTTTGTCTAACTCCTAGATGTCTAAAATCTGTGGGTCTTTGATTTAGGTATTCAGCATTCACAACCATAATTGATGAATCTCATGAAAGCTGTAAACTCTTCCCTTGGAAGCACACACACACATACACACAACTTACAATATAAGTATTGTCAGTCTTACTTGGCAATTAGGAAACTAAAGTTATGATAAGTTAATTAAACTGCCAAAAATCACAGAGATTTTTATGTGAATTTTCAATCCAGGCTTCTCTAATGCTGAGGCCAATTACTATCTATATGCTAGCTGACACTTCATTTTGACTCTGTCGAAGCAGTACGGCTCAGGTGAACATTCCACTCTGAGAAGGTTAAATCTGATAATTTTCATCAGTCACATATTTGAAGTCATAATAATACCATTATTTATTTTCAATGAATTCAGTAAATTCAAACACAAAAATTCCCACTGGTCTTTTTTTACACATTTTTTTACAGGTCAGACCCGGGTTTTATTCTGACTGTTGTATGCATAACCACAGTACCATTTGTAACAACTCAGTTAATTTGTTTAACTTCTTTATGGAGCAAGTTGAGTTTTGTATCATATTCCTTTATTAAATGAAAAGATTAGAATACTCGTCCATTGCCAGAAAAGTAGCAGAATGATATAATCTATACCAAAGTGACACAAGCTTTGAAGTGTGACACATGTAAGTTGGAATCCCAGCAGTGTAACATTCACTGAAGTATTGTAACCCCAAGTGCTTCAGCTTCCATCACTTCTGCAACAAATGTTAATTTCGTACTGTGTCATTAGCACTGGGTGAACCGCTCTAGTTGGAAAAGAAAACAAGTCATGATTCCTGCCCTGAAATAAAACTTACATTTTTTGTGTATATGAAAGCCAGGATGTCTGAAATCTACTTGGGTGGGGTAATATCAGAAAATACTTGATGGAGACATGAGTAATGGAAACTTTGGGGCACTCATCAGAACTTCAGGAAGGGACAGAGAAATGGAATCACAGAATCACAGGAGTAACATGAGAGGGAAACATGAATGGAGGAGAGAAGGCCTGTAGTCTTGAATTGTCTTTGTTCTTGCCTTCTCTTAGAAGAGCTGGTTTTAGGTTTCCTGGGTCCCCCAAAGTATTCTATTTCAATAAAGCTATTTTTTTTAGTTATATTGATTGAAACCTAACTAGAATACTGTCCTTATGGGGTAGGGAAAAATAGTTTTTAAAACCATCATAAAGAATAGAAAATTGTTGTAGAAAGTGATGACACTATTACTGTAAGAATTGGGCTTCATGTAAAATTATGTAATTAGGTTCGGTTAATGATATTTATTTAGAAATTACATTATAAAATACAAACATTAGGTTCTCTCTATTATCCATAGATGGTTTATCTTATTTTAAAAAATCATTTTCCAATCAACTAAAACATACCCACCTGTTTTACATTCACTTTTTTCTTTCATACTAAAGAAAGAAAAGATGCTGTCAGTTAAACTTTGTCATATCATTTGATAATAAAATACATTTTCATTTCCTCTGTTAAAAATAAAAAAAATCACCATGAAATAAATAAAATATGACATTTTGATGAATGTATCCATTAAACGTATTTCTCTAATAAGGGTAATTTGAATTACAATAAAATGACAGAACCTGTGACATGCTATAGGCTAGAATCTATGTATGTTTAACTGGAAAACTGCATAATGCTGGATTTGTCTGGAGGTCTCCACACTCTGCAATGTGGATGAACCTAATTTATACACGCAGACACACTCTCACACACGCACACTATTCACTCAATAGCTCACCTGAATTTTATTGCTTGCAAAAGAGACTTCCCAAAAAGAGATATTTAAACTCTCTACCTACTTCTATAGTTCCTAATAATGTAGAGACTCATGACCCATATCAGAAAGAAATATAAAGACACCTAGTTTTCCAGCACTCAGGGTGTTCTTTGTGATTGCTAGAGCATTTCCCCAAAGTCTCTACCTTTTCTGCACCCCCTCAGGATGGAAAATGGGAATCTCCTGAGAGGGAAACGAGAATTGTGGTCAGGAAGAAGAAAGTGGCAGGAAGTTGTGGGACTTGATGGCATCCTGGGTAGTGCAGAACTGATTCCAAGTAAAACAACAAATTTGGAGTAGAGTCTGCTACTCATAGTCACAACTCATGCTGGAATTAATATTAAATTTAAATA
This sequence comes from Homo sapiens, assembly GCF_000001405.40. Lineage (NCBI taxonomy): Eukaryota > Metazoa > Chordata > Mammalia > Primates > Hominidae > Homo > Homo sapiens. The sequence continues at coordinate 178,349,564 of NC_000004.12, forward strand.
TTAAGTAAGTAAGATATAAGACAACTTGGCCATAAAGAGATTCCACAGCTCCAGGTAGGAGTTAGCATATTTCCACTGATGGTCCAACTTTGCCGCAGGCATACTTCTTTAAGATGAGAAACCAATAGGAGCTGTGCATATCAACTAGTCAAAAATTTACAGAACACAAAGATGGATTTGAGCCAGCCTGCAAGTAGAGAGTACTGTCAAAGACTCTGTGTTAATAAACATTTACGATAAATCTTAGCTGGCCAAATAAAGCATCAAAAGAAAAAGTCAAACAACATGCGTCATTGGTATGTATAAGGCAGAACAAGATAAAACAGTATCATAGGAAATCTCACAAGTAAACTCTATTTATAGAAATTACACGCTTGAACAGTCCAGCAGACAATTGTAATGCATTTGTTATTCTTTTCTTTTTTTTTCTTTTTTGGAGTCGGAGTCTCGCTCTGCAAGCTCTGCCCCCTGGGTTCACGCCATTCTCCTGCCTCAGCCTCCCCAGTAGCTGGAACTACAGGTGCCCGCCACCATGCCCGGCTAATTTTTTGTATTTTTAGTAGAGATGGGGTTTCACCGTGTTAGCCAGGATGGTCTTGATCTCCTGGCCTCGTAATCTGCCCACCTCGGCCTCCCAAAGTGGCATTTGTTATTCTTAATAATATGCTAGAAAATATAGTCTTTAAAATAATAGTTCCCCAAATCCTGTTGAGAATATCAAGTTGAGCAGAAAATTCAGCAGGATCCAATTAAAAGGTAACAGAACATGAGGAGAAAAGCTAAAAGTAAAATGAAATAGATGATCTATAGCAGGATTGCAAAGAAATTTAGAACACAGTGACAATATATTTGTATACTAGAAGCAATAAAAGGCAGAATTTATAGTGTAGAAATCAAATTCCAAAATTCAGGCATGATGACCATCAGAGGTGACGTGCAAATCCACTAGTCGCTACAAACACATAGAAACACTGATTACAATGGAATGTGTACCTAGTGGAACTTCCAAAAAGTGTGAGAAACTGTATTTTGAAACAGAAACAAAAAAGAAAAATCAAAACCAGTTAGTGTGAGCTCATGCCACCTCTATTTGTGATGGGGTTTGTATGTGTGAAATTGGACCTGGTGACTGGGAAAATGCATCTGACAACCCACATGAAAATGGAGACACATTCTTCTAGCAGCAAGAAGTGTAGGAGGTGGAACTCAGCCCTCTGCACAAACCCCAGTGCTTTGAAATGCTCTCAGGTATGTAAAAATGAGCGAGACTTGGTTTGTCTATCCAGAATGAAAGATTAGGTGATTTGGACCAGTCTTTTTGGTGAAGTGCATTAGAAGGTTGAAAAATATTATTAAACATTAATTTGAAGGGATCCATGAGCTAACTAGGAAGTGAAGAATTGTGATTCAGAGTCCGAAAGGGGTTTATTCAAGGATATGAACACGGTGTCGGTGAACATTGTTCTCCCTAAGCACATTCTGCTAATTTCAATGAACAGTTTAGAGAAAGTAATCAGTAGTTTGGAAAGGGTAGGGGATTTAAGCAAAGTCTGGAATTAACAATAAGAGGTTTAAACAAGAATTGTGCCATGGTATGCATAGGAGAATTCAGAGGAAAAGATAATGAAATCAGCATGCAGCAAGTTGAGTATTATGTAGTGCATTTGATTTGTGTTTTCAAGATATCCAAGATGTTTACCTGTGGTTTTTAATCCATTTGGTTATTCCTTCAATGAATACACAAAAATGAGTGATAAAAAGAAATACATACATCCAACCAAATGAATGGCTTTTGAAAACATAACAAACATAAAAGAGCTTACTTGGCAGTATTTTTCAGTTCTGCATATATTATATGGACAGTATGTAGAATTGTTTTTGTATGCTTAGTAATTAGTAGTATTACTACCTGATAAGAATCAGTTGCTTCCATCTTTGGTTTACATTCTAAAATCTGTTAACTTAATCTCTTAATTTTTAATATTTATTGAAAAATACAAAAATATGTGCAAAATAATATCTATACCTGCTTTCCTGGAGAAATTGATAGGCAATATGATGTGAGCACATCTCTTTCTCTTTCTGTCTGCACACACACACACACACACACACACACACACACACACACACACAATCAAGATTATAGACCTACTGAGCAGATGGCCTTTGGCTTGCAGAAAATTGGACCTGGGATAACTTTCTGAATTTATTTTAGACTCAAATAGTCTTTAGTATGCACAAATCATTAAAGCATAAGTCTGGACCTGTAGAGGGTTTCTTTCAATATTTTATAGGAAGGATTTTGATCTATGATTTATCAGTCAACTGACAGCACTAAGGGGAGAGAGGTTTTTTTTTTTCCCATTAAGAATCAATTCTTCTGGTAGATTTTTATCTTCATTTTCATTCCACCCATTGAAAAAAATCTGCTTTGCCATATGCCTGTCAATTTGAGTGACCAGGTACATAAGTTGTATAAAATGTAGGAATTTTTAAACTTTGAGAAGCACTGCAATATTGCAAAATGCATTTAAAAATGGATAAATAAAAGGTACCAAGCACCTTTTATGTTTTCTTAGGTGCTTTTGAATGAAGGAAATATTAAACAGAAATATAATTCACTTATGTAAAGGTCACTATTATGTGTTATTTCTATGTACATCTTGTCAGCTCATGGGTAGATTAAGAAACTTGGTAGACAAATGCAATTGCATATTTCTGGGGAATTTGTAGTTGTAATCTTTACAATTTTTTAGTGTAATTTATTATGTCATATTTTGTTATTTATTGCAAGTCACACTAGTCAGTATTTTTTCATTTCTCAGCTATGTGTGACTGAATTTCAAGTAAATTTTTCAGTCTGTTTACATGGACTCGAAAAGTAAATATTATGGGAAGAAATGACCACGTTTACTAACAAATTATAACATGCTATTATTTATTTCTACAAACATGCCTGACTACAAAAGAGCCAGCAGGCATAGAAAACCAGTGGCAGCTGCTAGGCTTCAGGTGAATATCAGATAATTTGGAAATAATTTTCTTAGAGTAGCATTATTTTCTGTTAAGAAAGCATAGGGTTTGGAAGCTCTTTATTCTCTCAAACTGCTTTCCAGAAAGTGACTAGGTTTTCGTGGTGGTTCTATTATAATGATGAATTGGAATTAAAACAGTGCTCTACCACTGGTGTGCAAAGAGATCGCACACAGTGGCCTTTATTTTTATCAGCGTCTTCCTATTGTTTAATAAAAGCACTTCAAATGTCTTTTTTCATGTGATGCATGGAAATAGTTTTACTAAGAGTATAACAAACATGGCACTTGTGTATATTTCTCAAACTTATGGAGATGTCTATATATAGTTTATTTTTAGGGAAACCACTTTAAAAAATTTGTGTATTGTAATCCTAGGTCATTCTTCCTCTCCTCCTCTTCATGATCTTAAAACAGATTTTTTTTTCTATTCTTTACTATACTCTGAATATGAATGTTTCTTTTGGAATCTAAATGACTAAGTGGTATGCATTTTATCATTTTATTATTAAGATGATTAATTGGTGTATACCTACATACTAGCTCAATATCTTTAACAAAACTCTACTCCAGCTTCAGATAGCTCTTTTTGCAGATACATATGTTTCAAAGCACTGGCATAGTGCATGTCACTCTCCTTTCCTCCCAGGGATACCAAGGTAAAAAAGTGTATTGTTTTCTCTAACTTTAAATTGCAACTTTGTGGCAAATCCCCATGTTGATGATTACATGTAGTATACATTGCTGTATGCATTTGTATTAAGAGTGGGAAATCTTAATATTTAATGTATATGAATGGATGCCTCTTTGTTTCCCTCAGGAAATACTAGTTGGCTCCAAATTGAGAAAACTGTGCACAAACACATCCTAATATAGAAGCAGAATAAAAGTTTTAGGAAAAAGGGTAATATTTTTTAAATTAGACTATTTTTTGGTCTCCTGATGGACACTCTTTTCATGTAATCATGGGAGTTTGGCTCAGCTGAGGTTATCTATCTAAAAAATAATAATAACAGAAAGAAAAACAACTAGGAAAATGAGAGAATAAACTCTAGATATGATACAAGATGATTTGGTGACATTCAATCAATGGAAACACATTTTTAAAAGCTTCTTAAAATAAACTCGGCATTTACTTTAGATATTTAAAATTTCTTACTGGTGAACATAGTGCAAAATATTTCTATTGGGAATTTTAAAAAATCTTCTACTAAGAAAACACCCATACACAGCTGGGTGTGTAAGAGAGGAGTCAGTGCATATTAGGCTGACTGTATTTCTGAGATAAAACCTCTAACAGACTGTTATAGTCTGAAACTTTGTGTCTATCCAAAATTCATATATGGACACTTAATCACCATTTTAATGTTTTTAGGAAGTGGGGCCGAGGGCAGAGCCCTCATGAGTGGGATTATGCCCTTATCAAAGAGGCCCTAGAGTTCTGCCTTTCCCTTTCCACCACCCCAGGACACATCTAAAAGTTGCCATCTGTGAACCAGAAAGCAGCCTACATGCCTTCCTGAATTGGTGTTTTTTACCAGCCTGACACCACTGAAAAAAAAATCTGGTCACGTTATTGAGGACCTAATCTTTCAATCTTTGAATCACCTTATCATTTAAATGTTCCCCATTGCCTTCTAAACAAAATCTAAATGCTTTTATAATCTGATCCTGTCTACATTTACATTCTAATCTCTCACAAGGCCTATCTTTTTGATGTGCATTTAGGTCTTATAACTGCTTACAGAATACAGAACATGTCATATTTTGGGGGACTTTCTTGTCTTTTTACCTGTTGTTCTTTTGATTTGGACTGCATTCATCCTTATCCCAATTCTTTTGAGTTCTATTAAGATATAGTTTAGCTGATATTGCCTTCTGAAAGTTTTCCTCAAATACCAAATACACCTGGGTTAGGTGTTTTCTGGGATGCTATAGTAACGTGTACATCCTTGTTTCATGGTGTCTGACACTTTATTAATTACTTTATGCCTATCTCTATCATTTTAAGTCCCCTGAAGACAAAGGAAGTTTTTTTTTTTTTCTTTTGTGTTTGTTTAACAGTGATCCCAGGAACTAGGAACATAGTGAATGCTGATGACTTGGTGCAAAGAGGAAGGAAGGAAAGAGGAAGAAAGGGCAAGGGAGACAGGCAGAAAGGAAGTACTGGAAATAATGACAGATAATTTCAAGAGAGAAGTTAATCTTTTGTATGAAAAAAGGACACTAAGGAGCAGAGGTCTTTAAGTCAGGATGTAGGAAAGCAACTTCAGTCCCACCTCTTATTGCTCATGTTGGGCAAGTGCTGCACATCTATGAGCCTCAGAGTCTCATTTCACAAGCTGGAATAACAATGAATGTTCATCCTCCTACTCCAGGGTGCAAGGGTCATATTTGATGATATTTGTGTATGTGCTTCGTATTTTTGAAATACAGAGCAACTGTATGGTTTTATTATTTTAAAATATAACACATTAAAAATAAAAACTAGGTAAGTGTAAATATTTAACAGGGGCAGCATATCTGTAAAAATTAAATTTTATTTTAAGTTTAATATAATTTAATTATTTCAGAGACAGAGTCTAAAATAGGCACAATTACAGCTCACTACAGCCTCAAACTCCTGGTCTTAAGCTGTCCTTCTTGGCCTCCCAAAGTGCTGGAATTATAGATGTGAGCCACTGTGCCCAATCAAAGTGCTGGAATTATAGATATGAACCACTGTGCCCAATTTTTCTTTTCTTTTCCTTTCTTTTTTTTTTTTTTTTTTTTAGATAGAGTATCGATCTGTCACCCACGTTGGAGTGCTGTGGTACAATCTTGGCTCACTACAACCTACCAGGTTCAAGCAATTGTTGTGCCTCAGCCTCCTGAGTACCTGGGATTACAGGCCTGCACCACTATGCCCAGATAAATTTTTAAATTTTTCTTAGAGACGGGGTTTTGCTATGTTGCCTAGGCTGGTCTCAAACTCCTGGTCTCAAGCAGTCCTCCCACCTTGGCCTCCCAAAGTGCTGGGATTACAGGCGTGAACCACCACATCTGGTTTAAATTTTATTTCTATAGTGATAAGAACACTCAATGTGAGATCTATCGTTATAATAAATTTTTAAGTGTACCATGTGGTATCGTCGACTACAGGTACAATGCTATACAGCAGATCTCTAGAACTTACTTTCCTTACTTAACTGAATCTTTATGTCCATTGACTAGTAGTAACCCCCAATTTCCCCTTCTCTCCAACTCTTGGAGACCAACATGCCACTCATCAATATTATGAAATTTATATCTCAAATAGGTGGAGTCATGTAGTATTTGATTTTCTGCGACTGGATTATTTCACTCGGCATAACATCCTCAAGGTTCATGCATGTTACTGTATGTTGAAGGATGTCTTTTCTTCAAAGCTGAATAGTATTTCATTGTATGTATGTAACATTTAAAAAATGGTGAAGTGATTTTCTAAATAAGATCAATCCTCAATGAAAGTCATAACTATTCTGTAAGTAAATTTTTTTTTTGAAATCTTAAGCATGCAACCTTAGGCAATTTCTAAATTGCCAGGAAGAATGTTTTAATAAGAAGGTACATTCGATTATATTTACTATGTCTCTCCATTTTTGCTCAATTCACCATTGCTAGTTTATTATCTGGGCTTCCAATACTATGTCAGAAATATATTCAATAATTATAAGATAAATGTATCAGTCATTAGTTACATCAACAGACCAAAAGCAGGCTCTTTTTTCATGTACAGTTTTGGGCATCACAAATCTAGGCTACATTGAGGCTTTATGTGTCTAGAACAGTCTATCCATTCAAACTCTCCATATCAAATATTGCATTTTTTATTTCTGGGACTACTAGGATGCCTATAAGTTCAAAATGGAAAGCCAATTTGTGAATTATCTTAATATTCCAAGGAATAATTTATAACACATATAATCCACAGTACACTTAAAAGCTAACAATTGATGTTATTACATTGCATTTTTGTCAACTTTGCTACAGTAACAAATGACCAGAAAGTCTCCAAGGGTTTATTTCTTGCCCTCGTTACATATCAGTGGCTCTGTTTTGTTCCACATTTCTCTTTTATTGTATGACCTAGTCTGGAGAAGCTGGCCTCCTTTTGGGATACAAAATTCTTACAGATTTGGAAAAAAGAGCCAGAGAGCTGAAAGGACATGATAATTTTGAAGAGAGTACATCATGGCTGTTAAAATTGCCATGAGAAACTGGCCTATTGGTCCTTGTGCTCACATATTTATGGCCCAAATAATTTACATGGCCAAGTTCATGTCAAGGAGCTGAAGTGCATTCCTTCCACAGGAAGGCGATGCAGTTGCATGGCAACACAGCGATGTATAATCCACTTACAGGGAAGAGGAAAACATAATAGTACAAAGTATAATGTCCTTCCTCTAAGGCATAAATACTTACTTCTCTTTTTTTTCCCTATATGCTAAATATAACCAACTCCTCCCCAAGGCTAATATACCAAAAATCCAATCCAGTCCTGGCAATCATATTCAAATATCAGAATTTATTGATAAGTCTCTATATTAGGTACAAACCTGGCTTTTTAAACTCGGTGGTGCATAAATACACACACATATACACACACACAGACTCACACACACGCACACGCCAAAACCTGCTTCTTACATACTCAACTGAAATCATAGAATATCACTATTATGTCACAGATTCACAATCAACACTGCTATTCAAAAATGAGATAAATGGGCGGCATACGGTGGTCAATGGCTTGTGATAATTCTGGAATTCTGTTGACCAGATGTTTCAAGGAACATGATTATGATATGATTTTGCTTCTTGGAAACTCCCCAGTGTGTTCTCAGTGGCTCTTGGCTCCACCCTCAGGATAGTTCTTCCTTTTTTTATTGTACAGTTAAACTTGGTCATCTCTGAAGAGGCCATTGGAGAATGTCCCTTCACTGGTGGCTAAACCACTTGTGTACTGGCTGTAGGCATTGTGGACATGAGAAACTGTTTTACATTTCAAAAGGTTACGATTTCTTTTAGTCCTTGTTGACGGTTTTGGCAGTATAGCTCTCTTATAACTTTGTTTTTCATCAGTTAGATTCCAGTCATTTCCAAATGATTGAGTCCTTTCTAATTTGAGCGTACAAATGGTCACACTCACGGTGCTTTTGGAGGCAGCCTCACCTCTCTTTGTCTTTCTCTCTTTAATTAAAGTGACTTTGCATTTATCAGACTTCCCTGTGAAAACAACCTTGGTCTGTTTTCTCTGACACATTTTGTTCAACTGAAATGATTTACTCATAGCTACCTTAACCTACTCATATGTTTAAACAAAGAACAAGATGTCAATTATTTTAATTTGGTCTCTGCTGTAGGTCAATTATTAATTAATCTTAATTGTTCAGAGTACTTACAAATGCTAGCACTTATTGGTTGCATATTAGAAACAGTTAAGTTGGCCAGCCCTCTAACACCTTTTTTTCTGGACTGTTGAATTTCTCTTTTACTCTTTATGGCTCACTAGTGAACCCTTTCCTGACCTCATCTTTGTTTTGTCAAGTCCAGTTGATAATAACAAAAACACCCTTCACAAAGTTCTATATCTTACCCCTTTTTGCCAAAAGTCACATTTTAATTAGGTACGTTATGTGACTTGAGAGATATTTTAGAGAACAGCGCTGCCAGTTTCATTAATACATAAAATTTCATCAATAAATAAAACAGGCTGCCATTTTTCATGCTCCAATTATAGTTTACTTGATGTCCACTACAGAGTCTTGAAGCCAATATCATATACAATGTTCTTTAAAAAAAATGTGACACTCTTTCACTTCACATAAAATTTCTGAACTGCTTAGCTTTTCTGTGTTAACAGATCACCCTAAAATATCACAAGCTTACAACAAATGCTTTTCCTGTCATGTTGGCTAAAGTTGTTGACAGCTCTGCTCATGCCTTTTTTTGTTTTTTCTTCCTTTTCAGGATGTTGCTTCATATTGTAGCATGCTGTTTTGTTGCAAATTAAAAACAAATTAAAAGAAAAACAAATCAACAGAGTTGGATTAAACCTACCGTCACTCTCAAAGTTTCTGTTTGGAATCAGCATACTGTCACATCATTTACCAAAAAACAAATCACCTGGCCAAGTCAATGACTTTGATAACAGTATGCTTCTCACTCCTCCTGCAGGAAGGCACTATAGATCCATTGCAAGCAACTGAAATGTAATCCTCTCCCAGGGAATGGGGTATTAGATAATTGGGAATGAGAATTCATAATAACAGATATTCTGATACCGATTTCTCCTTTGACACACTCTGAAAAACCTCACTAACTTTCCATAGTTTTCTGGCCCCCAAATGTATTCTACAGTTTGGGGAATTAGCTTTGAGTTTGTCCTTGCTGTCTTCATTTCCACCCACTTGCATGTCCTTGCAAATTTCTATATATAGGTTCAACTCCACCTAATTGTTTTAGCCTGGTAATGTATCAGGAATCAAATTTGCAGTTTATATTTATAGTGTAAGTCAGTTCCAGTCTTCTCAGTGAAAATTGAGCCTCCTCTTCAACCCCTGGAAGTTTAGTCAAGGTTCTAATTTTCTGCCTAGCACCTATTGTCAGCGTTCTTCCATGAGGTTGGATCCTATTCTTCTCCTTCATGGGTGTCTTAGTTTTCTGCATCAACAAGATACCTAGAATAGTAATATTATTCAAATATATGCCAAGACCCCTGGAACAGTCCTTTCACAGCCCCTCTAGCTTAATCCCATTAAATTTAATTAATTTAGAGAAGGGAGATGGACTAAGATCAGGTTTTTTATTCTCCATGGACATTGCATTTTTTTTTTTTTGAGATGGAGTCTCGCTGTGTTGCCCAGCCTGGAGTGCAGTCAGGCACTCTTGGCTCACTGCAACCTCAACCTCCCAGGGTCAAGCGATCCTCCTGCCTCACCCTCCCAAGTAGCTGGGATTATAAGCACATGCCACCACGCCTGGCTAATTTTTGTATTTTTAGTGGAGATGGGGTTTCACCATGTTGGCCAGGCTGGTCTCAAACTCCTAACGTCAAGTGATCCGCCCACATTGGCCTCCCAAAGTGCTGGGATTAAAGGTGTGAGCCTTTGCACTTGACCGGACATTGCAATTTAAACTCTAGTTAGTCCATAACGGAGCATAAGCTTTACTCTAGAACCACAAACTCCCAGTTAATTTTGATCCCTATTATCTCATTTAGCATATGCTTTAGCCAAAACTATATAGGTTTTGAAAGTTTGAGGAAGAGCATGCATGTATTTGATTTGAGTTTGAACACCTACTGTTGCTGAAATACTTTATAAAATATTCAGTTTTTAATCAAAGACTATAAAAATGACTCTGTGATATATACACAGTGAATACATATATTTTTCTTTTTACTACCGTCATTTTAGGGCACTAATAGTAATGCGTCACAATTCTGAACATTCGTAAGGGAACCTCAAAGTGGATGCGATACAAAATTGTGTATTTATGTGTGCATCGGTTGTACCCCAAGTGGTTTTAATAATGATTTGACAGCTAACAAGCTATACTTTCTAGAACTACACATTAGATGTTTGTATATCATGAAGCTGGTGAGAGTGTAGTAATCGTTCTTGATTTTCTATAACTAATGATTTGACATTTGGAAATCATGGTTGCGGGCGCCTGTAGTCCCAGCTAATCGGAGGCTGAGGCAGGAGAATGGCATGAACCCGGAAGGCGGAGCTTGCAGTGAGTCCAGATCACGCCACTGCACTCCAGTCTGGGTGACAGCGAGACTCCGTCTAAGAAAAAAAAAAAAAAATGGCATAACCATCCAGCTATTCACTAAAACTAGACTTTCTAGGGTGAATTTCACCCTTTCTCATTCCTCCAAAAATTTGGTTATCAGTTCAGGTTTAGTTTGTTTGAACATTTCTGTTGAATGACATCTCCTCACCCTTTTACTGCCTGTGTGTTGGTTCTCTTTATCTTTCATTTAGATGACCGCAAAAGAAGATACTGACATTAGTATCTTCCCACAAATAGCCACCAAATTTACTGTTTCCAGAAGCACAACTGCTTCCGTTTTTAAAATTTATTTTATAGATATATAGTAGTGCTTCAGTTTTTTAAAAAGCCATATCCTCTTTCCCGCAGGATAAAATCTGAACTCCTTAGCGTAGCATAAAGGATCTTTCACAGTCTGACTCCTGTCTATTTTCCATTTAAATATCTAGACAGTAACCTTTTAACCCTTCTATCTTTCCTGCCTCATTGAACTTCTTTGTAACTCTCTCCCTTGCACGTTTCCTCTTTTACACTTTGCTTTTAATGATACTGAATTCTCTTCTTTTACCAAACTTATCTTTCACCCAATTTAAATATCTGTTCATCAGGTGAACTATTCCATGATCTCTCTGAAAAATTTAATTACTCAACATCCCTGACTCCCACAGCACATTGTTCACAGGTCTTTTATGTCTTTATCCAGGATGTGTTACATTTGATCTGCTGAAGTGAATATTCAGGTAGGCGAGCTTAAGCTGTGAATTTTTTGAGGACATTCAAAATGTTGATTCACATTTGCTTCTCCATCTCCAAGCACTTCAAATGAACTGATTTAAAATCTTCACCCACTGCATATGACCTTCCACGCAATGCCTGAATCCAAGTCCTCAAACCTCTATGGTACATTTCCTCAGAGCATACCTTATACTCCTATCAAGCCACAATACTTTCTTATCCTTACCTCTCAGTCTTTGCTTACGTTCAAGTTCAAAAGTTGTAGTCCCTCTTTATTACATGTCATAACCCTTCCTCCTTTCAACTCACCTCCAGACTTGACGGCTGACCAGTTACACAGCATAGGTATTATGAGTATGTAGGCAGATGCCAAACTGTACTGTTTGTTAAATATTCATGTTAGCATCTCTGCTCAATCAAATTAGATATAACTTTCTTAGAACACTTATATTTGACCTTGTAATCATTATTTATCATACACAAGCACCAGAGGTCTGCTGGAACCAGCTCCTAATGGCTCATGAGAACCAACTGTTACATTTCCAGATTTTTTTTTTTTCTTTTTCTTGAGACAGAGTCTGGCTGTATGGCCCAGGCTGGAGTGCAGTGGTACAGTCTTGGCTCACTGCAGCCTCCACCTTCCGGGTTCAAGCAATTCTCTTGCCTCAGCCTCCTGAGTTGCTGGAATTATAGGCACTCGCCACCACACCCAGTTAATTTTTGTATTTTAGTAGAGACAGGGTTTCACCATGTTGGCCAGGCCTGGTGTCAAACTCCTGACCTCACGTGATCTGCCCGCCCTGGCCTCCCAAAGTGCTGGGATTACAGGCATGAGCCACCATGCCCAACCATGAATATTTTTTAACAAGTTGTTATATAGAGACATTATTTGTAAAATTATATAAAATAGTATTTAAAACAGATGTAATGCTCAAAATTTATTAATACCTAGTTATTGTATGATTACTTCTTTTTTTTTGAGACGGAGTCTCGCTGTGTCTCCCAGGTTGGAGTGCAGTGGCGCGATCTCGGCTCACTGCAAGCTCCGCCTCCCAGGTTCATGCCATTCTCCTGCCTCAGCCTCCCAAGTAGCTGGGACTACAGGCAGCCACCACCACGCCCGGCTAATTTTTTGTATTTTTAGTAGAAACGGGGTTTCACCGTGTTAGCCAAGATGGTCTCGATCTCCTGACCTCGTGATCCGCCCGTCTCGGCCTCCCAAAGTGCTAGGATTACAGGCGTGAGCCACCGCGCCCGGCCTGTATGATTACTTCTAATTTTGGGGTTATTTGTGTCTACTGTGGGAATACTGTTGTGCTACTGTGCCTGTCTTCTCAACGACAGTTTCAATCATGTCATACAGTTAACTTCAAATTAGCTATAATTGGCATATTTACACCATGGCCATCAGGCCTTGAGTTATTGCTGTGTTGATTGTCTAAACTTCAGAAAATGATGCAAAATATCAATACTGTAGTTTCAATATAAAGGTGTAAGCTAATATTGAGAGTAGTGGCTACATTTGAGATAAATATTTAGAAAATATTATTCTGTTTTGGGAAAGAGTTATCTGATTCAGGAAATAAGCTATTCATGTCATTGCCAAATAAGTGTATTTTTGACATACATATTCATTGTTTTTCTTTTTTCTTACTCATTACTTTAAATGAAAATATTATACAACATTCATATAAGAATATAGTCATATTCAGCTGGCTACTGATACAAAAGTTCAGCAACAAACAAAAATATACATTCTGTGAATGAATTGGCTATGTGGAAATAACAACACAAATATTATATATACTATTATTTGAAAAATGTGTACTTTAGATGCTTTATATTAATAACGTTTATGCAAAAAATAAGTATATATATATATATAAGTATGTATATGAACACACTTTTGTCAAGAGAAACAGTTGCTAAGCACTTATAGCTCACTACTGATAAGATGATGAAGGTGTCAACTGAAAATAAATGATTGCAAGCACTTGCCTTTAAGTCATAGAATGATAGTATGATTAAATAATATTCATAGAATTTTACATGTTCTAATCCAGTATTCTGTTTAAAAATTGAAGTGGCCAGCGTGGTGGCTCAAGCCCGTAGTAGTCCCAGCACTTTGGGAGGCCAAGGCTGGGGGACCACTTCAGGTCAGGAGTTCAAGACCATCCTGACCAACATGATGAAACCCCATCTCTACCAAAAATACAAAAATTAGCAGGGCATGGTGGTGAACGTCTGTAATCCTAGCTACTCAGGAGGCTGAGGCAGGAGAATCGCTTGAATCCAGAAGGCAGAGGTTGCAGTGAGCCAAGATTGTGCCATTGCACTCCAGCTTGGGCAACAGAGTGAGACTCTGTCAAAAAATAAAAAAGTAAAAAAAAAATACAGTTATTTCTAAAATTTCCTGCAAAACTTACAGTTAAACCCAGGTCTCCTGATACCCACAACCATTTAAGGTTTACTCCCAATTATTGTGCCACTCACCTGTATGATCTGCTGTAATCCCTTACATACTCTGGCTCTCATATTCATCACCTGTAAAATGCAGGTATTAGAATAGATGTGTTTCTAATATTATGCAATGTGTCACCTTTTTAAAAGTCAATTGGTACATTATCTGAAATTAAAATGAAATTATAAAATATATGCCAAAATCAAATTTGTGCTGAATCTATGATAGGAGGATGATTAAAGTGAGAAAAGAAAAATCTTAATTAATACTTATTAATTTCATGGAAAATAAGTCACTCAAGTAAGTTCAATTAGGAAAAAATAAATTACATTTGTTAGGAGTGTTTAAAGTTATCTTACAAAATCCAAAGGTAGTAAGTTCAACGGAGCCCCATTTGGGAGTGCCGCAATCCCTCAGGGAAATCTCTCTCATTCCTTCAGCAATCTTCAGGGATATCTGGTTCTCCTCTTTCTCTGCAGTTTTTCTGCTTCGATGATTCATGCATAGTCATAAGCTGCTACTGAAGAACTTTCATTGCCTAAGTCAAAACTACTCCATCATCTGCTAGTTGCCATAATCTGACCCAATTTTCTGGTGTCAGACTTAAAAATTCCTGTGAGAAAGATATTATAAGCCTTTTTTGAATCAAGAAAACCCTCTCGGTCTAATCAATTATGATCATGAGGTCTAGGTGTACTCAGAAGGCCTGTGGAGCCCAAGCAGGCCAAACTCAGAAAAAAGAGCAAGGGCTAAGTAGGTACTTTGGGATGTTTCTAAGTAACATTCTACCTTTTTTTTTTTTTAAAAAAGAAACTTTATTATTTGCCTTGAAATAGGTATTATTATTATATATATTATATAATAATTATGTTATATAGTTATTATTATAAGTACATCCTTAATAAAAATTGTATTGTTGAAGAATATTTGCCCTTTTTCTGGAGAGTTTTTAAAATTCTTATTTTTATAACACTTGTACTTCTGAATGATCCACACTGAAATCTTAAAATCCTTGATTTAATGCATTTTTGAAAGCATGACCTTTGCAGAATGTGTACTTAATTGCAGATTATGGACAACGCGAAACAGATATAACATTTTAAACTATTATTTTTGTTATATAATTTTTCTGTAGTTTACAGCAAAATCAAAATGGAAATTCCCACAAGTAAATAATCAACTAATAGCAGCTTATGTGCTAATATTAAAATATTTCTCATTAATTAATTTTTATAAAGAATATGAGAGAAAAATATTAAAATTACTGACTGTTGCTTTAAATAAGCACAAGAAATACTGCATTAATGTTCTGGAGGTCATCAAGGCATAAGAACTTCAAAACAAGTGTAATCACCAAACTTAAGAAATTATTGATTTTCAGAAGTATATGCCAATTAGCATTTCACATATTCCTATCATTAATATATGATTCACCACTTAATAAATTATTGGTATACAAAATTATCAGTAAGAGTCAATGCACTATTAATGTTGACATAAAGTACAATTCACCACTTGAAAATATTAATATAAAAAAATAAAATACTTTCAAGAGAGGGTCCAGGATGGGTTGCTATGGGATGGGCTGCTATACCCACAATTATTAATATAATGTGTATAGCAATACTAAAACATTATAAATATCTTTACCTTTTTAAAAAATACATTTTAAGCATGCTGAAAACCTAAGGACTTATCTTAACAGAGTAAAGGATTGGATTTGATGCCTGGTTTTCTAATAAATACTTACATGCTGGCAGATATGCTTGTCAAGATGCCATATGTGTAAATAAAAAAACACAAGCATCAAATAAATAGTTGGTATGTATAATGAATACTCAGGAGTAGCAATAGCTACTGTCTACTAAAATTATAACCCAATGGTTATTTTACAATTTCAAGAAGCACCACGGCTCGTAATAGCAGTAATTTACATGCAAACAGACACAACTGTGCTATTTTACTACCAATTATGGTCTTATATGTATTTTCATGTCACTGTCTGCATCTGAAACTGCAATTAATGTGAAGGCCTAAAGAACACAAACTATTTCACCACATACACACACAAAAAAATGGTAACGAATGCTAGATTTCTAAAACAAGAAATTAGTAAATATTTATTAAACTCATATTAATATGTAAAAAGCCACAATTCAGGCATAGAGAGGATATTGCTTTTCTTTCCAGTATTTGGTGTCATGGGAAGAAGAATGTGTCTTAAAAGATATGAAAGGAAACATTCAGGGCCATATGAAATATATTTTATCACTTAGGCTTCTGAAAAATCTCAGTTGCAAGTTTCCTAGCTTTCATGGGGAAAACATTCATTCAATGAACATTTTGGATCCTAGATAGTTTGGATGATATGCATAGATTAATCATTATTTTCTCAATTAGCTTACCAGTCAACCATCAGAGAAAAGGCACATACCTTACACCCCAAATATGATAAATACTGAGCATGATGATCTTTTTGGGAAAAATGTAACGGGAAAAAAGTGAATCTTTATGAAGTTGGTTTTGTGAGCATGTACCCATTACTTTTCATTAAGTAGTCAATGTAATCACAAATCAAGTTTAAAAGATTCTGTTGTGTATGTGTGTATATATATGTGTGTGTGTATATATATATATACACACACACATATATAAATGTATCACACATATATCATTATTTAAAAGAGAGATATTTGGGGTGATAACTTTTCATTGTTCCTGCAGACATCTTGCCCTATGGTGGGGGCATCAGCAGAGGAGGCTCAGAACAGCCAAGCTAATTTACAGAGCCCAGGGCAGCTCTTCTGTCTAGACTTAAGAAAAGGCCTAGTATAGAGTAGTCTCAAATCGCCTGTTATAGGGGTTTTTATTTACTATTTAGAATAATTCCAACCCCATTTATTGTTTTTTAATGCAATAAACCCCTTTTGGAGCAGTATGTTAAAAATTTAAAAATGCATTTTTAATGAAATATCAGCCTTGAATTTTTTTCACTGACAAAGTTAATATTAAAGATAAAATTTGCACAAAATATTTGTCAACATTTAAAATCCAACATATGAGTCCTAGGGACATTACTAAGCATATGCAATATGAAAGAGAAAAAATTAATAAAGCATCAATGTCTTTTAAAAATTAATACTTAGGTGGATATTTATGAAGCATACATTTGTATTTAGATTAAATTATTTCTTATAATTAATTAAATTTTTTTCCAATCAAAGTATTGTACACTCATGAAAACTGAGGTAATAGCTTTTAAGACTGGCACTATTAGCAAAACAAGAATCTTAACAATTGTCACATTATTCCAGTTTTATAACAGTAACATAAGATGCTTCATAAAAACTAGTTAATTTTAATAATTTTTGGTTTTTATCCACCCAATTCATGGAATCAAAGTAAAGCTTTGGAAAGTTCATTCATTTAAAGGTGAAACATTTGCTATTTTATGGATGCTAATTAATTTCAGTTAAAAATTAAAACACTGAAGATTAAAATTGTTTATCTTATACATTAACAGAAAGAAAATTTATATGAAATATAAATAGCAAAATGTATTCTCACTTAAATTTTAAAATCTTGTCATAAAGCAAGAGAATAAAATAAAAAGAGTATATATATACTATATATACTATACATATATACTATATATGTATTATATATACACACATATATAATATATATACACATATATACTATATATACCATATATACAGTATACATATACTGTATATATATATACATATACTGTATATATACGAGAGAGAGAGAGAGAGAGGGAGAGAGCAGAGCTAAAACAAACCCTGTATTCAGATATTATCTATATAGAAAATCCTAAATAATCTGCAACAAAACTACTTCAGCAAATAAATTAAATTAGCAAGTCATCCAGGACACGAGGTAAATGTACAAAAAGGCAACAATTATTTCTATGTACTATAAATAAAAACATGGAAATTGAGTATTAATAGTGCATTTATAAGTGGCACCAAAAATATTAAACATAGGTATAAATCTTACAAAATATGTGCAAGATTTGTATGCTGCAGGTTACAATGAGATCCACACATTTAAGGTGAATTGATTTTTTGAAAGGTTCACATAGAAGGAAAAACCCTGAAATTGTCTTAAAACTTGTTGTGGTGCATACATGATTTATAAATATTTCCAAATAAGATACCTTATTCAATCAGTTGCATTAGATACTGTATTTTAAAATATACAAATATATTCTAAACGCAAACTATTATAATTTTTGTAATGACGATTATTTTTAATATAAAAATATATTTCGGCATTTATTTTCTTCTGTGCTATTCTTAGTTGAAGTTTTAAAATGTAAGGATTTATAATTCAAAGAGTTTTATAAATGTTTTAATTTTCATTTTAGTGAGTTCTCTAGATTTTGTTCTTATTTACTTTTTTCATAACTATTTGGAAATATTAAATATTCTTAAGATTGTATTAAATTTTAATTACTGGGAAAAAAATTGAAAAGAAAACCCATTGTAATCCAACCCCATAAATGTCAAGGAAGGCACTGAAAATACTAAATAAAGAGTCACAAATTGAATATAAGAATTTATTTTTAAAACTTTTTTGGCTTTATTGAGTTAGAATTGAAAAATAAAAATTGTATGTATTTAAGTATACGTCATTAAATAATTCTAACAATGAAGCTAATTAACATATTCATCACCTCACATGGTCGCCACTTTGTGTGTGTGTGATTAGAACATTTAAAGTCTACTTTCTTAGAAAATTTCATGCACAAATAGCAGTATTATTAATTACAGTTATCATGCTGTATTAGGCTTCCATAAGTTATTCACTTATTCACACTACATAACTAACATCTCCTGCTTACCCGACCCCACAGCTCCTGGCAATCTCCTTTCTATTCTGCTTCTACCAATTCAACCATTTTAGATTCCACACATAAGTGAAATCATGCGGTATTAGTTTTTCTATACCTGGCTTAGTTTACTTAGCATAATATTCTCCAGAATTATCCATGTCATTGCAAACAACATTTTGTTTTCTTTTTTAAGGCTGAATAATATTATAGTGAGTGTATTATTATGGGGTATTTTATAGTACACATATATAATGTTTTCTTTATTCACGTATCATTGCATCAATGGACAAAGATTACTTCCATATCTTGGCTGCTGTGAATAATGCTGCAATGAACATGGAAGTGTAGATGTCACTCTGAGATACTAATTCATGTCCTTTACATATGTACTTAGAAATAGGATTTCTAAATCATATGATAGTTCTATTTTTAATTTTTTGAAGAACCTTCATACTATTTTTCATAAAGGTTGTACTAATTCACATCCCCACCATTGGTGCACACATGTTAACTTTTCTCTAAATACTCACTGACACTTGATATATTTGTCCTTTAAAAAATATTCATTCTAACAACTGTGAGGTGATATTTCACTGTGATTTTGATTTGCATTTCTCTGAGCAGATTCTCTTATAGCCGTTGGCCATTTATATGACTTCTTTTGATATATGTCTTTTCAAGTCCAGGTGAGTCCAAGAGTGCCCACTTTTTAGTCTAGTTATTTATTGTCTTACTATTCAGTGTTATTTTAGGTATTAACCACTTTTCAGATGTATTGTTCGAAATGTTATTTCCCAATCCATAGGCTGTGTCTTCATTCTGTTGATTCTTTCCTTTAATGTGTAGAAGGCTTATAGTTTGACATAATCCCATTTGTCTATTTTTCCTTTTTTTACCTGGGCTTTGGGGATGTAACCCAAAAATCATTGCCCCAACCAACAAGAAGATTTTTCCTGTGTTTTCTTTTAGTAGTTTACAGTTTCATGGCTTCTATTTAAGTTTCTAAACCGTTTTGAGTTGATTCTTTGCATACGGTATAAGTACTTAACTTTATGCATGTAGATATCCAGTTTTCCTAACATCATTTATTGAAGATTCTCATTTTCATATTGTGTGTTCAGGGCACCTTTGAGATTGATCAATTAACCATAAATGAGCTGATTTCTGAGCTTTCCATTTTGTTTCATTGGCCTATATGTCCACTGGTCTATGTGCCTCTGAAAAGAATGTGTTCTTTCGCCAGTGTGATTACTCTAGCTTTGTAGCACATTTTGAAATCAGGTGGTGCGATGCCCCCAGCTTTGTTCAAGATTGCTTCGGCTACTGAGGTCTGTATTAATCTGTTTTCACATTGCTATAAGAACTACCTGAGACTGGGTAATTTTTAAATAAAAGAGGTTTAATTGACTCACAGTTATGCATGGCTGGGGAGGTCTCAGAAAACTTACAATCATGGCAAAAGGCAAAGGGGAAGCAAGGCACGTCTTACATGGTGGCAGGAGAGAAACAGCAAGAGGGGAACTGCCACACACTTTCAAACCATGGGATCTCAGGAGAACTCACTCAGAGAACAGCAAGCGGGAAATCTGCCCCCACAATCCAACCACCTCCCACCAAGTCCCTCCACCAATACTAGAGATTACAATTTGAGATGAGATTTGGGTGGCGACTTAGAGCCAAACAATATCAAGGACTTTTTTGATTCTATATGAATTTTAGATATACGTGATCATGTTATGTCATCTGCAAACAGGGACAGTTTTACTTCTTTTCTAATTTGGACATCTTTTATTTCTTTTTGCTGCCTAATTGCTCTGGCTAGGACTTCCATTACTGTATGGAATAGAAGTGGTGAGAATGGGCATCTTTGTCTTGCTCCTGAACTTAGAAAAACGCTATGACAGGGATGTAAGTATGAGTATGATGTTAGCAGTGGACTTGTCATGTACGCCTTTTATTATGTTGAGATCCATTCCTTCAATATTTATGTTGTTGAGAGTTTTTATAATGCAATAATGTTAAATTTTGTCAAATGCTTTTTCTAGTCATACAATTATTATCCTTCATCCTGTTAATGTGGCATATCACATTTACTGATTTGTGTTTATTGAACCATTCTTACATTCTAGAGGTAAATCCCACTTGGTTATGATATATGATTCTCATAAGAGCTGTTGAATTCAGTTTACTGTTATTTTGTCGAAGATGTTTGCATCTATTTTCAGCAAGTAATTTTCTTTTCTTGCAGTGTCCTTCTCTGGATTTGATATCAGAATAACCTTTGCCTCATGAAATTAGCTTGTGGGTTCCTCATCTTCATTTTTTTTGGAAATTTTGAAAAGAACTGGCTTTAATTCTTCCCAAATATTTGGCAAAAATCACACATGAAGCCATTGGTTCTGCGTTTTTCCTTGTTGAGAAGTTTTTGCATGATGATTCACTACCTTTACTCATTATTTGTCTATTTGTATTTTCTGTTTTTTTCATGATTCAGTCTTAGTAGGTTGTATTCTTCTAGGAATTAATTCCTTTCTTTGGAGTTATTCAATTTTTTGCATATAATTGTTCATAGTAATTTCTTACAATCCTTTGTATTTCTGTGATTTCAGTTCTATTGTCTCATCTTTCACTTATATTTATTTGAGTCTTCTCTCTTTTTTCTTGGTTAGTCTAGCTAAAGAGAGATATTTGAAATATTTTCTTTTTCATGCTGGCATTTATTACACTTCTTGTAAGGCGTGTTTAGTGGTAGTTAACACCATCAGCCTTAGTTTGTCTGCAAAAGCCTTTATCTCTCCTTTTCTGAATGACAGTTTTGTTGTGTATACTATTTTTGGTTGGTAGTTTTGTTTTGTTTTGTTTTTCCAAGACATTGAATATATAATCCCACTTTTACTTGGCCACTCACTAAGGTTTACTGGGTCATCCTTGATGCTGGAATCCAAGGCAAAGTCAAATGTTGACTTCACTCTCCTTGCTCTGCATGGAGAGTATTTCTCTTCATGCTGCACTGTTCAGGCTGGACTCCTACTCTCCATGCTGTGCTTCTACTTTCTTTAATTTGTCTTCTCCTATTTCTGCACTCAACCCAGGTTCTGTAATTCCTCCCCTGGATTCCATAGCTCTTGTAAATATGTTTTTGCATGTGAATAGTTGTTCAAGTTGATATTTCCATGAGAAAATGAGCACCAGAAACTCCTATTCTGTCATCTTGCTGATATTAGTCCTCAGGATTTGATTTTTAAGTGTTAAAATTGGGAAATTCTTTTGAAACGGTTTCTATTTGTAATTAGATAAAATTTTATCTTATAACATAATGGCATTAAATTAAGCCCTAAAGTTTTTGCAGCATCTAAATGTAACAACACATCCCCAATACATATCGAATTTAACAAGTTTTGTATTGAAATATTATTTATAAAAGGAATGTGATCTAATAAAAGCAACCAAGGCTATACCTGTGAGAATATTTATAATATTTACAAATTTAAAAATAAAATCTATCATTATAAATTTTCTCTAATCTTACAGGTTAGTTTTAAAACAGTATTTTCTCATTTAAAATATTACGGTATATAGCAAAGAGTAAAATGCAAGTTTTAAAAATTTAAAATTTCTAATTATGTAGTACAGCACTGAATAAAATTGAAGACAATTATAAAATAAATTAATAATAAAAATTAAACATTTTAGAACATATTATTTACAAAATACTAAGTCAGATAAATTAAGAAATTTAAAGTATGAAAATATGGCTCAGAACAACAATTTCGTTCATGCCATTTTAAAATTTCATACAATCAATAAAAGGTGCACATGTTCTCATGTTAATAAACGCAGGTACAGTTGATCTTAGAACAACATGAGTTTGAACTGTGTGTCGCCACATATATGTGGTATGTAGATTTTTTTTCTGCCTCTACCACCCCTGGTATACCAAGACCAACCAACCTCTTTTTCCTCCTCTTCAGCTTACTCAACGTGAAGATAAAATGAAGACATTTGTGATGACTAACTTCCACTTAATGAATAGTAAATGTATTTTCTCTTCCTTATATTTTTCTTAGTATCCTTTTTATTTCTCAAGCTTACTTTATTGTAAGAATATAGCATATAATAAATATAATATAGAACCTATATTTAATCAATTGTTTATGTTATTAGTAAGACTTCCAGTAAACAGCAGGCTGTTAGTTAAATATTTGGGGAGTCAAAAGTTTTATATGAATTTTTTACACTGTAGGGAGTCAGCACCCCTGATCATCTTGTTGTTTAAGGGTCAACTGTATATGTTCATATTGAGAAAAAAATATTTTCAGCGATATGTTTGAATAGAACTATTTTTATATTAAAAATACAATAAATAATAAATCCAGCACTCTGATCACTACAAAAGTCAAAACGTATATCCGTATAGAGATATTTAATTTTTGAATTTCCTTCATTCATATAATTGTCCAGATTTTCAGATACAGAGATATATGTGTGTGTATACATACATATTTTTTTGTTTGTTTTTTTAAATATATATTCTCTTCTCAATTTTAATTCCATCCTGTGTCCAGGTACAGATGTATGTATGTTCAGTACAGATGGTCCAGACTTTCAGATATGAATAGACATATATGTATATAAATATATATATGTTTTTATATTTCCTTCTGAATTTTAATTCCATCCTGTGTCCAGGTGCAGATATACAGATGTTCAGTATAGATGGACAGCTGCTTTTTAATGTTTTCTTTTCTCTTTTCTTACTCTGCTACTAAATATATTGTTTTCTTTTCAACTGAATAAACCTTTTCTTGATCAATATAACTTAGAGATTATTTTCATAATTCATTCAACAAATATTATAGAACATTTATTATATAGCAATCAATATTCTCAGAATTGAGATTGCATTAGTATTTTAAAATGATTAATATTCACACACGCAATACAACCATTTTCATGACACTATGACAAGAATTCTGAATTAAGGCTAGTGTTCTTCTGAACAATTATCATAAAGAGATCTGATAGAGTCATGAGATACTATCCTTAAGATAGCCTTTAGTCGAATTTAAACAATATGCATTACTAAATACAAAATGAGTAGGAAAGGGTGTGACAAGAGCAGAGGTGTGGTGAGGTTGGGACATGGTAGGTCTGAGGGCCTTTAACACAGTGAACATTCAGTAAATAGTGTTGCAAAATGAACCTAAGAAGAAGGAATGGTCAAACACTGGAGAGCTTTGTGTGGCACGTTAAGCATTTTATCATTTAAATAGTCTCAAGCAAAGCATAACAGGATCAAATGTACATTTTGGAAAGACAAAATCCACAAAATGTGCACGTGCCCTTTGTTGTTGTATTTTTTATGTGTGTCTCAGATAAGCGAGGAGGGGCAGCAGAGGTGTGAGCATAGTAGCTACTGACATGGAGAGAGGTTGTTGGATTTGAGAGCTATAAAGTGTTACAATTAATAAAACTGTATGATGGATTAGAAATGGGAGATGGTAGATGAACTGTGTCAAAGACATCCCCACAATTGGATGCTTATTGGACATTTAGTGAGACAGAAAATATGAAAGAGACTTCTGTTAGAATAAGGATGAGCTCAGATGCCTTGAAAAGCAATCAAAGCAAAATACCAACCAAGTAGATAGTGAACTAAATGGGCCTGAAGCTCAAAGAAGAGATTTAAGATGGATATACAAATAGATAAGTCACCTGCTTAAAAGTGGAAATAGAAACTATCACTGTGAATGACACCATATCAAGAGAGAAGTTAGGGGAGAGTTTCTCAACAGAAGCACTATTGATATTTTGAACCAGGCAATTCCTTGATGTATATGGCTGTGCATGGTAGAATGTTTGGCGGTATTCCTGCCTTCTACCCAGTAGATGATAACAGCATCACCAGTTGCAATGAGCAAAAATGTCTCCAGGCATTGGTAAATGTCTTCTGGTACAAATTCGTTCACAATTGAGAAACACTGGGTTAGAGCAATAAGATAAGAAAATTCATTTTAACATTCTGTTAACTCTATGTGATGATTCAACTCTACATGTCTTCTTTCATATGCTTATGAAAGAGTATGTGTTTCTATAAATGTATTTTTTAATTATTTCTTCTCAATAAAGTTTTCTTTTCAGAAACCTTTTTCTCAGTATTAAAACATATATTTGGTTATCTTTTCCAATGGCCTTTAATTTAGTGTACATTTTATTTGTACTCTATTATCATCATTATTTTATAGAAAAGCAATGGCACTATTATTATTTCATATTTTGTTATCTGTGCCTTAATTCTATTCAAATTCCACATGAATAATTGTTATGCATAATTGCTAATCCTCAGAATAATTAGGATATTCTTGGAAAATGTCCATTTTACATAAAATATATCAATCATTCAAGGACATTTTTCTACTTTGCTTTGGTTTAAACGCTCTGATTATAATTATACATAGAAATATCCACATATACCTGATCCACCTACTACAATTAAATTCCTAGCATATTTCTAAGTTTTTATATTGCACCAGACAGATTCATAAATGATGTAATAATTTCAAATAGGCAATTCAAAATTGATCTATGTAACATATCGTTAACTCTCTAGAAATGTACTTATCCAGTCATGATGAAATTAGTACAGCAGAAGTAAAAGCTAAAATACATTACTTTGACTTATAAAAGTTAGTGACAAAGTTGCTTAGCAGTACTTAGTTTTCTATTAAAACAAATGGCCTAATTCGTTAAGATCACTTTATGAAGTTTTCTTATCCATTTAGATCCTGTCTATGACATGTTCTTAACATAAATCTTACTAACCTCTGAATAAATTTCTCTAATTCTCATAGGATCAACTTGTTTCATTTATTTTTCCCTTTTTCTTGGGATAAATCTTATAGAATATATATCTTTAGTTTTAAGTATTTTTTTAAATTAAGTTCTCAGACTTACAGGTATAATTTGGTTTTAAATAACTGCTTGCGTTAGTTATCTACTGCTTTGTAACAAATATACCAAAACTTAGTTTCTTTAAAACACGCATTTACGATCTCATTGTTTCTGGGAGTCAGGATTCAGGGCACAGCTTAGCTCTGTGTCTCCTGGTTCAGAGTCTGTTGCAGGCTGATTCAAGGTGTCAGTCAGGGACAATCCATCTCACTTTACAACAGGGCAGGAACCACTTCTAAGATCACTCAATGGTTATGAGAAGGAAGAGGGAGAGAGAGAGAGAGAGACAGAGAAAGAGAGAGAGAGAGAGAGAGAGATAGAAAGAGGTTTCTATTTATAGGTTTCTGCCTTGGGAAGTTGTGATTGTCTGTATTTCCCTGTCTGTCTCTCCAGTTTAAGGGGCAGTGATTTGTCCTGTGAACTCACTTCTCTTACAGATCTAAGAAGAGCTGATTTTTTTTTCAGTTTTTTTTCCTTTTTAATTTCTTATGTGTTAGATAGAATGGTAACCCCAACTTCCTCATATGCTGAACCAGAAAGAAGAAGTCTGTGATATAGTTTTCATGGTATAACTAATTAATATATGCGGTGTATGCTCTTTTACTCATCTCTTAATACCAGATTTCCTAGTTGATTTAATTAAAATGAGGTATTCATGTGTAAATAGTTTGTATTAAAGACACATTGTTAAAAAAATGAATTAAGTGTGTGGTAGTATACCATTGAAAGGTTAATTAGATATGCAAATAAAAAATGCTAAGCATTTATAGTTGAATTGGATTTAAAACCAAGTCATTCTCTATCATTTATTTGTATTATAAGTAAAGTTAACATAATTATAGAGTATCAACTTCACAACTTTTCTACTCTATCTAAATATATTCTTCTGAAAACACAGAAAAGCTATTTTTTAATTTCATGAGTGCCTGAGACTAACATATAATAATAGCAAGAATAACAGCTAACTTATTTTAGTATTTGCTCAATATGAGACAATGTTTTAAGCATTTTAAAGGTATAGCATATTTTAATTTCAATAACCACACTACCATTACCATGGCCATTTTGTAGAGGAGAGCACTGAAGTCGACTCTCACAAACTTTTACCAGCTGACAACTTGTTGAGTTAGATTCCAGACATTCTATTACGCACTCCAAATCAATCATACCCAAACTGTAGTCTCTGGGGGCAGCAAAAGCGTCACCTGCGACCCTGCTAGAAGTGTAGACTTTCGGCTGGGCGAGGTGGCTCACGCCTGTAATCCCAGCACTTTGGAAGGCCCAGGCGGGCAGATCACGAGGTCAGGAGTTTGAGACCAGACTGACCAACATGGTGAAACCCTGTCTCTACTAAAAATACAAAACTTAGCGGGACATGGTGGCGTGCACCTATAATCCCAGCTACTCAGGAGGCTGAGGCAGAAAAATTACTTGAACTGGGGAGGCAGAGGTTACAGTGAGCCAAGATCACGCCACTGCACTCCAGCTTGGGCAACAGAGTGAGACTCCATCTCAAAAAAAAAATTAAAAAAGGCCAGCGTGGTGGCTCACGCCTGTAATCCCAGCACTTTGGGAGGCCGAGGCGGGCGGATCATGGGGTCAGGAGATCGAGATCATCCTGGCTAACACGGTGAAACCCCATCTCTACTAAAAATACAAAAAATTAGCCAGGCGTGGTGGCGGGTGCCTGTAGTCCCAGCTACTCGGGAGGCTGAGGCAAGAGAATGGCGTGAACCGGGAGGCAGAGCTTGCAGTGTGCTGAGATAGCGCCACTGCACGCCAGCCTGGGCGACAGAGCGAGACTCTGTCTCAAACAAACAAAAAAAAGAAATGTAGACTTTCAGCTCCCCGCCAGAACTGCACATTCAGAATATGCATTTTAATAAGTGCTTCCCTATATTATAAACTACTCCACTGCATTTAGTAGTAGTAAGAGTTTTTGCTGTTTTTATAGACTCTGATGCACAGGTTGTGACCGTATTCCTTCATTTACGATAGAAGGGGTTTCATCATTGACCCAATATAGCATGTATTAGGTTGGTGCAAAAGTAATCGCAGGTTTGCCATTGAAAGTAATGGCAAAACCACAATTGCTTTTGCACCAACCTAGTATATAATAAACTCCTTCTCTTATCTAATATTAGAACTAGCATCTTGACAATTTAATGACATATAAGTATGTAGTCCTCCTTTTTTTTCCTTACCTGAGTCCCTGCCTGTCTCAGTACAGCTAAATTTCCTGTTTGGTTAAAGGTGAATGTGTTAAAATAATAATGGAGTGTAATTCATGGATATAAGAAATTAATTCTAGAGTTAAATTTTGTCAACTCTTCTCTTTTCTCAATACATCAAATATTGTGTTTAACACATTCTAGTATTTTATTCTACATCAGTAGGGTATTGATTAGAAGAATTCCAAATTATTTTACACAATATTGAATAAATAATTTAACCTTTAAAAAATTGAAGTACATCTAAGAAGAAAAAAAATGAAGATGTAGAAAGAGAGAGTAAATAAAAAGATATGTTATTTTAATAAACATTAACTTGACAGAAAGAGTAGTTGCCTTGCTGTCAATTTGTAAGCTTTTGTCATCTAGGGTTTAGGTATAATACAAGTGATTGCTTCCAGGTTCCAAGGGTGTTCATCCTGTTAGTTAAGCATAGTACCTACAGTCAGAACAATGTCAGGGATTACTTCTAATTTGGCCCATTGTTAGCAAACCAGTAGAATTCTCCAAAAGTAGGTTTTCTAATTTGTGGTGAGATATCACATTCATGAAACATAATTTTCCAAGAGGAAACATCCTTTAATAATGGAAAACAACTAAATGTCATCTATAGCAAACACGATAATCTACATTGGAGCGTGCCTACTAGTTGCGAGTCTTGAACAGAACACTTATAGAAATCTGTGTCATAATTTCATATGCTCTATTGTTTTGATTCTTTCTACTTTAGCATTTAAAAGAGCTAAGATTACAACCAGATGAAATGAAAAAAATCATAGGAATTAAGCAAAAAAAAAAGTCCGAAATTGCTGAGATTTAAAGGAATTCAAATGATGCATACATATAATATTAAGCCAGCTCAATATTT
This sequence comes from Homo sapiens, assembly GCF_000001405.40. Lineage (NCBI taxonomy): Eukaryota > Metazoa > Chordata > Mammalia > Primates > Hominidae > Homo > Homo sapiens. The sequence continues at coordinate 178,378,503 of NC_000004.12, forward strand.
TGCTTTTACCTGAAATATATGGATTAGTAGATTCAGATAATTTCCTTAGTTTTTTATTGCACGTTTCATATATCATAAAACAAAGTAACCAATTAAAGTTAAATGGTATTAACATTTTAAAACATTCACAATATTTAATGAAAGCCACTAGAAATAAATGAAGTCACTACATATAGTAGGAATAATTTTTAGTGTAGGAGTAGAAGCAGCAGCGATTGCAGGCTCCCATCAGAAAAAAACGTAAGTGTGTGAAGCCTTTACTGGCAACCAAGGTATCCAGGTTCTCTCATCAAAAATGACTAGAAGACCGGCGTGACCCACAGATAGAAGGAAGAGCAGTGTGGTGTCGTGGCCCACCTGAGAACCACAGGGGGAAGGAGAACCCCTTTCCCCTCAGCCAAGGGAGGTGGTTAGCAAGCATGCTATCCAGCCAGGGAAACTGTGCTTTTTTTCATGGAACTGTGCAACCCACAGATTGGAAGATTCCACTCGTGAACTCACACCACTGGGGCCTAGCGTCCAACCCCAAGGCATGCAAATTCTTACAGCCTCTCAGTTGGAATCTGCTTAAGCCTACCAAACTCCCAGGGGAGGGATGGACAACTAGTACTGGCTGTGGCTGCCTGTTGTCTAAGCTTTTGAGTTCCTTGGGGGAGGGGCAGCAGCCATCACTAGGACTTGCAACTGCCTAACACACTAAGTTTCTTGGGCAGGGGAAGGGTGGCACCCATTTCCATAGCTCCAGGCTGCACTTTTCCCCTGCTGGAGCCAGGGAGGCTGGACGGCTTGGTCCCAAGACTTGTCCCCATAGCCCAACACACCAGTTGTGGCAGTCTGTGGCCAAAGTGCCTCTTCAGGTCTAACCCTGATTCATCCTTCTTCAGTAGCTGGGGCTTCCCTGCAAGATCTCCAATAACTCCAGCCACAGGCTGAAGGACAGAATTCGGATCTCCCCAGGCCTGAGCCCCACTACAGGGGGAGGGCTGGCAGCAGTCTCTGCAGACCAGCAGACTTAGCCTCTCCTCCTGCTAGTTCTGAGGAATCTAGCAGCCCAGACAAGTGGGTTCCCCCCAGTGAATCACACCCTCTCCACCAAGGGGATAAAGTGCTTCCTTAAATGGGTCCTGTTCCCTGTGCCACCCAACTGGGTGAGACCCTCCAACAGGGGGTGTCAGACACCCTATACAGGAGTGATCCAACTGGCATAAAGTTGGTGCCTCTTGAGGTCAGAGGTCCCAAAAGAAGGGGCAGGCACCCATCTTTGATACTCTCCAGCCTGCTTGAGTGACATCCCCAAGCACGGGAGCGAATCAGATGAATAGGACCTGAAGTGAACCCACAGCAAACTGCAGCAGCCCTACAGAATAAGGACCTGACTATTGAAAGAAAAACAGACAAGCAGAAAGTGACAACAATAGCATCAACAACAACAACAACAAAAAAGGCCCCCCAAAAACCCCATCCAAGGATCAGCAGCCTCAAAGACTGAAATTAGACAAACTCATCTCATAAAGATGAGAAAGAATCAATGATAAAATGCTGAAAACCCAAAAGGCCAGAGTGCCTCTTCTCCAAATGATTGTAACGTTTCTCCAACAAGGGTGCAGAACTGGGTGGAGGATGAGATGGATGAATTGACAGAAGCAGGCTTCAGAAAATGGGTAATAAAAAACTACATGAGCTAAAGGAGCATGTTCTAACCTAATGCAAAGAAGCTAAGAACCTTGATAAAAGCTTAGAGGAATTGCTAACTAGAATATCCAATATAGAGAGTAACATAAACGACCAAATGGAGTAGAAAAACACAGCACGAGAACTTCGTGAAGCGTACACAAGTATCAACAGTCAAATAGGCCAAGTGGAAGAACGAATGTCAGAGTTTGAAGACCACTTTACTGAAATAAGACATGCAGACAAGAATAGAGAAAAAGGAATGAAAAGGAATGAACAAAGCCTCCAAGAAATATGGGACTTCATAAAAAGTTCAAATCTACCATTGATTGGAGTACCTGAGCGAGACAGAGAGGATGGAAACAAGCTGGAAAACACACTTCAGGATATTATCCAGGAGAACTTCCCAACCTAGCAAGACAGGCCAACATGTAAATTCAGGGAATACAGAGAACACCATTAAGATACTCCACAAGATCAACCCCAAGATACATAATCATCAGATTCTCCAAGGTCAAAATGAAGGAAAAACTGTTAAGGACAGCCAGAGAGAAAGGCCAGGCCACCTTCAAAGGAAAGCCCATCAGACTTATAGTGGACCTCTCAGCAGAAACTTTATAAGCCAGAAGAGATTGGGGACCAATATACAACATTCTTAAAGAAAAGAATTTCCAACCCAGAATTTCATATCCCTAGCCAAACTAAGCTTCATAAGCAAAGGAGAAATAAAATCCTTTCCAGACAAGCAAATGTTGAAGGATTTCATTACCACCAGGCCTGCCCTGCAAGAGCTCCTGAAAGAAGCACTAAATATGGAAAGGAAAAGCCAGTAACAGCCACTGCAAAAACACACCAAAATATAAAGACCAATGACACTACAGAGAAACTGCATCAACTAGTTTGCAAAATAAACAAATAGCATCATGAGGACAGGATCGAATTCACACATAACAATACTACCTTTAAATGTAAATGAGCTAAATGCTCCAATTAAAAGACACACACTGGCAAATTGGATAAGGAGTTGAGACTCATTGGCGTGCTGTATTCAGGAGACCCATCTCATGGGCAAAAGACACACACAGGCTTAAAATAAAGGGACAGAGGAAAATTTACCAAGCAAATGGAAAGCAAAAAAAAAAAAAAAAAAAAAAAAAGTAGGGGTTTCAATCCTAGTCTCGGACAAAACAGTCTTTAAACCAACAAATGGCTGGGTGCAGTGGCTCACACCTGTAATCCCAGTACTTTTGGAGGCCGAAGTGGGTGGATCACAAGGTCAGGAGTTTGAGACCAGTCTGGCCAACATGGTGAAACCCTGTCTCTACTAAAAAATACAAAAAAAGTTAGCTGGGCAAGGTGGCACATGCCTGTAATCCCAGCTACTTGGGAGGCTGAGGCAGGAGAATCACTTTAGCCGGGTAGCAGAGGTTGCAGTGAGCCGAGATGGCTCCTCTGTACCATAGCCTGGGTGACAGAGCAAGACTCTGTCTCAAAAAACAACAACAACAGCAACAAAAAACCCAACAAAGATCAAAGAAGAGCATTACATAATGGTAAAGGGAACAATTCAACAAGAAGAGCTAGCTATTCTAAATATATATGCACATAAAACAGTAGAAACCAGATTCATAAAACAAGTTCTTAGAGACCTAAAAATAGACTTGGACTCCCACACAATAATAGTGGGAGACTTTGACACCCCACTGTCAGTATTAGACAGATCAATGAGACAGAAAATTAGCAAGGATATTCAGGACTTGAACTCAGCTGTGGATCAAGTGGACCTCGTAGGCATCCACAGAACTCTCTACCCCAGATCAACATAATATACATTCTTCTCAGTGGCACATGGCACTTATTCTAAAATCGACCACATAATTGGAAGTAAAACACTCCTCAGCAAATGCAAAAGAATTGAAATCATAACAGTCTCTCAGACCACACTGCAATCAAATTAGAACTCAGGATGAAGAAACTCACTCAAAATCACACAATTTCATGGAAATTGAACAAACTACTCCTGAATGACTCCTGGGAAAATAATGAAATTAAGGCAGAAATCAAGAAGTTCTTTGAAACCAATGAGAACAAAGACACAATGTACTAGAGTCTCTGGGACACAGCTAAAACAGTGTTAAGAGGGAAATTTATAGCACTAAATGCTCACATCAGAAAGCTAGAAAGATCTCAAATAGACACCCTAACATCACAATTAAAAGAACTAGAGATGCAAGAACAACTAATCTAAAAGGTAGCAAAAGACAAGAAATAACTAAGATCAGAAATGAATTGAAAGAGATAAAGAGGCGAAAAACCCTCCCAAACGTCAACAAATACAGGAGCTGGTTTTTTGAAAACATTAACCAAATGGATAGACCACTAGCTAGACTAATAAGAAGAGAGATAGGAATCAAATAGACACAATAAAAATGATAAAGGGGATATCCCCACTGACCCCACAGAAACAGAAACTAACATCAGAGGATACTATAAACACATCTACACAAATAAACTAGAAAATCTAGAAGACATGGGTAAATTCCTGGACACATACACCCTCCCAAGACTAAACCAGGAAGAAATTGAATCCCTGAATAGACCAATAACAAGCTCTGAAATTGAGGGAGTAATTAATAGCCTACCAAACAACAACAACAACAAAAACCCAGGACCAGACAGATTCACAGCTGAATTCTACCAGAAATGCAAAGAGGAGCTGGTACCATTCCTTCTGAAACTATTGCAAATAATTGAAAAGGAGGAACTCCTCCCTAACTCATTTTTTGAAGCCAGCATCATCCTGACTCAAAAACCGGGAAGAGACACTACAAAAAAAGAAAACTTCAGGTCAATATTCCTCATGGCTAGGAAAATCCTCAATAAAATACTGGCAAACTGAATCCAGCAGCACATCAAAAAACTTATTCACCACAATCAAATTAGCCGAATCCCTGGGATGCAAGGTTGGTTCAACATATGCAAATCAATAAACATAATTAAATAATCCATCACATAAACAGAACCAAAGACAAAAAGCACATGATTATCTCAATAGATGCAGTAAAGACCTTTGATAATTTTCAACATTCCTTTATGTTAAAAACTCTCAATAAACTAGGTATTGAGGGAACATTTCTCAAAATAACAAGAGCTACTTGTGACAAACCCACAGCCAATATCATAGTGAATGGGCAAAAGCTGGAAGCATTCCCTTTGAAAACTTGTACAAGACAAGGATGCCCTCTCTCACCACTCCTATTCAACATAGTATTGGAATTTCCGGCCAGGACAAAGAGAAAGGTATTCAAATAGGAAGAGAGGAAGTCAAATTGTCTCTGTTTGCAGACTACATAATTTTATATTTAGAAAACCCCATCATCTCAGCCCAAAAACTTCTTGAACTGATAAGCAACTTTAGCAAAGTCTGAGGATACAAAATCAAAGTCCAAAAATTACAAGCATTCCTTTACATCAACAATAGGCAAGCAGAGAACCAAATCATGAATGAACGCCCATTCACGATCACCACAAAGAGAATAAAATACTTGGGAATACAGCTAACAAGGGATGTGAAGGACCTCTTCAAGGAAAACTATAAACCACTGCTCAAGCAAATAAGAGAGGACACCAACGAATGGTAAAACATTCCATGCTCATGGATAGGAAGACTCAATATCACGAACATGGCCATACTGCCCAAAGTAATTTATGGATTCAATGCTATTTGCATCAAATTACCATTGACACTCCTCACAGAATTAGAAAAAATGACTTCAAATTTCTTAAATGTAAAACCCAAAACCATAAAAGCCCTAGAAGAAAGCCTAGGCAACACCATTCAGGAAATAGGCATGGACAAAGACTTCATGACAAAAACGCCAAAAGCAATGGCAACAAAAGCCAAAATTGAAAAATGGGATCTAATTAAACCAAAAACTAAAGAGCTTCTGCACAGCAAAATAAACTATCAGAGTGAATAGGAAACCTACAGAATGGGAGAAAAGTTTTGCAATATACCTATCTGACAAAGGATTAATATCCAGAATTTACAAGAACTTGAACATATTTCCAAGAAAAAAAAAAAACCATCAAAAAAGCAGGCAAGGATATGAACAGACAGTTCTCAAAATAAAACATGTACATGGCCAATAAACATATGAAAAGAAGCTCAACATCACTGATTATCAGAGAAATGCAAATCAAAACCACAATGAGATACTATCTCATGCCAGTCAGAATGGAGATTATTAAAAGTCAGGAAACAATAGATGCTGGAGAGGATGTGGAGAAATAGCAATACTTTTACACTGTTGGTGGGAGTGTAAATTAGTTCAACCATTGTGGAAGACAGTATGGTGATTGCTCAAGGATCTAGAACCAGAAATACTATTTGACCCAGCAGTCCCATTACTGAATATATACCTAAAGGATTATAAATCATTCTACTATAAAGACACAAGCACAAGAATGTTTATTGCAGCATTATTTACAATAGCCAAGACTTGGAACTAACCCAAATGACCATCAATGATAGAGCGGATAAAGAAAATGTTGTACATATACACCATTGAATACTATACAGTCATAAAAAGGAATGAGATCATGTCCTTTGCAGGGACACAGTTGAAGCTGGAAGCCATAATTCTCAGCAAACTACACAGGAAAAGAAAACCAAACACTACGTGTTCTCACTTATAAGTGGGAGTTGAACATTGAGAACACATGGATCCAGGGAGGGGAAGAATACACACCAGGGCCTGTTAGTGGGTGGGTGTAAGGGGAAGGAACTTAGAGGACAGGTCAATAGGTGCGGCAAACCACCATGGCACATGCATACCTGTGTAACAAACCTGCACGCTCTGCATGTGGATCTCGTTTATTTTTTTAGAAAAAAAATAATTTTTTTGTGTAATAAAATACACATAACATAAAATGTGCCACCATAACCATTTTTAAATGTATATTTCCCTGGCAGTAAGTACAATTATATTGTTGTACAACCATCACCACCATCCAGTATTAATATTCATACCCATATATCAGAAGAACTGTGATAAGAATTTTGGTAGTATCATGAAGTTGGGCCCAATGTCAGATAATCTTTCCCTCTTAATAGATAACTCCCTATTCATTTCCTATTGTGGGCCTATTTAAGAATATTAGTTGTCATTGTTATGTTTGTGAAAAGAACATTAGTCCTAGCATCAGAAAATCTAGCATACAGCCATAACTCTACCATGTATGAGGAGGTGTTTAAGCTTGGCTAACATAATTACATATCAAGAAAAATGAGTAATCCAAATCTGTCTGGTTACTGGCCACTATGCAATTCAAACTCACACATGCAGCTGAGCCATACTGTCATCTCTCTTACGTGCCAATATACTCTCTTTTACTTAGTGTTTACATTTAGACAAACATGTAAAGCAAGCTGAACAAATACGCAAAAACAAAAACAAAACAAAAAATAAGAACAAAATAATTGTGTCTGTTCTGCTACCATAGTTGTCCACCATGATTTATTTTGTGATACCTAAGTCAAAGCATATGTTAGGCAAAACTAAATAGTTTATTTATACTAAATTCTGTGCTGCAAAATTGTATTGCAGAAAGAATGCTCTGACCTCATTGTATAATATTTGCTTTAAATCAAGCAAACATGTAAATCTTAGGAGTCATCTAAAGGACAAGCTAATTTAACTATAAATTGGTTCAACATTAATCAGAAGTATTTATCAAACTCCTCAAATACTATAAAATTAAAATGCAGTTAGGTGTTTTTCTAATTTAACATGTGAATATTGTTTAATATATTTACTTCAATAATTTGTGGAAAATATAATATCTTTGAGCATCTGTGAAAATAATTCCAGATAATATATGAGAATGATGATGCTTTATTTTATAAATACTTTTTTCTTTGTTAATCAAGCTTTATTCCTTTGATCAGTAGTAGCATTTGTCACTTTCCTGAAGCTTTCAAAGTAACTTAGAATTATGATAGACTGGATAAAGAAAATGTGGTACACATACACCACGAAATACTATGCAGCCATAAAAAGGAATGAGATCATGTCCTTTGGAGGGATATGGATGGAGGTGGAAGCCATTATCCTCAGCAAATTAACGCAAGAACAGAAAACCAAACAGCACGTGCTCTCACTTATAAGTGGGAACTGAGCAATGAGAACACATGGTCACAGGGAGGGGAACAACACACACTGGAGTTTGTTGGGGTTGGGTGACAGGGGGAAGGAGAGCATCAGGATATATAGCCAATGCATGCTGGGCTTAATACCTTGGTTTTGGGTTGATAGGTGCAGCAAACCACCATGGCACACGTTTACCTAGGTAACAAACCTGCACATGTATCCCAGAACTTAATATATATATGTGTGTATATGTGTGTGAATATATATATATGGTATATCCATGTTGAAATATTCTATCACTCATTTATATATTTGAATTGGATTGTCTTCTACATTTATCAGATTTTTGGTATTCATTGTAATAGGTAGTATTTTTAGTCTTTTATTATAAAGACATACATATTTTCGCAACTGTGGGCATATTTACTGAATGTCCTTTTTTTAAATCACAAAGCCACGGGTTCATGCCTAGGTTTAGTAATATGAATACAAATAAGGCTGTTAGAATTCTAAACATGAAATCTCATAATCATGTACTTATATGGAAATATTATAAAAAGAGTATTAAAATGTGTCTTTTCTAAAATTAAAATTTATATTGAATAATATGATTTTCCATTTTACAATTAGAAAGAGGATAAGTGTATTGTACTTGTCTGTATCTCATAGTTACCAATTTTATTTATTGAGAAAATAGTATGTATAAACTTTTTTTATATAAATTAGCTAGTTTCTTTCTCACAAATGTCTTTGGGGATAAATACTATTACTTTCTCCATTTTACAGATGAGGAAATTTAAACATATGGAATTTAAATAATTGGGCTTAAATCTCAATATAATGAATGGCAGAGATTAAACTGATATCTTTCCTGATGATGATAAACCCATCATGTGATGAACTGGCCAACTATCTTTATTGTGACAGGAAACATCTGTTCTCAATGCAATGAATTTGTAATTTTGTTGAAGATTTAAAGAATGTACAAGAATCAGCAAAATAGGATATATATATATCTATCTATCTTATATATATATTATACAGCAGTCAAGTCAACTCTTGACCATTGTTAAAACTGTTGACTCCACTAGCTGGAGAAGGAGCCGTGGAATCCTGGAAACTTAGCCTGTCCTTGACTGTCAGGTATGATTTGCACAGACAGAAAGGAGTAATCAAACATTTTCAATAGAAGGAACGTTTCCAAAAATATGCATTAAAAATCTGAATGGACATTCATTAGAAGACTCTGAAGATATAGACCTGAGAGCATTTATACACTGAGAACTAGATGTAAAATAAAGTTCCCCATGAAATATTATGATTTTGCAAGTCACTTGGTTCCATTTTAAAAATGTTGATAGGATTGAAGTTATATGTCAGCTAGCAAAGTGCTAAGAATGAATTATATTTCAAATTTGGGGTTAATAAATTCTCTGAGGAGGGCAATTGATAAAAGAGTGCATAATGAGCAGTATTTCCCAAGTAGTATCAGATCAAAGGAAGGTTTATGCTCCACTTTTCATGCGGCTCCATTGCATCATATACCAGAGGGCTTATAAAAAGTGTGCTTTTTTTTGAAGTTATCTGATGCAATATCCTGGATGACCCCAATCGTGAGATCATTGCTAGGGTTCTGAGTATTCATATATGACAGAACAGTATCCCAGATGCCAGCACTGACTCAGAATAAAATTCCTTAATACTTAGCTGATATTAATAATAGAACATTTTGTGAACCCAAAATAGCACTGAGGGACCAAGAAGTGAATAAGTCATGTATGTATATCATTATTAGTCACACTCTTTCCTGGTCAAGTGATATGGATTAAAGGAACATAACTGCAGGTGTTTGGGGTCAGTGTCATTAACCTTTCCCCTAATGAGCTTCCCTTGGAGAAATGAATGGAAATGCAATTAATGATAAAATAAGAGTAAAAGTTTGTAGTTGTGTAGTTTCTCTGCAATTCTTCACCAGAAAGAATTCAAGTATTCCTGCTGGTGATTGCTCTGTAATTATTTCTTTTATAGAAATACAAGGAGACTGTATTTTTAAAGAATCCTGCCTTTTTATAGATGGAGTTTAAAAGTACTGTACTACGCATTAGGATGAATACAATGCGGGAAAGTGGCCATGATGTCCTTGTTTTAGATGACAGAGTTTAATATTAGACTATCATGTCCTAAATTTGTGAGAAATCAGCTGATTCTAACAAAGAAAAAACTAAAATCAGTGACTTGTCCGAAGGCACGGTCCCCGAAAACACACCTTATATTTATAGGAAGATTCACAATACAGGAGAAAACATTATGTTCTTGTTTCTATGACATCACCCACTCCTCATTCATTTCCTGAGGTGTGACTTAATCTGCTTCCATATTCTCTGCAAGTTCATTCTCTTCCAACTGGCCATTCAGTATGGATTTTCTTATGCCTCCATACAAGAGTCTCATCTTATTGTATCTTCTCTGCCTATGCAATTTCATCCATAAAGTTATCATCACATATATACCAATGATTTCTAAATTCATAGAGCTCTGGCTTATATTTGTGCAAACAAATTTATCTCCTTGATGTTGTTATTGAATGTCTTAACAGGAAATCTATTACAAAATATTAAGACACAAATCTTATGAGCTTTCTCTAAAAACATTGTCCTTTTGTGAGGATCTTTATTTAGAAAATGGCTTCAACATTCTTCCTGTTCTAAAGGGCAGTAAACTGGTATCATGATCCACTCTTTCAAATTCAGTAAATCACCAGGTCTTATTGTCTTTGCTTTGTTTCCTAGGACAGGTATCCCTAAATGAAGGAACTGGATGCAAATTTATTTTATCTGGGAAAATATCCCAGGAAGTGATGATGAAGGGAGGAAGGGAGGAAGCCAGAGAAGGGAGAAAAGCCAAAAAATAGATGTATTATCAGGGAGGTTACTGCTGCAAGCAAGTGGCACTGAATTCCTCTGAGGAACTTCTGAAAAACTACATAATATACATCTCCAAATTGTTACTTCTCTGTGAAGGAGGAAAACTCTGGGTATTTATCCACCAGCCTCCTTTCATCTGTCATTGAGTGAGGATTGCTCCTGGGACATTAACTCTAGCTCTTCTCACCTACTCTGGAAAGGGGCAGAGCATACTCCAATGATGAGAGAACATGCTGAAGCATAGGTATATAGAGTGCCCTCAGCACGTTTGGAACTTAGTACAGGCCTCCTGCAGGGTAGGATGAATAGATTCAAGCAGGGCACTGAAGGCATCTGCTACATCGGTCAGTTTTATGGGAACTTCTCTCTGTTTCTGTGTCTCCACTCTCATCTAAGCTTTTATTCCCTCTTACTTGAACACTCAACTAATTTACCTGTATTCCCACATTTATTGCAACCAGGGAGTCTTTCTCAAAACACATCTGTGAGTATATCATTCCCCGCCATCTTAAAACGCTTTGGTGGATTTACCTTCTTCCTAGAACAAAGAGCAAAAATTAAACTGTTCACAGGTAATAGAAGGCTCTGCCCAGTCTGGTTTCTGTGATTCCAATCTCTCTCTCTTTTTTTAAATTTATTTTACAATATTCCCCATGGTTTTTATGTTCTAGTCATATCGGTCTTTATTTTTAAAAAATAATGCCCCAACTACAATATACACCATCTCATTCCAGGCTCTCGATTCTAACATAGACTATTTTCTAACGTACTGCTGCCAATTTCCTTTCACAATGCATACTCTGTTTACTTAGTTCTTTCCTCTTCGGTATTTGAAATACAGCATCTCAAGATATTTTCTCCATATTTTTGGTGTTCCTAATTGTCTGATAGACACTAAAATGGTGCGTAGACAGCCTAGGGACTAGGCACTGCTGGTTGTTCCTTAGATAGCACCCTAATTGCCCTTTGTCAGGAGTTCTTCCCCAAACTTAGTGTTCTTCTTCTTTACTGTACAGTCAGACATCGTAATTACACAATTACTTGTGGGAGTGTTGTATTGATTGTGATTATTGATTCTGCTATTTACTACTAATAAATGAACTTGGCTAACTTATATGTCTCTCTGAACTTTAGTGTACATCTGACAATTGGGAACTATAATTGTGCATACCTCACAGGATTGTTATGAGAGTTAAATGAAGTTGTTTTATATAACTTACTTAGCGCAGTGCCTGGCATACAGACAGATTTCAATAAAGTTTAGCTATTATAATCATCATCTTCCTCCTCTTCATCACGTCAGTATCCCACACAGTTCTCTCCCTCCTAATCAAATCAAATAGTTTCTTACTCCTTTCTTCAACTAATGTTTTCAGCTCCTGAGTGGAAAGAAAATAAAATCCCTTCTTACATGGCAAAAATTTAAAACAGAATAAAACTAATCATGTGTAGGGAAGTAAATTTCCAAAATTGTTTGATTCTTTAACAGCTGGAAAATGAAAATCTTTGGTGATCACATACTGGCATGGTATCACCTAGAGTAAAAGCATTAGCTGCAAGTGAAACAAAAGATAAACAATAGATTCAATTGCACTCTGTTAAGTAGCACATTAGAACCCAGAAATATCTCAGTAGTTCAAATAAAAATACTATAAAAAAGTAGGAATCTAATGAAGACTTGAAAACAAACTGAAAATTGACAATGTGTCAAAAAGCATCTTGTACTGAATTCAGCTTAACGTTATTTATCCAATCAAAGAAATAATCACCGGTGCATTACACATAGCAATATCTAAGACTTTGTTTTTTGTTTTATTCTCCTTTTCTTTTTACAGAATATGTGAACCCAGCATTAATTCCTTTTTATTATTTTTATTTTTTCCTTATGTATGTCAAGCCTTTGTTAAGCTCAAATAAGCCTAAAGTCAGTGAGGATTACAGAGAAACTTTGCTTTTAGCCCATTTTAAAATGTCAAATGCATTTTCTCCAATAGCATTTTATTAGCATAAATGTCTCTGCTCCTTTTGTCTTCCCCGATGTTTAGTTGTCTTTTAGTCTTTAATATAGAGTTCACAAGTTATAATAATTGGAAAAAAAACAACATTCATGCTTATTACTTAGGAAGAAACACTCAGCCTGAACAGATCTCTTAAATATTTTCTGTTTTTCCTGTTAATTTATATTGCATCATGGAAAGTATATTCTCCCCAATGACTGTTAAGAATTACTATGTATTTTAAATATTATTCCTTTTTTTTTTGGTTTATACTATCTTTTGCTAAGACATTGAATAAACACATTTACAAACATTTAATTACTTTTGAAAGAAAATTGATTAATATAGTATTAAATTCAAAACAAAATATTAGAATACTTTTTGCCATTTAAAATATTATTTTTCCAAAATTTTATAAACTTACACTGCCCTAAAATATTTTATTCCAAGTAGTTAAAATTATGAATTATTATATTATACAAATAAAGGTTATTATTAAAAAATGATGATTCAATGAGATGTACTAGAGTTATAATGATTAGAGTCATGAAAAAATTAGAACTGCTTTTGCTTTAAAGAAAATAACAATAGTAGATGAAACTGTTAAGTTTTGTTACCTTGAACAACCTGGAAAATAATAAATAATAATAATTAATATGTTAAGCATAAGGTATCATTTTTTAAAACATGATATTTATGTTTTTAAATTAAACCTTAGTTCTAAAAGCTGTACTTCTAGAAGTTTCTGTTTTAAAATTTTGTACTTTTTCAGATTAGTTGTAAATTCCCCATAGAGAAGAGTATCATTTTTTATTTCAATGAACTGCGTAACCTACTCTTAGGCTCTCAAATCAAAACTTATATGTAATTATGCATTTATGATATTGCACCAACTTGTGGAATTGTCTCTCATTACATTCCAAACAATATTTCTTCTGATGTATTTAATTCTCATATGGCACTTACAATTTTAACCATGCATTTAATTCCTAAATAACTGCCATCAATATTTATATGGTTGAACTTTTATCCTATTATATATTGTATAATTGCTACCATTAATTCATTTCCCAGAGGTTTACTTTTCAGAGTTATATAGTGTTTCAATGTCATATTATTTTGCAAAGCTCACTTTTTATGATGTAATAGTCAACTCTAGGCTTTAACCCAGGCTAGTGATTAATGACAACCCATTAACATGATTTATTAAAAAAAAACTTTATTTTTTTAAGACCCCTAATTATTGTGTTGTCAATAGTCTATTTCATTAGTGCTTACTTATGAGTGGTAATATTTATTTTGCCTTGAGAGTAAGACATTGTATTACTACCTTTATATCTTTGTACTTTTCATCTTAAATGTAATCATAATTATAACTCATAATTTTTCATGAAGCCAAATATTTTAAAATATAAATGATTTCATTATAACCAACTCTTTGGCTTTCTAGTACTGCTGGGTAATTATATTAAACAAAAAAACTCTATAATTTTGTATCAAATTTTAATTTTCCACCCATTTTTACAGTGAATTACTCAAATATGATCTTAATGTTATACAACCTGACAAAAAGCATTTAAAATTATATTTGCTGTTAGTGTACCACTATTCTATAAAAATTCAAATCCCTTTCCTCATTAAAGTGTGAGTTTATAGATCCAATAATGACAGATTCCAATTCCCTTTCAAAATATTTCATAATGTATATTGCATGTTTTTACTAGGGCAGATTACTACTTTGCATTAGTATAAACGCTTTGGAAGATAGCTTTTTTGACAAGGTGCAATATTGAATACATAAGTAGTTAATAGTGCACAATGTGCTATACCAATTGATCGAACCAGAAGAAATGAATATACATGAAGTGCAACTTGATTCATCCATTACCTTTCAAAGTAACGCAAGACTAAAATATATTTACTCTATGGCAACATTCTGCATCTAAGAATCATAAAGGAAAACATAAGTACATTAAAAATTGTAATGAAACATAATTATTGAATGGCAACAAAAAATAGTACAGTTCATAAATGAGGTATAACTTCTCCTCAAAGGGTTTTAAATCTATAAAGATGTACTTATGGTTTATTTTATTTTATTTTTTAATATTTTTCCTTTTTTTAGCTATTTCTTTTGTAATTTTTTTTCATTATACTTTAAGTTCTGGGGTACATGTACAGAACGTGCCATTTTGTTACATAGGTATACACGTGCAATGGTGGTTTGCTGCACCCACTAACCCGTCATCTACATTAGGTATTTCTCCTAATGCTATCCCTCCCCTAGCCCCCAACCCCCTGGCAGGCCCCTGTGTGTGATGTTCCCCTCCCTGTGTCCATGTGTTCTCATTGTTCAACTCCCACTTGGGAGTGAGAACATGCAGTGATTTGTTTTCTGTTCCTGTGTTAGTTTGCTGAGAATGATGGTTTCCAGCTTCATCTATGTCCCTGCAAAGGACACGAACTCATCATTTTTTAGGGCTGCATAGTATTCTATGTTGTATATGTGCCATATTTCCTTTATCCAGTCTATCTTTGATGGGCATTTGGGTTGGTTCCAGGTGTTTACTATTGTGAATAGTGCTAGTGCTGCAATAAACATACGTGTGCATGTATCTTTATAGTAGAATAATTTATAATCCTTTGGGTATATACCCAGTAATGGGATGGCTGGGTCAAATGGTATTTCTAGTTCTAGATCCTTGAGGAATCGCCACACTGTCTCCCACAATGGTTGAACTAATTTACACTTCCACCAACAGTGTAAAATGTTCCTATCTCTCCACATCCTCTCCAGTATCTGTTTCCTGACTTTTTAATGATCACCATTCTAACTGGCATGAGATGGTATCTCATTGGATTTTGATTTACATTTCTCTAATGACCAGTGATGATGAGCTTTTTTTCATGTGTGTTGGCTGAGTAAATGTCTGCTTTTGAGAAGTGTCTGTTCACACCCTTCACCCACTTTTTGATGGGGTTGTTTTTTTCTCATAAATTTGTTTAAGTTCTTTGTAGATTCTGGATATCAGCCCTTTGTCAGATGGATAGATTGCAAAAATTTTCTCCCATTCCGTAGGTTGCCTGTTCACTCTGATGATAGTTTCTTTTGCTGTGCCTAAACTCTTTAGTTTAATTAGATCCCATTTGTCAATCTTGGCTTTTGTTGCCATTGTTCTTGGTGTTTTAGTCATGAAGTCTTTGCCCATGTGTATGTCTTGAATGGTATTGCCTAGGTTTTCTTCTAGGGTTTTTATGGTTTTAGGTCTTACATTTAAGTCTTTAATCCATCTTGAGTTAATTTTTGTATAAGGTGTAAGGAAGGGGTCCAGTTTCAGTTTTCTGCATATGGCTAGCCAGTTTTTCCAACAACATTTATTAAATAGGGAACACTTTCCCCATTTCTTGTTTCTGTCAGGTTTGTCAAAGATCAGATGGTTGTAGATGTTGGCATTATTTCTGAGGCCTCTGTTCTGTTCCGTTGGTGTATATGTCTGTTTTGGTACCAGTACCATGCTGTTTTGGTTACTGTAGCCTTGTAGTATAGTTTGAAGTCAGGTAGTGTGATGCCTCCAGCTTTGTTCTTTTGGCTTAGGATTGTCTTGGCTATTCAGGCTTTTTTTTTGGTTCCATATGAAATTTAAAGTAGTTCTTTTCCAATTCTGTGAAGAAAGTCAATGGTAGCTTGATGTGGATAGCACTGAATCTATAAATTACTTAGGGCAGTATGGCCATTTTCACGATATTGATTCTTCCTATCCATGAGCATGAAATGATTTTCCATCTGTTTTTGTCTTGTCTTATTTCCTTGAGCAGTGGTTTGTAGTTCTTGAAGAGGTTTATTTTTAAAGTTTACATTTTTAGTGAAGTAGTGAATTATACTATCCATAATTTTCTACAAACATTATTCAAAAATGACAGATGATTTTCAAATTTAAAAATCTACTTGATAATCATATCCTCTTGTCTAATCAATTTTCATTGGAAAACTACTCTTTGTAATAGCATGTTTTATTTCTTAATTAAATCTATGTGTTTAAATGCACAAACACGATACATATGTGCATGTAATATATATATATATATATATATATATATATATATAAGAGATTTTTTTTTAGTGAAGAGAGCCAATACTTCTCTAATGAAACTGGCTTTGCCCAGTGAATGTTTTTTTTCAGTGCTCTGTGAAGTCCGTATATTAACTCTGAGTTGAAGAAATGGGGAGTGAAAGAGGATTCTTAACAATTACTTACAGTTTTGAAACGCTGGACATTTCTGATTTCTATTTGATCCTGCCATAAACAAAAAGACCTAGAACAAGTTAGTTGAAAAGTAAATCTGTCTATATTACTAGGTCAGTGTATTATTATTTTAACATGTTATTGGGAAATTTTATTTTAGAGTATGTGGTAGATAGATTTCTAAGATGATTCATCCCCTTGCATAATCCTTTGTCAAGTGTAAGCAGGACCTGTGAATATAATAGAATATCAGTCCTATGATTGGATTACATTACATGGAAAAAGGTATTTTACAGATTTAATAGAGGTCTCTAGTCAGTTGGCTTTGTATTATTAATCAAAAGAGAGATTATCCTGAGAAGAACTGACCTAATCTAGTGGTGAGTCTTTAAAAGGGACTCAAGTCAGGAGACAAATTCCAAGTAAAAGAGATACTCCTCCTACCCTCCAACAAACAAAAAGTATGTTGTGACCTGCCTCTGGAGGAGGCCATGTGGCAAGAAGCTAAGGGCGCCCTCTAGGTGCTGAGAGCAGTCCCTGGCCCACACCCAGCAAGAAAATGTTACTTCTTTTCTACAGAGGGGCAAAACTGAATTCTGATAACCATTGAGTTTGGGAGAGGACTCTGAACCTCAGATGAGATGACAGCTGTCACTGACATCTTGATATCAGCCTAGTGAGAACCTGAGCAGGGGACTCAGTTAACATGTACCCAGATTCCAGATCCACAGAATTGTTGAGATAATAAATCTATGTTGTTTTAATTTGTACTAATTTGTTATATAGCAATAGAAAATTAATACAGGATGTAAAGAGAAGGAATATAGGGATTTAGAGAAATATTAGGGAGACTGGTAAAACAAAAAAAAAATGCCAGAAAAAAAAAACAGAAAAAAGTTGAAGCATAAGGTATCTGTATTCATTTTTCTACCATTTGTGCTTTGTTTCTAAGCCATAAGTCCTATGTTTAGTCATTGTCCACTAACTACATGTATTACGAAGTTTTTAAGTCAAAGATTAATATTGTATATTTATATTGGTGTCATATCTATTTAGGCTATTAAATTATTTTTATAAGCACTAACACATCTTTGTCATTTTCCATCTATATCTTTATTTTATATATATGCCTAATATAGAAAGAATGAGCTAAATTTGGAATATTATTCATGATATAAATGGATTTGAATTTTTTGTTATTATATGGCCATAAGTGCAATCATATAATAATGTCTATATCTTGGTCAAAATATGACAGATTAAATTTTTAAGCATCTATCAGCCTCAAGATCTTAAAACTTATAAGTACTACTAAAATATGGCTGTCATAATAGAAACCATGAATATATAAAGTAAACTGATTTCATGGTACGCCCAGCGTTGAGTTCATTGACAGTTGATTTATGCATTTATATTTTCATCATTCAAGTATTAAGGGAATGCTAACTTTATAAAAACAGGAAATAACCTGTAAAGGTCACTTTTACTTGTCAACTTGTTATGGTATAGTGCCCCTGTTATTCAATCAAACACTAAGGTAGGCACAGCTGCGAAGGTATTTTGTAGATGTGATTAAAGTTCATAATTAGTTGACTTTTAGTAAAGGAGCTTATCCTCAATGATCTGAGTGGCCTGATTAAGTTATAAAGCTTTATTAAGAGGAGAACTGCAAAAGCAATTCTCCCTGTGGACTGCAGCTTCAGCTCTTGCCTAAGAGTTCCAGGCTGCCCTTTCTGATGGCCTGCCCTATAAATTTCAGATTTGCTTAGCCGTGCCTCACAATTTTGTAAGCCACATCCTTATGATAAATCTTTTGATAACACATATATCACTGATACATATATATCACTCAGTTTTCTGGTGGAACTCTGATACATACCTCTTTTCTTTGCAAATTTATAGCAATCACAGAGGAAACTTTCATGGATATAAAATCATTAGGTAAAAACTTTTTATGTTGTAAACATCATCAAAGTCATGATGTTTAAAAAACCAACCAAACAAAAAATACTAGCAGACAAACACATCTACCATACAGCAATGGAAAATTAGCAGCCCCAACATTTTATTCTGGATTTTCTGAAGAAATAAATTAAGATGATATCCACATATTTCCATAAAAAGCTTTCAAAATAAGTAGTACTTACTACTCTATGTGCATATGATTATTGCTGAATTGGTTTTCAGTTTGGATTATGCATATATATGATGCACATATATGGCATTATGCAAAAAAATGTTAAATGCTAAGAGGAATATGAGGGGTTTCTGAGAGAGCATGTACTTTCTTATGAGGGCAAGCTTTAAATGGCATTGAGGTCATTATCACTAGGGATTCAATCATTTCCAACAATCCCTTCAACCGGGAGGATTATGGGCTGACATCTCATTATTGAAGTACTGAAACATGAATAATTTGTCCTACGTTGATAGGAGATACTGAAACCCATATAGTTATGAGGTCATAGCTGTAAAGAATAAACTCTAAAATTATTACAAAAGAATAATAATGGGAAAGAAATACTAATGAAAACTATGATTGTATATACATCCCATGTAATTTACATATATTCATCATCTTTTGTTAAATAAATATGGTTATCAGATGTTTATCTTGTTTAAATAAAATTGCGTTTTTTAAAAAAGTCTATTGCTGATATTTCCAAATTTCCTATGAAATTAAGTGGCAGAGAAGGAATATAAATGAGAGAAAAAAGCAAAAGATTCATGAGTTAATGAAGTAGTCATTCTTGGGACTGAAAACAGGTACATCCTTCTCTCTTTGGTTTTTCTTATATAATATAATATGAAATAATAAAAATGCCGAGTCATTGCATGTTCAGTGAACAGAGTAAATTTGAATACAGTATCAGAAGTGTGGCAAAGTAAATATAAATATTATTTATAAAGGAAATCTGACTTTCCAAGCATATGTGAAATTATTCATATTTAAAACAAAAACAATACAAAATCAGCTTAATAATGATTTTACAGCAGTTGTTACAAAGAACCAGTGTTAAAATTTTATAACAAGTTTACTAGTAGACTATGCAAATATCTCTGTCCACATTCTTAAAGAGAACAGAACACAGATTAAATAAGATTAGTGTAAGTGTGTAAGCAACTAAAGGTATTCAGTGTTGCAGTGAAAATTAGCCTGCAGCATAGAGCTGATTTTGCTATTTCAACCAAACTACATCATTGCCAGCCATATTGAAAATCTCATTTGTCCAAGAATTAAGGATAAATAATCTCTAATTTCATTAAGTAAACTTTGAATTATTGAAAATATGTTTTATTATTAAAAGAAAGCATTGGAAAATCATCAGCTATTCCTTTAATCTATCTTTTAACAAAAAATACAATAATAAAGACTAACATGAAACAGAGAGACACTCACAGGTTATATAAAACCTCTAGGCCCATTTGTCCAGCATTTGTAAATCTCTTATCGAGAGTGAAGGGCAAAAAATATATTTAGTTGGTTTCCTCATAGATGGATGTTGACTTGGAAAAAAAATAGAACTTTAAAAAAAATAGATCTTAAAAGGGGCTACATGTTTTTTACTGATAAAATAGAAGTACAGAAATATCACGTTTCTCTTAATGCTTCTGTATGCAGTTTATATAATATTTTGCAATATTCTCTTAAAATTAAAATGATAATAGCAAATGAGTAACAGAAGAATTGAGATGATAGAACTAAAATTAAGAATTTTTGGTATAGAACTTTTGAGAAATTTACATGTATAAATATATATGTATTTATATGCTGTAACTCTACATATGTATTTATACATGCATATAATTAAGAATATTATAATTTCAAAAAGTGCTGATGAATTACCCTAGTTTTCACTTCCTCCAAATATTTTTAATTTTCTACTTTGTATGTCCTTTCATACAGTGTTTTATCTTGAACACTTATCTGAAAATAAATAATTTCTCAAAAGATCACAATAAAGTCACATGGTCATTGAGTTCATGATTTTAAAATGCATTTATTTATTTTTATAGAAACCAAGGTTGTCGTCTTCCATGGTCCTTGGTGAACTTCCCATGCTCCATCAGCCTGGGTGCACAGCATAAGCAAGAACAAAACTATTGTTTTAAGACCTGGAGTGGTTGGGTAAGGGCAAGGTTGTGTTTAAAGATGCATCAGAATTCAGACAAAGGAATAGCCCCTAATATCATACTCAGATACTTTTTCTGTCATCTGAAGTATACGTGTCCTCATCCTCCTCAGGGCTGTGCTGTTCTTGGCATCTTTCACAGCCACTGCTATGCTCACACTGGTGTATACACTTCCTGTGGTGGCTCCATCAGAAGCCAGCGAAGAGGTGATTCTATTGTATTTCTTAGAGTATTACGTGAAGCCCTATGCCAATTTGGGCCATTCCTTGTGGGCCTCTTTCTGAGCATTGTCATGCACCAAAAGCACCAAGAAAACACTCTCAGAACCAAGGTGCAGGCCCTGCTGGGTGGAGATGCTCCCTGGTCAGCCTATTTGCTGTGACCACTCTGGCATATGTGGTGGACGATGCCTCTGCTTCCTCTCTAGTGGCTGCAGCTCTCTACCAAGCCCTCCACCAGATCTGCAGCTCTCTACCAAGTCCTCCACTGGACCCCCTCAATTTCCAGCGATGAGGCTTAGGGTTGAGGATAGACTTGAGATGCTGGGATCCAAGTTCTCAGATGTGTGTTTTTTCTAGGTGTATAACTTCATATTAACCGTCTACAACTTGTGGATGTCTCCCATCACTTATAATAAAGCTCTTTGTTTGCTTAAAAAAAAAAAGTCCTTTTTGTATGCCACAGAGGCTATGGAGGTCTGGTGAACTTCGTGCTTTCTTGGGACATCTGGATTTTTTGGCCAGCATCAGTTATGCTTGCTACTTACTCTGGTCATCCTCTGCAATGAGCTTCAGGAAACACTTGCTCACTGCACTGACAAGATGTTCTATCTTTTCTCTGGACACTGTCTGCTGACCTTCATTACTGGGCTGGCCCTGACGCTATTCACTGGGAAACCATCCTGGGAACTGAAGCAGTTCCTGGTGGGCCATGAATGTTCTGGTTAAAAGCCAGAAGAATGGATGGGTCTTTGTTGGTGGTGACAAGCAAAGACCCCGTGGCCTTGTTTATGTAATGAATGCTTGTGTTGCTGAGAAAGGGTGTAAATCTGATTTTGTGAAAGTCTGATATATCCAAGCTCTTTGTATGTAGTATTTAAAAGAGTTCTGAGTACTTATGATGCAAAAGAATTCTATGATAATTTTTAGTAGCACATTAATCAACTTCTGTTGGAACTTTTTAGCAAAAAAAAAAAAACCTAGATTTCTTTTTTGCTTGATCTGTATTTGATTTTTATACCAATGATCATAGGAAATGATCAAATGTGAATTTAATGTAAGTTGGGTTCTGAAGCTCACTTGGGTTATAACATTTGCATTTCTCTGTAAAATTATAGTAGGCAGTATGCACTTTCCTACAACATAATTGTTCATATGTTATTATGGTATCTTTGTAAACTAGTAACTTTATCCTAGAACCTCAGGGTGGTATGTCTGACTAGCACACACAATTCATGGGTTTGTCATTATAGGCCTTTCAAATATCACCTTTTCTTCAAGATGGTCCTTGTTTTGGACTAAATTGTATTTCTGCCCCCAAAATCCTATGTTGAAATCTAACCCCCAGTGCATCAGAATGTGGCTTATTTGGAGACAGGGTCTTTAGAAGGTAATTAAGTCAAGTGGGGTCACTGGAGATGGAGACTCTAATCCAGTATGGCTGGTGTCCTTATAAAAAGAGGAAATTTAGACACAGAGACAGGCAAGCACACAAGGAAGATGATGTGAAGATACACGGGGAAAAGACGGTCGTCTGCAAACCAAGGAATACCAAGGATTGCTGGCAAAGACCAGAAACTGAGGGAAGCAAAGACCAGAAACTGAGGGAAGTAGTCTCCCCTAGAGCTGTCCAAGAGAGCATGGCTCTTTAGGACATCTTGATTTTGGACTTCTCGCCTCCAGAACTGTAAGACAATACATTTCTGTTATTTCAAGCCACCCAGTTTATGGTGCTTTGCAATAGCGGCCTTAGGGAACTAAAGTAGTGCCCCCCAAAAAATGACAAAGAAGGAATAAACCTCAGTGAGGGACTTTTAGCCCAATCCTTCAATTTCCAGTGATGTGGCCTAGGGGTGAGGATAGACTTGCAAGGCCAAATAGAGACGCTGGGATCCAGGTTCTCAAGCGTGTGTTTCTCCTAGGTGTATAACTTCACATTAACTTGTCTACACTTGTGGATGTCTCCCATCACTTATAATAAAGCTCTTTGTTTGCTTTAAGAAAAAAAGAAAAGAAAGAAAGAAAGAAAGAAACCAAAAGAAAGTTACTTCACTCATGCCTGAAAATACAAATGATTTATTGATTTACTTGCTCTTATTTCTTCCCACTTGATATTAAATCACAAATAAAAGCATGGTAATGTTCTCGCAGAGCTATGTAAGGACATAATGTTTTAAATACTGACTGGAATGAATATATATTTTGACATTGATACCAGAGAAATGTTAGTATCATTTTGATTTTCAATAATTCAGATGTTAGGCTTTTAGAACTTTTACATATACATTTCTTGGGTATATTCAAAATTAATAAGGTCATATGGTTGCCATAAGAAAATCATAGCTAAAGTGATTTAAAATGTAGGAGCCACAATTGATTTAATTACACGCCAAGAAATGAAGAACAAAAATGATATAAATGCTTCTAATAGGAAAAGAAAACTGTTTTTACAGAGTTAAACCATCATCGAGTTAAACAAGCACATAACCTATCTTGGTTTGGACCTTCGGAGAGTGGACTGATGGCCTGAAGTGTGATCTGAATTGATGGGGCAGAGACATTCTATACACACAGATAACCGGCCTCTCGTCTTGCGAAGTTCTCCAGTGCATAGTCAGAGCTAGTGACCTTACTGAGTAGGGTGACTAAGAGTGTGACAAAGGGTGACTCTGCCCATATTTTCTCTGTGTCTTCCCATTGCGATGGGTCATTTTAAAGCTGACACCAATCTTTAACCCATAAGTAATTCTATATTAAAAAAAAAAACCCTGGTTACAGCACATTTAATAGTGATAATTCCACAGTATGTTAATTATCTGGTCTCTCTAAAATAAGTCACTGTAAGGGGCTCCAGCTTTTTTCTTATGATATTAAATAAATCAGAGAAGAAGAGGTTATCATGATGGTTCAGAGCCACTCCAAGTCCAGAAAGAGAGAAGTCCCGAAGAGTTATAAGGATTTAACGAATTGGTTGCTCAAACTCTTTGGCAGTAGAAAGGTTGTGCAGGAATCTAAAGGCAGAGAGAGACTGAAACTAATGAAAGAAGTGAACCATAAAAGTAAGTTTTTTCCTCCTAGGGTACTTCTCCAAAATGCAATTTTCTTAGCCCCATACCCTAGGGTAATTTTGAGACTGATGGTCTGAAACCACATTTTGAGAGACTCCTTTAAGAGCTCTTTTTATTGTCTTTCAACCCAGCTTCCTCAAGGTATGGTGGTCATGTATTTAAATTGGTGCTTAAGAATATATTCAATTTTAGATTCATAGCTCCCCCAGCTGATTTTAAGATTTGATTTTTCCTTTTCATCTAGAGGGGCTTTTTAGTTTCACTATAGTATGCTTAATGTGGATGTCTTTTAATATTTTTCAGTACTCAATTGCAGTATAATTGACGTGCAATAAATGGAACTTGGAAACATATGCTTACACCCGTGAAACTGCTAAACACAGTATGACAGTTGAATAGAGACATCACCATCCAAAAATTCTCTGGCCCCTTTGTAGTCCCTACCACCTGCCCCACATGTGCCCAGACAGTTACCAATCTTGTGATTGTTAGTTTTTATTTTGTAGAATTTCATATTAATGAAATCATACAAAATATACTCTTTTTATCTAACTTCTTTGGCTCAGTTTATTCTTTTATATTGCTGAGTAATATTGATTATCACTTCACTTATTGGTGGACATTTGAATTGTTCCCAGTTTGGGATATTATAAATAAAGCTTCAGTGAATATGTGTGTACAGGTCTTTGGCCAGACATGATTTGATATCAATTAGTCAAACATCTCAGGCAGAAAAAAATGGGTCATTTGGCAAATGTATGTTTAACTTAAAAAAAAAAAAAAAAAGCCCTGCCCAGTGATTTTACATTTCCAGCAGCAATGCATGAGAGTTCCAATTCCTCTAGATCCTCACCAACACTTGGTATGGTCAGTTTTTAAATTTTGCACATTCTAATAGGTGAATAGTAGTAGCTCCTTATTGTTTGCCTTTGTGCTCATCAAATGAATAATGATATTGAGCATCTTTTTATGTACCTAATTGCCATCTATATGTACTCTTTGGTAAAGTTTCTCTTTAAATTGGTTTGTGGAAAAAGTTAACAGTTATCTTTATTTTTAAAATAGACTCCATGGTTCATTCCTTTTAGCTTTTCATTTTTCTCATTTTATTCTGCAGGGATATGGACACATCTCCTGGATATGGAACAGGAAACTTACATTAGAGGATTAAATCTGATTGCATGGAAAGCAAGTCAGGAACTAAATGGAAATGTTTGTTTGTTTGTTTTGAGACAGAATTTCACTCTTGTCGCCCAGGCTGGAGTGCAATGGTGCGTACTCAGCTCACTGCAACCTCCGCCTCTCGGATTCAAGAGATTTTCCTGCCTCAGCCTCCTGAGTAGCTGGGACTACAGGTGGCATCGCAAAGTGCTGGGATTACAGGCATGAGCCACTGCACCCAGCTGGAAACTAGGTCTTTAATGACATTATTCAGTTACCTAACTTTCCTGTGTAACCCACTGATGGACATCACCCTCTAGGAGGTGAAAAATACTTATAAACTGCTATTGTAGATTTGTATGTTACCTGTAGAGGAATGGGTGAGAAAAAAAAAGTCAAATGAAAAATATTCCTATACGCCTGTGCTATAATTATATATGGAGGGGGATCTTGTTCTCTAGAGTTCAGTGGCCCAATCACAGCTCACTGCAGCCTTGAACTCCTGGGCGCAAGACATCCTTCTGCTTCAGCCTCTCTAGTAGCTGGGACTACAGGAGCATGCTACTATGACTGACTAATTTTTTTTAATTTTTTGTGGAGGCAGAGTCTCACTCTCTGTTTTCCAGGGTGGTCTTGAACTCCTGGGCTCAGGTAATTCTCTTGCCTTGGCCTCCCAAAATGCTGAGATTACAGGCATGAGCCACTGTGCCAGGCCATGTGCTATAAATACTGTTTGATTTTAATGAAACATCTAATTCTCTTTCTTTTTGTTAAAGAGCTATTTTCACTAATTTCCTGCAGTAGGAAGATCCTCAGCTGAAAAAAATTGCTCAGCTCTAGATAATTATTGCTTCTCTGAGATCTATGTGAAAATGATAAGGATGGTCCTTTAATAGCCATATCTGCACCACATTGAGTGCCCAATTATAGTTGACTGATAGAAAGTATAAACCTCCCCCAGAGTTAGAAAATCTGTACTTAGGCTTCATGGTCTTTCTAACCCCTACAAAAAAATTTCTATTTAAAAAAAAAGGAGAATGTCACAGTTTTCAAAACGTTTGCTGCTCAGTGTGTGGACTATAACTTGCAGGGAGTAAATATTATCTGGGACCTTCCAGGAAAGATGGATTCCCAGGTTCCAGAAAGACCCACAGATGTAGAAGATTGTGTTTAACCAGAATTCCCCGTGAATTGTATAGCCATTTAAATAAAATTAATTAAATAAAATCGACATTTAAAAGCAGTACTCTAAAGCACTTCAGTCCTTAATTTTAGTCTATATCTGAGTTTTAGACCTATATGTGCCATTGCATTCCATGAACCAACTCTGTGATTTTATACTAGACGTTCCTTACAAAAGTAATAAATAGCTTATACATGCCTCCCCACCCGGAATTTTTTTTTTTTTTTTGCTTGTTAGCTACTATGGATTTTTATTACTTACAAATCAAGGGCCCTTAATAAATCAGCTTCTCAAACAAAATTTCCTTTAGCACTGTAGCACAAATCTTGAAGTCTGGAAGCAATTACTGTGCATATCAATGATAATGACAGATGTTATACATTGGGGTTGGCTTACAATCATCTGCAGGTTAATTTTATTATTTTGATTCATACTTGGGAAATTCATATTAATGAAGATTACCTCAAAAGAGCTGAGTTTCATTTTCCTCAAGAATTCAGATAAAGTTAATGTAAATTTTTTTTTGAAATGGCATTTTAGAAGACCAGGTAGCCATAATTACATACCTTCTTATCCTTATAATCAGTAGGTATAAAGGCTACTGTTATAAGAGAAAAGTAACTACTAAATATTGAAATAAAAGAGTAACTTGCAATACATGATTCTGGTAGCTACTTGAATAGGATTAGGACACATCTGTGCACTCAAAGAAAATGAAATATTTTAAAGTGAATTAAATTACCTTTCAGTAATTCAAGTAGAAAAAAATCTAACATGCAAGGCAAAATCTGCAGAAATGTAAGCATAATACTTTTGCATAGCAAATTCTTAAAGCTCTTTATGTGATATTAGCAAAAAGGCAGATACGCTATTCAGGGTACTTTATGAATGAAAAAAATTGAAATTAACCAAATTATATAATTCCATATAATAAATCTAAAAATTTATGAGAATATTTTAATATGATTTGCACCATTTTATTTATAGGTTTAATCTTTTTAAAGGAGGTAACAAAGAGACATTGACCACATTCTTTCCATTATGATAGTGATTTTTAGTCTAAAGCAAGTTTTATACTTTATTCTAGAAAAACATCACAAGGATGAAGAAAAATCAATTTGCTTTCTGTGGTTGTTCTTCTAAAATTTAAGGATACTAGCAAGTTTAGAAAAGAAAGAATTAGTCAATTTATAAACAATCAATGTTACATATACGTGTGTGTGTACACATGTGTGTGGTGTGTATCAGCCAAGAACAACATATGACTACTTGATTTATGTCTCGAAATATTTCAAAGTTACATTCTATAAATCATTAATTCTTAATGTTTGAACAATGAGCTAGTGTTCAGTGACAGAATTCTAGAAAGAATGACATTGAAGTGCTGCTTCTCAAAACTCAACTTGTGAAATAAGAAAAAAATAATAATATAATAGAACAGTCTACAGTGATACCATCCTGAACATGTCTGATCTTTTCTGATCTCAGAAGCTAAGCAGGATTGGGCCTGGTTAGTACTTGTATGAGAGAGTGCCTAAAAATAACACTTGAAGTCTTGAAACAATTACTGTAAATATCAGTGAATGAAGGAATGAAAAGACAAGCCACTGACTGAGGGGAAATATTTGCAAAGACATCTGACAAATAACTGTTATCCAAACTGTACAAAAACTCTTAAAATTCAACATTAAAAAACACACAGCCAATAAGCATAGGAAAAAAAAAGCTCAATATTCACTAATCATTAGATAAATGCAAATCAAAACCATAATGAGCTATTATCTCACACCAGTCAGAATGACTATTATTAAAAATTCAAAAAATAACAGATGCTGGTGAGTTGCAGAGTAAAGGGAACACTTTTATACATTGCTGGTGGGAATGTAAATTAGTTCAACCATTGTGAAAAGCAGTGTGGCAATTTCTCAAAGAACATAAAACACAAGTACCATTCGACCCAGCAATCCCATTATTGGGTATATAACCAAAGGAATACAAATTGTTCTACCAATAAAGACATATTCATGTGTATGTTCATGGCAGCACTAGTCACAATAGCAAAGACATGGAATCAACCTAAACGCTCATCCACAGTAGACTGGATTAAAAAAATGTGGTACATCTACAACATAGAGTACTACATAGCCATGAAAAAGAATGAGATCATGTCCTTTGCAGCAACATGGATGGAGCTGGAGGCCATTATCTTAGAGTGAACTAACACAGTAAGAGAAAAGCAAATACCACATGTTCTCACTTACAAGTGGGAGCTAGCACTGAGTACACATAGACACAAAAAGGGAAGAACAAACACCCAAACAGAGGGGCCCACTTGAAGGTGGAGGGCAGGAAGAGGGAGAGGATTGAAAAACCACCTATTGGGTACTATGTTTATTATCTGGGTGATAAAATAATCTGTACGCCAAATCCCCATGACATGCAATTTACCTCTGTAACAAACGTGCACATATACCCCTAAAGCTAAGATAAAAGTAAGAAAAAAAACCTTCAATTTTTTTTTTTTTTTTTTGAGACAGAGTCTTACTCTGTTGCCCAGGCTGGGAGTGCAGTGGCGCGATCTTGGCTCACTACAACCTGTGCCTCCCGGGTTCAAGCAATTCTCCTGCCTCAGCCTCCCCAGTAGCTGGGATTACAGGCTGGTGCCACCATGCCCAGCTAATCTTTGTATTTTTAGTAGAAACAGGGTTTCACCAGGTTGGCCAGGCTGGCCTGGAACTCCTGACCTCAGGTGATCCGCCCTCCTCAGCCTCAAAGTGCTGGGATTACAGGCGTGAGCCACTGCGTCTGGCCCAAAAACCCTCGATTTTTGATTTTTAAAAGTTCCATATCTTAATAGAATCTTCATCAAAAAATAGATAGAAATGGCAAATAAGCATGTAAAAAGATGCTCCATATCATATATCATCAGAGAAATGCAAGTTAGCACAACACTGAATGGCCAGATAGGGTGATTCACACCTGTAATCCCAACACTTTCAGAGGCCGAGGAGGGAGGATTGCTTGAGGCCAGGCACGAGTTCGAGATTAGCCTGGGTAACACAGGGAGACCCTGTTTCTACCAAAAACAAACAAACAAAAAAATAAAAAATAAAAGAAGAAGAAGAAGAAAGAAAAATCCCAATGAATGAGACACTATTAAATAACTATTAGAATGGTCAAAATCCAGAACACTGATGACATCAAATGTTGGCAAGGATGTAGAGCAGTAGGAACTTTTATTTATTGCTGGTGGGAATGCCATATGCTGTAGTCATGTTGGAAGACAGTTCGATGGTTTCTTACAAAACTAAACACATTTTTACCATGCAATCCAGCAATCATGGCTTCTTGGTATTTTAACTTCAAAAAAATTAAAACTTATGCCCCTACAAAAACTTGCACAAGCATGTTTATAGCATCTTTATTCTAATTGCCAAAGTTTGCAGGCAACTAAAATATCTTTCGGTAGGTAAATAGATAAATAAACCATGGCACAGCCAAACCATGAAATATTATTTAATGATAAAGATCTATCCAACCATGAAAAGGCATGGAAGAAACTTAAATGCACTTTATTATGTGAAAGAAGTCAATGTAAAAGTGCTATATACTATGATTATGACTATATAACATTTTGGAAAAGACAAAACTATAGAGACAAAAAAAACAGTGGTTGTCAGGACTTAGGGGGATGGGGAAGGATGAATAGGCAGAGCATAGAGGATTTGGGGTGTAAATGTACTTAGATAATACTATAGTGGTAGACACGTGTGATTATACATCTGTTCAAGCCCACGGAATGTACAACACCAAGGATGAATGCTATGGTTAACCATGGACTTTGAGTGATTATGATGTGTCAATGTAGGCTCATCAATTGTAACAAATTGGGGGATGTTGATAATAGAGGAGGCTATACACGTGCTGCAACAATGGGGATATAGAGAAGCTCCATACCTTCATCTCAATTTTACTGTAAACTAAATCTGTTCTAAAAAAAAGTCTTTTATTTAAAAATTCACCAAATTAAATGAAAAAAATGATATTTTGGCCATTGTTTTCTCTATATTGCAGAATATTAGCCTTACTGACACCTTCAGACAATGTACCAAAATTAATTCCAGGTAGTTGTGGGACTCAATGAGAAAGGTGAAACAATATAGGTGAATATTCTCATGGTTTGGGGAAAGTGAGACTAGCAGCATTTGGCAATAGCCATCAGAAAATGGCTTTGATAATCCACTTTATCACATGTGCTTTTGATATTATCAACATTTTACCTTACTTCTATTATTTACTCCTATTGATAGTCTTAGGATTTTAGTTGCTTTATTTTTCTAATTTTTGGAGGTGGATAATTAGATTAGTAATTTTCATAATTTGTTAAAAATAATTTAAGCCTAGAATTTATCATTAAATACAGAATTCATCATATCCCCCCAATTTTGATGAAGACATTTTCATTTGTATTTGGTCCAGTATTTTAAAATCCATATCAACATTTTTCTTGTCCCACATTTTATTTAGACATATCATTTCTTAATTTAAAGGCATGTAGACATATTACTGATTTTTTTGTTATTGATTTATAAGTTTATGTTATGACAGTCTTAGATTATACACTCTACGATAACCCTTTGATATTTGTTCAGACTTATTTTCTGGACCAGCATATAATCACTTCCATAGAAATTCTGTGTATATTTGAAAAACACTATTACAATCTGAAATTTTAAGGACAGTGCTCTATGTCTGCCCACTAGGTGAAAATATTTAAATTATATTGCTTAAAACATCTATATGCTTAAATTTTGTTTGCTCTGCTAATCTAACAGTTACTAAGAAGGATATATTAAACACTGTCCACTTTGGTTGTACATTTGTCTTAATTTTTCTTCATGAGGACATTGGTATTCATGAATGAGGCAACAAACCTCATTAGGTGTCTACTGTATGTTAAGAAATTTGTTTTCTAAAAACAGCTTTTTTGATATAAAGAAAGTATACTTGCATAAATCTTTATTTTCTTAAGTTTTAGGATTTTGTTTAAAATCTTATGAAATCATATGTGAATATCTTAGTTTGGGGAGCTATGACTGAATACCATAGATTGGGTAGCTTATTAAAACAAACAAACAAACAAACAAACAAAAACCAGTAATTTGTATCTGACAGTTCTCCAGGCTGAAAGTCCAAGGTCAAGACACTGGCAGATTTGGTGTCTGGTGAGAACCTGCTTTCTGGCTCATAGATGACCATCTTCTTGCTGTGTGGCAGAACAGGTGAGAGATCTCTTTTGACTGTCTTACAAGGGAACTAATCCCATTTATCAGGATTTTGCAGTTATGACCCAATCACCTTCCAAAAGCTCCACCTCCAAATAGCATCACATTGGGGATTAGGTTTCAACATATACATTTGGGGGAATATAAATATCCAGTCTATGGCAGTATATAATTGTATGTTGGGATTTAAATAGAAATGTAAAATATTGGACAGTAACAGCATACAGGTGGGGATCAAGCTGCATGGGAATAAGGAAATAACACCAGGCAATAACTTAAATCTTTAGGGAACAAAATGAACAGATTTCGAAATTGTAAATAAGATTATTATAAGCTAAATGTTTATGTCCCCCTCCCCCCCAAATTAATATGTTAAAGCCTCCAGAGTAATGATATTTGAAGGTGAGGTCTTCAGGAGTTAATCAGGTCATAATTTGGAGCCCTCTTTAATGGGATTAGTGCCTTTTTAAAAAGGTCTGACTGAGGCAGGAGAATCACTTGAACCTGGGGGTTGGGAGGTTGCAGTGAGCCAAGATTGCGCCACTGCACTTTGGCCTGGCGACAGAGCGAGACTCTGTCTCAAAAAAAAAAAAAAAAAAAAAAAAAAAAAAGAGGCCCGAGGGAGCTTGTTTGCTCCTTCTTCCATGTGCAGACACAATAAGATGGAACCATCTATAAATGGGAAAGCAAGCCCTCATCAAACGCCCAATCTGCTGGTACTAGGATCTTGGACTTTCCAGTCTCCAGAGCTGTGAGAAATAAATGTTGTTTAAGCCACTCAATCTATGGCATTTGCGTTATAGCAGCCCAAACTGAGTGACACAAAAATTAATATTAAAGTGTATAAACACTTGCTCTTCTTTCTTCTCTTACCTTCTTTTTAAAAAGTCTTTTAAAATACTTATTTAAAAGACAAACTTTTGTGAAGTTATAGAAATGATAATGTATTGTTTAGTTTGTAATATGTAGGCTTAATATGCATAACAATAATACTTCAATAAAGGGAGGAAAGGGATAGAACTATATAGGAGAAAATATTTATCTATAACTGGAATTAAGTTATAAGTCTGAGGTTAATTTTGATGTTAAGATGTGTATAGTAAGCCATATGACAAAAGCTGACAAAATTCAAAGAATATAACTTGAAAAACTCTTAAAGGAATTAAAATATTACAGTAGAAACACCCACTTAATAAAAAATAATCCACTACAAGAAGAACAGAAACAGAAAGATATAGCACATAATAAAAAAGCACAATAGCCAATGTTATTCTGACCATATTAATAATAATATTAAAAGTGAATGGACTGAATAACATAAAAAAAGAGGTTATCTATCAGAAAATTTGCATCCAAATCTGTGCTATTTACAGGTGAAACAAATTGAAAGAAAAAGAATGGAAAAAGCATACCATGCACACTGCAACCATAAAAGAACTGCAATTGCTATATTAACATCACACAAGATAGACTTTAAAGCAAACAACATGTTATTAAAGATAAAAAGGACATCTCAGAATAAGTGGGTCACTCTACCATCAAAATTTAACAATTATAAAGATATATGCACTTTAAAATAGAGCACCAAATTACATAAAGCAAAAACTGACAATATTAAAGGGAGAGATAGATGATTCTAAAAATAATAGCTTAAGACAAAAATATGCCACTTTTGACAGCCAGACAGAACATCTAGACAAAACCTCAATAATTAAATAGAAGGTTGAACAACAGTCTAAATTCACTAGACCTAACAGGCATCCATGGAATTCACCAAATTAGAGCAGAATACACATTCTTCTCAGAGGCACATGGACTATTCTCCAGGATAGACCAGATACTAAGCCATTTACTATACATTACCTCTTTAAAATATAAAATTTGATAAATTTTAACAAACATATACATCCTAATATTCATATGAAATCTCAAGCAACTCTGGTGAAAACAATTCTATAACAGCAAAGTTGGAGGGTTCATACTTGCCTTCTTTAAAACTTAAAATAAAAGCATAGCAATGAAAACAGTGCGATACTGGCAAAATAAAAAACCAATGGACTAGAATAGAGCCCAGAAAGAAATTCCCTCACACATGGTCAAATAATGTTCAACAGGGTGCCAAGGTCATTAAATGAGGAAATGGGGAAAAGACAATCTTTTCAGCAAATAGTGTTAGGAAAGTAGATATCCACATGCAACATGATGAAGTAGGACTCTTACCTTACATGATATACAAAAACTTAAGTCAAAATGGATTAAAGACCTAAACATAAGACATAAAACTATTAAACTATTAGAAAAAAAAATAAGAGAAAAACTTTTGTTATTGGATTCGGCACGACTTATTGGATATGACATGAAAAGCACAGGTAACAAAAGAATAGATAGATACATCAATTTTTTTCAAAAATAAAAACTTGGAAAATTTTAATTATTAATGTTAATTAATGATAATTTAATATTATTAATAATATTTAATATTAATAATAGTTATTAATATTGATTCTAACTTTTTAATTTTTAATGCATCAATGGGCAACATCAAGAGGGTGAAAATGCAAACCATGGAATGAAAGAACATATTTGCGAGTCATATAATTGGTAGCCCTTATATCCAAAATATATAAACAAATCCTACAGTTCAACCACAAAGAAAAACAATTCAAATATAAAATTGAACAAGGGCTGGAATAAGTATATCTTCAAAAATTTACAAAAGACAAATGAGTGTATGAAGGGAAGCTCAACATCACCAACCATCAGGGAAATGCCGGTCAAAACCACAATGAGAATCCACTTTGCAACTATTACGATGGCTATTAATTTTTTTGTAAAAAGGAAATTACAAGTGTTGTAACAAATATGTGGCAAAATTAGCACCCTTGTGAATTACTGCTAAGAATACCAAATAGTGCAGCTACTATGGAAAACCATGTGGCAATTCCTCAAAAAATTAAACATAAAATCACCATATAACCCAGTAATTCCACTTGTAGGAGATACTCCAAAGATTTGAAAACAGGAAACCGGAACAGATATTTGTACACCAGTGCTCACGGTGGCATTAGTCACATTAGCCCAGAGTTGGAACAACACAAATGTGCATTGACAAGTCAATAAAAAAAAAAAACTATGTTATATATTTACAATATAAATATTACTCAGCCTTAAAAAAGAATTGGAACCTCTGATCATACTACAATATAGATGAACCACGAAAATACAGTTCACCCTTGAACACCGGTTTGAACTGCACAGATCTACTTATATGTGGCTTTTTTTCCACCTCTGCCACCCCCAAGACAGCAAGACCAATTCCTCCTTTTTTTCTCCTCCTCAGCCTGCTTGACATGCAGACAGCAAGGATAAAGAGCTCTATAATGATCCATTTACACTTAATGAACAGTAAATATATTTTCTCTTTCTTTTAATTTTATTTTCTCTAGCTTTACTGTAAGAATGCAGTATATAAAACATATAAAACACAAAATCTGTGTTATTTGACAGTTTATGTTATTGGCAAGGTTTCCAATCCAAAGTAGGATATTCATAGTTAAGTTTTTGGGACGTCTAAAGTGACACATGAATTTTAGACTGGGCAGGGAGTCAATGTCCCTAACATCCGTGTTGTTCAAGGGTCAATTGTATTTATGCTAATCAAAAGTCAAACACAAAAGAGTAAATATTGCATAATTCCATTTCATAGAAACAGAAAGTATATTAGTGGCTGTCAAAGGACCCAGGGGTGGAGAGAATGGGGGATTATTTCTTAACGGGTACAAGATTTCAGTTTCAGACGATAAGAAAGTTCTGAAGATGGATAGTGGTAAAAGCTGCAAAACATTATGACAGGCCTTAATGTACTTAATGCCATTGAACTACACACTTAAAATATATGCATACCCCCATTTAATTCTTTATTGTGCTTCACATACACTGCGTTTTTCACAAATTGAAGGTTTGTGGCCACCCTGTTTTGAGCAAGTCTACCAGTGCCATTTTTTTTCAACAACATGTGTTCACCTCATGTTTCTGTGTCACATCTGAGAATACCCACAATATTTAAAACTTTTTCATGATGATTATTTCTGTAGTGATGGTCTGAAATCAATGATTTTGACATTGCTATTATGATTGTTTTGGATTGCCCTGAATAGCACACATATAAGACAGTCTCAGATTATCATTATCATATGTTATCAATGAAGTATTTTTAAATTAAGATAGGTACATTTTTTCTTTAAACAATACTATTACACTCTTAATAGACTACAACATGGTGTAAACATGACTTTTACATAGCCAAAAAAAATCTAATTACTTTCCTTATTGTGATATTTGCTTCACTACAGTGGTCTGGAATGGAATCCACAATATTGATGGCAGCAGTGGCCTGTCTGAGGAGCCCCGCCCACTTCCGATTTTGTGGGGCAGGAGCCCTGCGCTCTCTGGAATAGCTGCAGCTGCCCAGCCATGAACCCGGGCATGCCTGTGCTCTGGGGGCGGGGAGGGGGCGCGGGGGAGGAAGCTTCCTGGTAAGTGCCTGCTCCAGCTACCTGGCCTCCTGGCCTCCTCAGCTCCCAGCACCCACTCTGATTTTGGAACAAAGTTGTGGCCGAGCCTGGGGGCTGGGTGCAGCGCTGATATTCCAGCCCCCTACTGTCTCCGCCCCCTCCGGACTTTGGGCACTGACCAGCATGGGAGAGAGGACAAGGGGGTGCTGAGGGTGGCTCAGCGCAGGCCTGCAGGCACCCCTCTGCATGAACAACCTGAGCACCATGAAAAGCGGCAGGAGGCAGACGCACTCCTGGGTGGAAAGGGTAGGTCCTCCATGAAAATCCACTTTCAAGCCAGGGGCAGCTTGAAAGCCTGGCGGCCGGGCTCCGAATTCGGCTATTCAGGGCAGTCTCAACTCCGACTGGAGTGAGAACTTACGGTGCTTTTTCTGGCCTGCTCATGGCCACCCATGGACCAATCATCATCCACTTCCTCCCCTCTGAAGCCCAAAAAAACTCCGGACTCCCAAACTCAGGCGGACGTTGGGACGACCTGCCAGCAGATAGAAGCTGCCCACCCCACTCCCCTCCTCACCCCTAAGGGCAGAGAGCTGCACAGACCCCTGGATGACCTGCCTGTGGAAAGGAGTTAAACACATTGGGTCTCCTGAGAGTTGTACTGTCACCCATAAAGCACCTCTTTGCCTTGCTCATTCTCTATTTGTCCACTTACCTCATCCTTCCTGGACATGGGACAAGAACTAGGGACCAGCCATTTGCGGAACTGAAAGAGCTGCAACACAAACAGGGCCGAAACGTGCTCCGCCCTCCGTCCCTGCTGCTCCTCATGTTGTGAGCACGAGAAAGAGAGGAGTTATGGAGAGAAGCCCTTCAAGGAGCCCAGACCTGGGAGTCCCCTGAGCCAGGGGTGTAAGGCACCACCGCATTTCCCAGTGCCTGCAGTGGAAGCCACTTCCGGTATGCCTGGTCCAGCCACAGACTTGCAGGGAGCTAGAGCCCGCCCCAGTACCTGGAGCTGTCCACCCCGCAGGAGCCAGTCTGCCTGGCTGTGCGTAGTGACCAGACGCTGTGCTCGCTCGCGCATGCACCTCTCTCCGCCTGCGCCTGGCTCTCCCTTGGCAGGTGTGGGATCTGGGCCAGTAGCAAAAGCCCAGTGCAGCCCGCCAGGCTGAGTTGGCGAAACCAGCCCAGGAGGCCCAAGCAAAATCTGGCCAAAGGCACCACCGGCCACACAGGTTTCCAGCTGGTGAAGTGACACCCCAAGGATCCTGTGACAATATCTTCAAGGTATCCTTACAATTTAAATGGTAAATTTTGACCAAGCATGGTGGCTCATACCTGTAATCCCAGCACTTTGGGAGATCAGAGCAGGTGGATCGCTTGAGCCCATGAGTTCGAGACCAGCCTGGGCAACATGGCGAAACCCCGTCTCTACTAAAAATACAAAAATTAGTTGTGCGTGCCTGTAATCCCAGCTATTCCAGAGGCTGAGACACAAGAATCGCTTGAACATGGGAGGCAGAGGTTGCAGTGAACTGAGATTGTGCCACTGCACACCAACTTAGGTGACAGAGCAAGACTTAGTCTCCAAAAAAAGGTAAATTTTAAGTTATGTATATTTCACTGGGATGAAAAAATTTAATTATAGGCATATAGGCAACTCTTTAATCTGAAACAAAGTAAAACAAACAAAAACCCTGTAATAGCCGTATGAACATCCCTATGATTTTAATTGTTGGATTATAGTAGAGGCTAGTTTCCCAAAGTTATTGCTTCTTTTTCATGAAGGCCTAAATACAAGTTTTTTGTTTGTTTGTTTTTTGTTTTTTTTTTGTATGTATAAGAATCAGGGGAAACTTTTTTCTTTTGATTTACTATCGTATTATTTAATTTTAACGGTAAAGTCTATAACTGATCGTGTTAGCTATTTTGCTTCGAGAATCAAGAACAGGTTAACCATTCATGGGTTTTAGTACATTTGTATGATGTGTTACATGTATTTCTTGACACTAAAATTTCTTTTGTTTTTATTATCCTATTCAGCTATGACTTTTTGTCATGTAGTCTTTTTGTAACATATTTTCTTTCCTATTTACAGTTTATGAAAAGTATACATGTTCTGTTTGGTTTACCCCCACTCCCTGGCTCAATTCATTTCAAAATAGAGTGCAGAATAAATTGCACATTATTTTTTCCATTTATTCTTAGACTCCCTAAAGTGCTTTGCACATAGGATGTAGAAAGCACTCAAATGTATATTGAATTGATTATTTGTGAAGATTACAATGAAGAGGCAGATTGGTCCAAGACGTATAATAAAACCCAGGGGCTATATTTTCCTGACATCAATGTTTACTCTACCAAATAGAGGTATAAAAATGATGACAGTGGCCTTTCAACTATTATTTTTTTGGGTCCTAAACACTTCAAAGTTTCACACTTCTAAAGAAAAAAAATTTGATTATTTTTTAGATAGTAAGGTTAATATTAATGTTTTGATTATTGTTTACATTGTTTACACATTTCTTGTGCAGGGATATTATCACTATAATACATCTGTGATAATAATGATTCAAACAATTTGAAACATAAGATGATTGAAATTTCAGGCAAAATCAAAATAGAGAAAAACCTAGTAAGGCCTCTTTTGTGACTTCTTTATTTAAAAAATTTAAAATATATAAGGAATATAATCACTTCTCAGTTCTTTAAAACTTAGTATAAGATTTTCTTAATGCCAAGACAGTTAATGAATTTTTGGACAGATTGATTAAAGAAATGGCATTACCAACCAAAATTGCCCTTTTAATGATAAATTCCTTCAGCTTTGAATTATACGTTATGTTCCATAATTCTGATGATCTTAAGGAGACATTCATTTTAAACTTAATTATTTGATAAGATTAGAAATAAAATATTAATATGCATCTCCAAGATACTTCTTTTTTATTATCTATTAAAAATGTTCTCTGTTACTATATACTTACAGGGGAAAATATTGAAAGTGGTCTTTAGAACACAGTACATTAAAGCTCAGTAACTTAAAACTGGGGTGGCTTTTTGCATTTC
The DNA here is from genome assembly GCF_000001405.40 of Homo sapiens. Lineage (NCBI taxonomy): Eukaryota > Metazoa > Chordata > Mammalia > Primates > Hominidae > Homo > Homo sapiens. The sequence continues at coordinate 178,418,126 of NC_000004.12, forward strand.
ACAATTAGTATTTAATATTTTTCCAGAATTAGAAATATTAAAGATTCTTTGCCTAGGAAAACATATACTTTGTCTTTCTCTATTCCCTCTGATAATATCTTTCTTAACCATATTTCCTCAAATCTTAGAGACATCTTAACTAATGATATTGTGAAAAGTGTGAAAATACTTGTCACTAGTCATTAGAATCATTAATTTTCAGATGATTTCACAGTAACATCCTCATCATCATTTTTTGGAGGGTAGGGGAGACAGGGTCTCAATCTGTCACCCCGGCTGGAGTGCATTAGCATAATCTTGGCTCACTGCAACCTCCACCTCCTGGGCTCAAGTGATTCTCCCACCTCAGCCTCCAGAGTAGCTAGGATCACAGATTAGGTGACAGGTGTGTGCCACCATGCCAGGTTAATTTTTGTATTTTTTGTAGAGATGGGTCTTGCCCTGTTTCCCAGGCTGGTCTCATCATCATTTTTATATAATAATGTCATCATTGCAATTTTAGTTTTTAACCATAAAGCTTTCAAAATGCAATGGACAATTGATATAAATTTATGTTTTATATGAACAAATCCTATAACACAATCTTAATAGTAAATCCAAATTTAAATCCTCATTTAAGTAGTGGAGAAAGAGCTTAATTTACACAGTGGGCAAATTTAATAATTTTAATTCTTATCTTCTAAATTTTGAATCAACATATCTATCCCATATGTAATCTCACTTCAAATAGAACATCTAAATTAAAATTAGGAGTAAAAACAACCAGAACAGAGATAAATGCATAGTTGAAATACTGGGATAATAGCAAACATTGTAGCTTCTTTAGGAAGAGGGTAAACTACTAGAATGTTGTTAAAATACACATCTGCCTTTCAAAAAGGAGAAATTTAAAATAAGAGAAATATTTCATTTGATAATACTGTCTAGCCAAGATATTACATGGCCAATGGAAGAAATTTCAACGTGAGTAACAGCTCTTGCCTTAAGTAGCTTAGGATGTATTAAGAAAAATTGCTGTTACTGCTGCTATTACATAGGATGATTGAAATCACACATGTGGTGGCTATGTGGCATGGGGAAAAACTTTTGAGCTTTGAAGCAACATAGAACTGATTTTAAGACCTGGTGCCATACTTTATCAGTTGGACAGTCCATGACCCATCACTTATACTCTCCGTGTCTCAAATTCCATCCTGGTGGTTGGAGGTGATTATACCTTCAGAGGGTTTCTGTGAAGATTAGAAATGATTTGATATTCCTGGGACTCATAGAAGTTAGCTTGTGGAAGTCTTAATAAGTTGCACCATGGTGGGTGGGAGGTTTGGGAGAAATCAAGAAAACTTTTTGGAGGGATGTGTTTTTTTAGAAGAGGCTTGACAGACAGTTTTTGTTAGAGAAGGAGTTGAACATTTCTTGTGCAGAGCACACGAAAGAAGCAATGATGGGTGATAGTGGAGGCGGGTGCAGTTTGGGGTGTAAATAAGGAAAATGGAAAACGATCTGAGAGTGTGGATGGCACCAGAGAAGGGGAGAGTTAAAATCATTTATCATAGAAGGCGAGCCAGGGGTGATTTAAAAAGAAGTAGATATATTTTAGCCAAAGCATGGCACTGAGTTTTAGTTTTAGAACATTGTTGACAAACGTCCAGGGTAATGAGGAAGGAGGAATTGGCCTAAAGGGTCCTCCATGGGGAGTGCTTGAAAGCAGTATAAACCGAGCAAGTGCTGTTTATGTGGGGGATCCTCTCTTTTCTACCTACCTTTTCTGCTTCCACCCATCTCACATGCAATTTTGTACAGACATTTCTCTGTTCTTGTTTCCACCTGTCTGCCTCCTGAAGATGGATTTTCACCTCAGAAGATAGTGATTCTATTAAATCTACATCAGATCAGGCCACTCTGCTGCCCACAATGCTCTAGCAGCTTCTCATGATATTCAGAGTAAAAGCCAAAATCCTGACAATAAACTAAAAGCTTCAAAATATGTGGCACCTTGTTATTTATCTGACATTATTTCTACTTTCTCCATTGCCCCAGCCTCTCACTGGTCTCATCAGTTTTTCTTAAACTTGTGAAGCAAGCTTCCTTCACAGGGACTCTGCTGTGGTCATTCCGTCTGTCTGGAATGTTCTCTCAGTAGACACATGGATCACTCGCTTGCTTTAAGTTGTCAGTTAAACAACAATGAAGGTTTTTGTTATTTTCTCTCAGAACTATTTAAGATTCTCTTCTTCAACACTTATTTTTTCAAAATTTATTTTTGCTTTTAGCATTTATCTCAGTCTAACTTCCTCTTCATTTTTATATTATTAATATTTCTCTCATTTATTGTCTGTCTTTCTTACAAAATAGGTTTATAAATGCAGGGAGCTTTGTCTGTTTTGTTCGCTGTTACATTTAAAATGTCTGGCATATTGTGGCACTCAATGAATAAATACTCTTCAAGTGACTACATGAATGAACTAGGGAATGGAAGTTTCAAGAGAAAGAGGAGGTAAGTTTTAAAACGTGACAAAGCCGAGCACGGTAGCTCAGGCTTCAATCTCAGCACTTTGGGAGGCTGAGGCAGATGGAACATTTGAGGTCAGGAGTTCAAGGCCAGCCTGGCCAACATGGTGAGACCCCATCTCTACTAAAATACAAAAATTAACTAAGCATGGTGGCACATGCCTGTAATCCCAGCTACTCGAGAGGCTGTGACAGGAGAATTGCTTGAACCTGGAAGACGGAGGCTGCAGTGAGCCAAGAACATGCTACTACCCTCCAGCCTAGGTGACAGAGTGAGAGACTCCGTCTCAAAAAAAAAGAAAGTGACAAAGCTACATATACTCTGTAAAAATGAATGATCACATGAATGAATTTGCAACCGCACAGAAATAAATAAATATAAAGAATATTTAAATTTATAAAAAAATTATTATTTGACTACCAAATGTGTGATACTGTTAGGCATTGGAAAATCAAAGTCCTTCCCATTCCATCAGTTAATTTATTTTAAAAAGATAAATGTTATTTGTTTAGGTAAATTTTCAATCTAGAGATATAGCACTTTAAGCAAAATATAATCATTTGCTGAATAATATTTTGAATTATTTTATGACACTGAGATAATGAGTGTTAAAATAATGTGATCTAATTTCCCAAGTAAGAATAAACTTTTATCTATTATCTGTCTATCTATCATCTCTTTATTCATGGAATTTGAAAATATGAAGGAATCTATCATATAAAAACGAAATTACATCTGTTTTAATGAACAAGATCCCTAGTTATTGATCAAGTAATGTAATCAAAAACCCAAGTAAATATTTTAAGTTATTTGGAATAAAATTCTTTTCAAAAAGTCCTTTAATTATGAAAGATGAACAGGATTGGAAATGAATACTATTCTAATTTACATCAAAAATGCAAACAGGCATTTATTATAATCATACTCAGATTCACACCTACAAATTTAAGTTATACATAGTACATGGCAAATTAGATAAACACATTTATTCATGTTTAAAATAGTGTAATGCCACCACCAAGGAAGCCAGTAAAAAAGTACCCCAAGAATATACTAAAGGAAATGAAGAGCCTCTTTTCAACTTATTCAAGTGCCGACAATGGAGTAGGGAGAAGAATTGGTAGAAGAGATGGGCAAGCATCACTATGGAGCTGGCTCAGTGACATGTGCTTTGTCATACTAGAAAGATTGATTTTATCTTTTTACTTCACAAATTAGGAAAATAGGGTTTTTTTTTTCCCATTAAAGAAACAGATATATAAAGGAATAGATATGAAAATCTATTTACGTGTTTGAAATAGACTCAGAGTGTTTATGAGATTTTTCCAAATGGAATAGGGCTGAATAGAGTACAAGGAATATTGGCTTAACCTCTCTTTCTGTTAAAGGATCTTCACTGGAAATATTTGAGAGGCACTTGTTTAAGAGACTGAGATACTAGTGTTTTACATTTTTAAATGTATATATTTAAAATTAATTAGTGATAGGGTTTGGCTCTGTGTCCCTACCCAAATCTCATATCAAATTGTAATTCCCAATGTTAGAAGAGGGACCGCGTGGGAGGTGATTGGATCATGGGATTGGATTTCCCCTCTTGCTGTTCCCATGATAGTGAGTGAGCTCTCACAAGTTCTGGTTGTTTAAAGGTGTGTAGCACTTCCCCTTTCCCTCACTCTCCTGCTGCCATGTGAAGATAAGCTGGCTTCCTCTTCCCCTTCTGCCATGATTGTAAATTTCCTGAGGCCTCCCAGCCATACTTACTGTACAGGCTGTAGAATCATGAGCCTATTAAACCTCTTTTCTTTATAAGTTACACAGTATCAGCTAGGTCTTTATAGCAATGTGAGAATGAACTAATACAATTAGTAATTAAACAATTATTGGTCAACTAATTTATTCACTAATACTGTAGGCAGCCACCGTACAAGAAAAAGAGAAATGAATAGAATTTATACAATCTTCGCCCATATGGAGCTTGTGCTCATATTGCTGTGCTTCTGAGAGTTTTTATTAAGAAACAAAGATATTCTAACACAATTAAACACAGCACAATATTTAAAAACAAAGAGTTTAAAAATTTTCAAATTCACTAGTTCATTAGTAACCTATTTTACCAAAAATATAAGAAAATAATGTTTAAAGATAAATAGGCATCTCAAGGTATTCACAGATTTAAGTGGGTTACGACTTTTTAAAAGAAAACATTTTAAATACATATAAAAGAGTAAAAAAAGTAAAAGAAAGAACAGTGTGATTAAGACAATGTTTATAGAAGACAATATAGGTAAGAAACACAGGGGAAGAAAGAAGAATTAAGAACAAAGTCTTGGAGAAAAAGTCCTGGCATCATCACTCACTGCAACCTGACTATTAGTTACTATTTTATTCAGTGTATAATTATATCTACAAGATAAGAGTAGGTAAGAGAATGACAAATTCTCCTAGAAAAAAAACATTGAAACAAAATACATTTTAGGAAAATTATGAGATCTCAAAAACCTAGAGAAATTGAAAAAAAAGTCCTAGGGAAATGCAGTTTTTCAAAACTAATTGCACTGGAGATAGAAAGCAAGATGGCATCATAGAGGAATATATCAAACCTCAAACACCAGATAGTCTCAATGCACCATAGATTATTTCCTAGGATAGCCCTGATTCCCAAACCTGATAAAGACAGTACAAAGAAAAAATAATTTAGACTAATAGATTTGCAAACACTGTGGCAAAAATTTCCCCTGTAAAGTTAATTAATAAAATCTGATACTACATTAAGACAACGACATAAGTGGATCAAGTAAAAATTTCTCCATGAATTCAAGGTTGCTTCAGTATGATGATATCTATTTATATTAAGCACTGTATATTAATAGTACACACTACAGCCTTGCAAGATTCCAGTCACAGCCCTGTGGCTCCAGTTGGACCTGTCCTTTGAAACATGTGGAGACGGTTATGCACTCCAGGCCTGTGCACTCCAGGCCTGTGATCAGCCTGTGATGGGAGTGACAGTCCTGAGAATCTCTGAATTGCCTTTAGTGTCACTCTTCTATTGTCTTGAAAAATAGCTCCTGGCTTCTATACTATTCTCCTTATCAAATAATCACCTGGCCTTCACCTTAGAGTTCTAATTTTCTACAATGTGGATAGGCTGAGACTTTTCCAACTCTTTATGTTCCTCTTTCTTTTTGCTTATCGACTCTGTCTTTAAATCATTTCTCTCTTCTCACATTTTAATATAAGCATTCAGAAGGAGCCAAGCCAGGCCTTCAACATTTTGCTTAGAAATCTTTTCAGCTAAATATTGAATTATTCAATCACTCACAAGTTTGACCTTCCATAAAACACTAGAACATGAACACAATTCAGCCAAGTTCATTGTCACTTTATTACAAAGATGGTCTTTTCTCCATTGTTCAATAATGTTCCTTTTTATTGAGACCTCAACCAAATGGCTTCTACCATTCATATTTCTACAACATTCTGTTCATGGTTATTTAAGTATTCTTAAGAAAATGACAGCTTCCTCTACAGCTTTCTGATTTCTTTCTGTGCCCTAACTGGAGTCACCTTTAAAGGTGTGTTCACAACAATGTAAGATTTTTAGGCTGTACCTCAATATTCCTTCAACCTCTTCCTATTACCCAGTTACAAAGCTGAGTACACAATTTTAGGTATCTGTTACAGCAGCATACGGCTCCTGTTATCAACTTTCTGCCTTAGTCCATTCTGGCTGCTATAACAGTAATATCACAGACTGGATAGCTTAAGGAACAAATATTTATATTTTACAGTTGTGGAGGCTGGGAAGTCCAAGATGAAGATACAAGCCAATTTCGTGTCAGATGGGAGCCTGCTTCCTAGTTTATAGATAGCTTTCTTCTCACTGTGTTCTCACATAGTAAAAGGGGTGAAAGAATACCCTGGAGTCTCTTATAAGGGTGCTAATCCTATTCATAAGGTTTCTGCTCTCTTACCTAACTTCCTCCCAAAGGCTGCAACTCCTAATACCATCACATTGGGTTAGAATTTCAACATATGAATTTTAGAGATAAAGATTTACTCTATAACAGGAGTGTTCAAAAAATATTGGTAACATGTCAAAAGAACACCGAAGTTGATTAAATGTGTTTTTATTGATCAGATACTACACAATTGAACATGAGTCCATACTACTATAAATACATATATTATATATACATGAATGAAAAGGGTGGAAGGAAAAGGTTGTTCTTACGGTGGAAAGCCAACTAATACATGTAGAAAACATAATAGAAAATAACCAGTACCAGTCATCACAATAACAGATTCAACAAGAAACACCAATAAATTATATACTAGTGGGTAGACGTTTAAAGAGTAACAAGATATTTACTTTACTCAGCATATCTTCTCACAATACTAATTGACTAGAAAAGGGTAAATAGTAAATAACAGTGAAGAAACCTGGTAGGCATTATCTTAATCAAGTGATCAAAGTTATTAGGCTAGACAACAATGTGACTGATCAGTAGCATACTCTGCAGTAATAGAACACTGAGAAGGATTCAGCATCAATTCTGCGATATTTCTGCCAAAAGTCCATAACCTGAATTAATCATGAAGCAGTACTATAAAAATTGAGAGATGGTCTACAAAACAACTGGCCAGTCCTCCTAAAAATTTTCAAGTAATAAATAACAAAAGTCACTCAGCAAATTTTTCAGATTAAAGAATGTCTTAGTTCATTTGTGTTGCTATGAGAGAATAACCGAGGCTGGGTAACGTATAAAGGAAAGAGTTTTATTTAGCTCATGGTTTTGCTGTATGTATAAAAAGCATGGTGTTCCCTTCCGTTCCACTTCTGTGAGGGCTTTTGTGCTGTGTCAAAACATGGCAGAGAAGGGTAAAGGGTAAGCATGTGCAAAAAGGAGAAAGCCTGAGGGATGTCCTGAGTTTATAACCACCCACTATCATAGGAACAAATCTAGTTTTATAGGAACTCACTGACAAACGTGAGAATACCTCCACATCATTCATGAGGGACTTTTCCCCCCACAACCTAAACACCTTCCAATTGACCTCACCTTCCAATACTCTGACATTGAGGATCACATTCAACATAAGATTTCATAGGGACAAATGAACTATATCCAAAGCATAGCAAAGAGACATATGAGACATCATAAATAAATGTAATCCATGATGTGAATTTTCCTTTTGCTATAAAAATATTGTTCCATTAATTGGTGAAGTTGAAATAAAATCAGTAGATTACATAATAGTAGTATGTCAATATATATTTCCTGATTTTGATAATTTTACTATGGAACTGTTAGAAAATTTCTTTATTTAGAAAATATCCATTGTACTCACTGATATATTTACAAATAAAAGGGTCTTATCAACTGGTAATTAAGAACCATGTGTATATGTACATATATATAAACACAGACACATAGGAGAAACAGAATAAAATAACTGTAGTAATATACTGAAATTTGTGGAATCTGTGTGAAGGGCATCTAGAAGTTCTTTGTGTTGCTCTTATAATTTGCTGGTAAGTTTGAAACAATGGCAGAATTAACACTTAAAAAAACAAACAAACTTTATAATATAGATGTTACCCATTTTTTTAAAAAATAAGAAAACTAAGATCAGATAGTACAAATGCCCAATAATGCAAAGGAAGTACTGATCTATTACGCAGTAAATAAAAGCCTCCACTGTAAATAACAATAGTTTTAATAATATTAACCCTAACAACCTTATGTTGCCTAGCACATCTCCTCAACCAACAGACCTAACTCTACAATGAATAGGAAATGCAAGGAAATAAAGTAGCGTACTCCACTCCTTTTAGAATCTTCAACCTAGACAATTAATTTAAAAAATTATTATGGAGGTAACACCAGGCTAGCATGTGTGTATGCATGGGTGGAGATGAGAGGGCATAATACCGGGTTTGGTTTAGCGTATTTATTGTTAGAAATTGAAAGAGAGAAAATAAGTTTCCTTTTCCCTCTTAGGTTCTCAGGTTGAGCCTGAAAAGTAAACTTACAAAGACAGAATAACGGGAAAAAAGAAAACAAGTTTATTTTTACATGTTCATTGAGGCCTTCATATAAAACAAATGAAGTCCCCCAAAAGCAGATAGGCTTCAAAGATTATATACCAGTTTAACAAAGGGGACTTGAAGTGGAGCGAGATGGCAGAATAGAAGGGAAGATTCCACGAATCATCTCCTGAGCAAGGACACCAATTTATCAACTATCTACACACAAAAAACACCTTAATGAGAACCAAAGATCAGGTGAGCATTCCCGGTACCTGGTTTAACTTTGTATTGCTAAAAGATCCACTGAATAGGTAGAAATAACAATATTGAATTTTCAGTGCCACCCATCCCCTGCCCTGGCAGTGGTGGCATGGTGTGGATAGCGTTTCTATGTGCTGATGAAAGGAGAGCACAGCGATTGTGAGGCACTGAACTCAGTGTGGTCCTGCTACAGCACAAAAGAAAACCAGACCAATCTCAGCTGAAGAGTAAATCAGGAAGAAATCCAAAACCTGAAGAGACCAATGACAAGTAACAAGATAGAAGCTGTAATAAAAAGTCTCCCCTTAAAGAAAAGCCTGGGAGGCCTTTTATTGCAGTTTGATAGCTTTACTGTTAAATTCTACCAAACACTTAGGAAGAACTAATACCAATCCTACTCAAATTATCTGGAAAAATAGAGAAGGAAAGAATACTCCCAAACTCATTCTACGAGGCCAGTATTACACTGATACTAAAACCAAATGAAGAGACATCAAAAAAGGAAAATTACAGGCCAATACCTCCAATGAATATGAATGCAAAACTTCTCAGCAAAATACTAGCAAACCAAATTCAACAATACATTAGAAAGATGACTCTTTATGACCAAGTAGGATTTATCCCTGGGATGCAAGGATGGTTAAACATATGCGAATAAATCAGTGTTACATCATATGAACAGACTGAAAGATAAAAATTATGTGATCGTTTCAATTGATCCTACAAAAGCATTTGATATAATTCAACATCCCTTCATGACAAAAATCCTCAAAAACTTAGGAGAGAAGGAACATACCTCAACGTAATAAAAGCCATATACAAAAGACCCACTGCTAGTATCATAGTGAATGGGAAAAAAACTGAAAGCATTTCCTCTAAAATCTGGAACATGATAAGGATGTCTGCTGTCATCACTATTTTTTCACATAGTACTGGAAGTCCTAGCTAGAACAGACAAGAGAATAAATAAAGCGTAATCAAATTGGAAAGGAAGAAGTCAAACTATCCTTGTTTGCAAATAATATTATCTGACTGACTGAAAGTCCACCAAAAAACTGTTAGAACTGACAAACAAAATCAGTAGTTACAGGACCAAAATTAACATTCAAAAATTAGTAGCATTTCTATATGCCAACAGTAAACAATCTGAAAAAATGTTTTAAGTAAATCCCATTTATAATAGATACAGATAAAGTTAAATGCCTAGGAATTAAATTATCCAAAGAAGTGAAATTTTCCTATCGTGAAAGCTATGAAACACTGATGAAAGAAATTGAGATGAAAGAAATTGAAGAGGCCACCAAAAAATTGAACGATATTCCATGTTCATCATTGGAAGAATCGATGTTGTTAAAATGTCCATACTACCCAAAGCAATCTACATATTTAATGCAATTCCTATCTAAATACCAATGGCATTCTTCACAGAAATTGAAAAAAATCCTAAAATTTATATGGAACCACAAAAGACCCAGAATAGCCAAAGCAATCCTAAGCAAAAAGAACAAAACTGAAGAATTTTATTACCTGAATTCAAATTATACTACGGAGGTATAGTAAGCAAAACAGCACAGTATTGACATAAAACAGACACATAGACCAATGGAACAGAATTGAGAACCCATAAACAAATTCACACACCTACAGTGAACTCATTTTTGACCAAGCTGCCAGGAACATACACTGGGGAAAGGACTGTTTCTTCAATAGACGGTGCTAGGAAAACTGGGTATCCATATGCAGTAGAAGGAAAAGAGACCTCTATCTCTCACCATATAGAAAAATCAGATCAAAATGGATTAATGACTTAAATCTAAGATCTCAAAATGTGAAACTATTACAAGAAAACATTATAGAAAATCTCCAGGACATTGGTCTGGGTAAAAATTTCTTGAGCAATACCCCATAAGCACAGTCAATCAAAGTAAAAATGGACAAATGAGATCACATCAAGTTAAAAAGCTTCTGCACGGCAGAATGGGGGAAAATATTTGCAAACTTTCCATTCAACAAGGTATTAATAACCAGAAAATATAAGGAGCTTAAATCACTCTAGGGGAAAAAAAATCAAATAATCTGATCAAAAAATGGGCATAAGATTTCGATAGTCATTTCTCAAAAAAAGACATACACATGGCAAACAGGCATAGGAAAAGGTGCTGGGCATTACTGATCATCAGAGAAATGCATATCAAAACTACAATGAGACATTATCTCATGCCAGTCTACATGGCTTAGATCCAAAAGACAGCCAATAACAAATGCTGGCAAGGATGTGGAGAAAAGGGAACACTTGTACACTGTTGATGGGACTGTAAATTAGCAGGACCATGATAGAAAACAGTTTTTAGGTTCCACAAAAAACTAAAAACAGAGTTACCATATGATTCAGCAATTCCCCTGCTGTGTATATATCCAAAAGAAAGGAAATCAGTGTATCAAAGAGATACCTGCACTTCCATGTTTGTTGGAGCACTGTTCACAATAGCCAAGATTTGGAAGCAACTTAAGTGTCCACACTATTGAGTCAGAGAAAAGAATGGGATCCAGTCATTTGCACCAATATGGATGGAATTGGAAGTCATTAGGTTAAGTGAAATAAGCCAGGCATAGAAAGACAAAACTTATGTTCTCACTTGTTTGTGGAATCTAAAAATCAAAACAATTGAATTCCTGAAGATAGTAGAAGGATGGTTACCAGAAGCTGGGAAATGTGGTTGAGGTCGGGGGAAGGTGGGGATGGTTAATGGGCACAAAAAAATTGTTACAAAGAATAAATAAGGCCTACTATTTGATAGTACCATAGGCTGACAATAGTCAAAAATAATTGTACATTTTAAAATAACTAAAACAGTGTAATTGGATTGTTTATAACACGAAGAATAAATGTTTGAGGGAATGGGTACTCCATCTTTATGATGTGATTATTCACCTGTGATTTGCATGCCTGTGTATACACCTGCTTTTTACTTACACAATTTAGAAATTAAAAAAAAATTAAAAAGCAAGGTATGATGAATTGGGAAGATGTGACAAGACAAAAAAGTGGGAAGGGGACTTGGGGTGGTTAACTGTGAGAAAGTGACTAATGGAAGATAGGGTTGTTTTAGTAGGTCGGTTTTTGTAAATTCATCTTGGTGTCTCCTCCCTGACTCCAGTAATAAGAACATTTTTTGCCTGGTGATGGGAGAAGGGAGACGTTTTTCATGGGAAATGTGATGCCTTTCTTTTAGGTAGAAAGGAAGGGTTCAGAGAGGCCTTCCTACATCTGCGTTTTCTCAACTGCTTTCAGCTCTAAGGAATCAATATGCCAAGGTGGCATATTTTGAGCTTGCATGTTTTCATCCCCTTCAAAGCACAGAAGCAAATATACCGACCACTTCCACTTAGTATAGAAACTTTTTCCTCTAATTTGGAACTTGTTCCATCTTTTGCTTTTTTGTTTGCTTATTCTGATCTTAGTGTTCCTCTCTGTATTTATTCTTCTATTATTTTTAATGTATTTTATTTTCACTCTACCTTCCTATGATTTGTGAAGAAAAATTAATACAAAATCTACACAATTCAGACAATAGTCATGTCTACAACTGTTCTCAGTTCAGGCAGAAAGTTTTTGGTAACCAACTATTTATTTATGCTAAAAGTCAACTGTACATGCCCAAATAATAACGGAATCATTTGGAAAATTTAAAGAACAAATATTAAATATTCAAGTTTTTGGTTTGTAAATTAAGGAGTACTGTAAATCTTCCCAGTAGCTAATAAAAGGAGAAATAAATACATTTGATTAATCTTATTTTCAAATGATTAAACAAGTAAAGCTTATTTTCCTTAAGATATTTAGGTATATTTAAGAATATATATACTTAAAACTATATATATAAAATATGTAGTTTGTGTGATCAAGAAAGTTACATTTTATTTCTGTAACTATTCACCATAGAATGCCAGGGGGCATAGTACCATAATTAGGTTAAAATGTAATGTTATGTGTAAACATAACGGATACATAATGGCACGACTAAGCAAATCAATATCATGGACATTTCTCTGAAAACAAGAAAAATCTATTTAGAACAAATAATAGTTGTTATAAAGACTTGTATCACAAGTAATTCAAAATAATCACATTAATTAAAAGTGTGAACTGGGTGCAGTGGCACATGCCTGTAATGCCAGCCCTTTGGGAGGCTAAGGAAGGAGGATTGCTGGAGCCCAGGAGTTTGAGACTAACCTAGGCAACGTTGTGATACCTTCTGTCTACAAAAGCCGGGCACAGTGGTAAGTGTCTGTAGTGCCAGCTACTTGGAGGACTGAGGTAGGAGGATGGCTTGAGGCCAGGAGTTCAAGGCGGCAGTGAGCTATGATCACAGCACTGTATTCCAGCCTGGGTGACAGAGCAAGATCCTGTCTTTAAAAAAAAAATAAATAAATGAAATGTTTAAAGTGCAACTAAAATTTACTGTAGAAAAATATTGAATAGCTGAGTAATTATGCTTATACATGCAAAAATCATGGATGCATACCTCTGCATTAATATTTTTTGTCAATCAAGCAGCAAGAATGTTTATTACTGATATGTCACATCACTGAACGGTCATCAGCAGGAGATAAAGTCTGGGTTTTTTCCCAGAAACAATTTATCAATAATGTTTGTGCCAGTTGCCTTTTTGTATTGTCCCCCTAAACACATACAAATGGTATTTTCTCTTCAATGTTGTATATGAAATGTCTCACGTGTATATTCTTCAGTTTGTGTTTTCACATGGAAAACATATTCAAAAGTTTACGTTTGAAGGTGGGTATGGTGGTACACACTTGTAGTCCCAGCTTCTTGGGAGGCTGAGGCAGGAGGATCTCTTGAGTCTGGGAGTTTGAGGCTGCAGTGAGCTATGACTGTGACACTGCACTCCAGCCTGGGTGCCAGACTCAGACCCTGTCTCTAAAGTTATTAAATAAATAAAGAAAGATTTTTTTAAAAGAAAAATGTGAAGGTTTACATGTGAAGCTAAACATTTTAATTACAAACGAATGGATTTTCTTTGCTTGGAGATCTTTACAGTTTGAGTAATTGCAAAAGTATACTGTGCTATGGTCCTCATTCTTCTCAAACAAGTCTAATAACCTCTACCTCACATCACCCATCTTATAGTGAGATGAGCATATAATTTCTTATCTACACCTGGACACTTTTAATAACAGCGGCATTAATTAAACTATGACAGCATAAGCCAGGAATCTCACAGGCAAATCCAGAAAATGGTCAAATCTATATATTCCTACAAATATATACCATTTAAGGATGAAGAAAAGAGTGATTGTGCAGAAGTATTGAGCAGGCACTAAGGAAATGGCAGAGAGGGGAACACAGCCTTGGAATACAGGTGGCTTATATTTTTCACAGGTCACTCTGTATATGAGCATCAAATTGTGAATAGTGTTATCCAACTGAAAATAAAAGTAGACATCATCTGGGGTAAATGAATAAAGAGCAACTTTACAAAAACTTCAGAGTAAGCTTGAGAGAAATATGCAGCAATTTTGCAGAAAGATAGGATTACACCTTTCTCACCAATTATTAGTACCATCTGGCATTATTAAACTTAATTGCAAACTCATGCCACACCAATTTTTGTCTGTTTAATTTTACTAGGTTCTCTCTCATAGGCCTCTTTTAGTAGCCTGCATAAACCACATCCAAGCAATTCTAGCAGGTTCTGTCTCTCATTTTCTTTGTGACTTATAGTTGCATCAATTCAGGCTAAGTAAAATGCAATATTGAAGGCATTGATTTCTTAACTATCTATGAAATGGAAATCTATGGGAAGGAAAAATAGATTTGAGTTTATTACAGTCAGGATGGCACTTTTCTCTATATTGACAAGTGCATCACATGATTTAGTTAAAACAATAGAAGCTACAAAAAAAAGCATTCATTTGAAGGATTCCAATTAGATTGCAGTACTTATGAAATAGCAAAACACAAGATCAAATCCGAGGTAGAGTTGAGGCAAATTTAGGTATCTCAGCAAGATGAAAAACAAAAACCTTCTTACTAAAATTTGTCATGAGTTGACTCAAGTCAAAGTGACTTTTTAGATTTATATATTCGTGGAATCTAGAATTTTATTGACCTAGTATGGATCATGAGTCCACTGATTTGAACTTCTTTTGCATAATATTATGACTGCTGTCCCCGTGACAATCACATTCATTGTAGGAGTATTAATTTCCAAAGTATGGGCATATAAATGAAGGATAAAAGCACTGTGGGCAGATAATGTATAGTATAGTTATTCTATACTATGACACTTAATCCTGTACATTGATAGCCTGAAAACTGATGAAGACCTCAAACAATCATAGTTGGGTACAATATGTATATCTTAACATAAGAAAATCTCTTATACTGTTATTCATGGATCCCTTTCTAGAACTCAAATCCATTCTCTCACCAATAATACATACAATTAAAATAGCACACCCAATGCCACAGATGCTAAAGGAATGTCTGCCCATAAAGTTATCTTTGTATAGAGTTCATACCTGATTTTATATTTTTGCTAAAGTAAATATATTTTTGGTAAAGTCAGGTTTATGAACCACTTGTGAAAATTATCAACGGTCAAGTTGATGATTTTATATTTTAAAAGAAAATATTTTGAATTTTGTGTTTTTTTATGCTAATATAGAATAGTTTATTGACATTTATTTTCAATTTTAATAAAATTCTCTCTTTTTCTAATGCTTTAAATACACATTTATTTAAACAAATTTAAAAATATTCTAAAAATAAATTAAACGATGTATGACTAGCTTTCCAGACAAGAGTAACTCTTCTACATTCTAGTTGGGTGTCTTCACGATGTAGATCAGACATCTCCGTGGTTTATTTATTTTTCTAGGAATATTATTTTTTATATAACCCCCTAATTATATGAACACATGGAATAATTGTAGGTCTTTCATCTTTAATATTATTTTTAAAGTGCTATATGCTCCCTTCTGTCATTCTTGGTTATATATGGAAAGAAGATAAGAATTTTTTGGTAAGAATAAATAAGTAACATAAATGAATTCTATGTTGTTTACCTGAATGAGACCTTCTGAAATATCTCTGGATCATATGAGCTTGAAAAGACATATTGGAAAATAATTTCTATAATACATCAATGAGTTTTGCTGCTATTGTTCCTGTTGCTATTAAAACAGAGTTAAGTAGTCAATTACATTCCTCTCTGTTTTCTCTATATCTTTTATTACTTCAAATGATGAAATATGTAAGATATTAAAGTAACAAAAATAACACATTAAATTCAGGTCAAATAAAAGATAAGGATTTCTTTCTATAGGCAGCTTTACAAATAAGAATTTATAAATGTTAATATTTTTGTTTTTTAGAAAAGTGACTTGGTATAAAGATTGAAAAAGCTCAGATTTATATTGTTTGTAGTAACTTTTTAGACTGTTGGCCATTTCAGAGGAAAAACACAGGCGATTGTCAAATTTCTTTTTTTTTTTCTTCAGGAAGTATTATCTTGAATGTTTTCTTAACAATATGAGAAATAAATGACAAATTCTATACATAGATGTCACATTTTAAATCTGACAAATTTCAAACATTTAATTTCCCATGTTACTAACATATTAGAAAAGAATATAAACTAGGGATTATTAGATAATTCTGTGAAATGAACTATTATAGCTAAGTGGAGCATATTGATTATCTTTAAGTTTAATAATATCATAGAACAATTTATTATGCAGAAATATTAGATAAATGTATTATCATCTAAGGTAAATCAGGTTTGCTTAATCATGTTCTATTATAGGAATAATGTTGATATAATTAAAAGTATCCACTAAGCAGCACAAGGAAATTGATCAACAAAATACATCTTGATTAATTTCTAAGTCTACCATTTACCAAATCTGTTATTTTAAGCAGGTTATGTGACTCTGATTTTTGATCTGCAGGTTTTTTTGGCTATGAAATAATGAAATGGAGTTATAATACACAATGAATGTGGTTGTTCTGAGAATTAAATGTAACACTGCACATGAAACCCTATGCCGAGAGCCTTGCCTGAAGTAATTCCTTAATATATGAGACCTATTGTTATTATTATTAACATGATGATATTTAAATATTGCGTTCGAAAAACCAAGAAAATCTATGTATAAAATGGACAGAAGCAGCAGTTTTTTTTAATGAGAGAATATGCTTCTCTTGCTATATCATTTTCCTATATAGGAGTTTTGCTCTTTTATCTAGACATGTAATTAAAGCCATCAATTATTCCTAAAAAGTTTCCTATGGATAGAACACCTTTACTTTTAATCATCCTGGTGATGTCTCTTTTGTATGAAATGAAATTCCTAGCATTACATATGGAAATGTGAGAATCTCAGATTTATATACTCAATATCAAGATAAAATTACCTCCCCAAACTGCATTTACTTCAAAGCATTATTACTAGGGTTCCATGAAGCAATGTCAGCACATGGTCTGGCCTTCAGTTTCAAGGATTATAAAACAGAGAACCTATTAGGAAGAATACCAACATAGCAACTTATACGCCTTACTGCATGAGAATTAGTTTTTAAAAACCCACGTATTCAATCTGTGGCCTAGTCTCCGATTAAGAATGTGATAGAAGAGCCAACGCTGACGAAAGAACAGTGCATACTCCTGGTTATGAGAAGAAGAACAATGCATTGTTTCTGTATTACAGGGTGGTACTTTCCAGAAAAGGATTGAAGTAATTTGAAGGGGAAAAGCTTGAGAAACTCCTACTTTTATCTTCCTGGGAGGGTTCTTTTATCCTTGAGTATTTTGAGGGATCATACTAGAACTCAGATAGGAAAGAGAGAGAGAGAGAATGAGCTAAAAGTGAATCTTCAGTTTTCATGATAAGTTATTTTTATCTCTCCTCTGTAAGTACAGATATGGGAAGGAATTCACATCAGAAATCTTTACTGGGAATTAAGTGAATGGGATTGACTGGAGTAACCCGTGTCTTTAATGTCTTCATAAACTGTTGGGTGACTGTGACAAGAACATGAGAACCCTATGCAGTTAGTAACAAAGACAAATAGTGTCTGCAAGTAAATTATTCAAGGTGAATATACTGTAAATAAATGAAATGCATATGATTAAAGTTTAAGTAATTAGCTTATTAATTGATAGCAGTACAGTGAATTCAGTCACAGTCAAGTAATTGGATAAAGGGAATGGTTGAAATGACCAAAATGACTACGCCCTATTGCTTACTAGTTCTGTGAATATAGCCATGGTTTAAGGTCTAAGAAAGAATCAAACAAACTCTCTTGGCAAGTATGTTAAGGTTAATTGTTTTCCTAGCTGTGCAATCTTGGGTAGATTGTTTTGGTACCGTTTGCCTCACTTTGGAGTAAAATAAAGAACAACTTCCACACAATGTTGATGTGAATATTGAATAAGAAAAATATTTACAGAGACATATTGGGTTTTCAATATGTGATTTTGTTTTCCCTATTTATTTTTCTTTCTTCTCTAAGCAGAAATGGCATATCTCATAAGGCAGAATTTTTTCTGATGTCGCTATAAATATTTATATTTTTCTTCATTACCATTTCATTAGAAAAAATATTGTGAGCAACTTTCACACAAACACCTGGGGATGCAGCAGTGAAGAAAACCTGCAAGGGTCTGTCATCAGGGAGACTACATATAAAACACTCTGCAAACATTTGTTTTATGCTTTTATCTTTATAATTGATATCACTTGGATTTTTTTTTTTGCCTTTGAAAACAGCCTTACTATTCCCAGGCAGGCCATACATCGTACAACTAGACTCACATGTGGGTTTGCACCTTTTGATCTTTTAAGCTATTTGTGAATTAATATTCTTCATTTTTATCAGTAATATCAAATACAGACATAGAACATATAAATAGTATAGGCCTAAAAGCTAAATTTTGATCTCTAATTTAAAGTGAAAGATATATTAAATATAAAATAGTGAAGTAAAATGTTTTGGAATATAGTATCTCACAGATTAAAAAGCTTTGTTAATGCCTCTGAGGTTAATTGCATATTGAACCTAGTAAATTATCTTAATATCTCATTTTCATATAGAACCCTTGATAAACTTGATTACCTAAAGTTGTCTGATGCTGGTTAAATACTTCAAGGCAAACGAATAACTAAAACAATACTTTTTTTCTTTGTAACTCCATTTGAAAGGTAAAATTGAGTGTAATTAAACCCGATATGGTCTACTTGTTTTATATTTATTCACATAGGTTGGGATTTTCATGCTTAAGCTTGTTAGCTTTGGAATGCCTAGGATGGAACATAATTTGCAGAGTTACACTCCAGCAGTCAACAAACAATGGATCTCCTAAAACTGTCCTTGCGTCTACAGTAGCATTTCTTAATTATATATTTGGCACGGAGAACAAATGAATTGCCCTTAGAAACTAAGTGGATTATAAATTGTTAAGTCTACATTTCAGGCAGCAATGCCCATAAAATGATGTGAAAATTATCAATGCTAAAGCCCTTTCATAATAATAAAGAAATCAATCTAACTTTTAAGTATCATCGTGCATATTTTATTGTCATGAATTCCAGTGATTTGTGAAGCAGAGCCTGTGGGTGGGTACAGACTCCACTCCTGTCTGTGACTGCTGGGGATTCTAAACTGTCTTGCTAGTCCACTCTCAGCTTTTAGCATAAGCTGAAAACTTGCATAAAATTCTTTGTAACATCTGGTATACCTCCCGGGCTCTCTTCCTTGTGTGCGCTGCCAGGGATGTGTCCCTGTTCTTATCCCATCACTTTGAAGTGACTTACCTTGTAAATGTTATGGTATTTCACTGTCTTGTGTATGACTTCAACTTTCTGATGTATTCAATAAAAGATTTCTGGTTTTCATTTTAGTTTATTCAGCTTTAGCTTCTTGTTAGGTTGTATCTTTACAAGTTTTCTACATCTTATGTATAAGCAAAACATTCTCTGCTGCTTTAAGCTGTCTTTTTTGCTGATCAACTTTATATTTAATTGCCTGAGATTTAATTCAAAAACATATTATGACTAAACTAGAGGAGAAGCAAACATCCTCTCCAGAAGAACAGTTTCAAATATCCCCTTGAAAACGCCGAGTAAAATATTGTATTTAAGTGAACATTTTTCATTATTTTGTTGTGAACACATTATTTCTTGCCATGAGGAGTAGAAGGATGTGTTTGGGCACTGAATAACCCAAAGAACTGTCTATGGTAGATCAGGTTACTTGGCAACCCATCTCCATCATTACTCTTTCTTGTGTCCATGTGTGAATGGCAGAGATTGCAAAGGTACAAATGAAAATTTTGAGAGTCGTTTACAGCTAAGATTCTGCAAGTGAATTATTTCCGTTGGAAATACTTAATGTAATAACGGAAGCATTTTCTAACTTTTGGAGAGATGGAAGCTTAGAAGATGGCCAGTCTCATTATTACAGTGCTGAACCATCAGCTTTTTAGACAAGAAGTGGTTGCAATAATAGCGGGGATAAGAAAATATTTGTTATTTCTTTATATGAAGATGTCTTTCAGAAACAAGTAATCTAGCTGTGGCGGCCTGACTCCAAATCATTCAGAAAGGTGATTACAAAATTCAGCAATTTGTAATCACCTAATTTTCTGGATTAAATGCCTCCCTGATTGAATACACAGAATGAGTTCTGTTTTTTTCTTTTCTTTTTTTCTTTTCTTTTTTCTTTTTTTTTTTGAGATGGAGTCTCACTTTGTAGCCCAGACTGGAGTGCAGTGGCATGATCTCAGCTCACTGCAACCTCTGTCTCCCAGGTTCAAGCGGTTCTCCTGCTTGAGCCTCCCAAGTAGCTGGGATTACAGGTGCACACCACCGTGACTGGCTAATTTTTGTATTTTTAGTAGAGACAGGGTTTCACCATATTGGCCAGGCTGGTCTTGAACTCCAGACCTTGTGATCTGCCCACCTCGGCCTCCCAAAGTGCTGGGATTACAGGCGTGAGCCACCGCTCCCGGCTGAGTTTTATTTTCTTTAGAACATCCTAACTTAAAGGAAATAGAAGCCAAGTCTGAGAAAAGCTGATTTATCTGTGGAGAATAGTTTCTCTAAATGTAAGAATGAAAGATTATTTGAATGTGAAACCTAAAGAGCACAGGAAAACTAAGATGTCACTTGACTAGCTTGAATACATTAATGTCCTACAAAGGGTATATTGGATATAAGACTACAGAGAAATTTTGCAGATAAAGTAATATTTTTGTGATTCTTCTCTAATCATGAAAGAGATCTGCTGCTTGCTATAGTAAAACATAGAAGAATATTTTTCTTTTAATTTCTACCAATTTTTCAGTGAATATGTTTCCTCATAATTGTTTCAAATTTCGTTTAAATTTAACCAATACTTTGTCTTACTTTTAAATGGTATGCTTTTACTTTTAGGTATTGCTTTTAGATGTCTTGTGTTTTCTTTTTTAAAATATTTCATTTGACTGTTGGTAAACAATTGATAGCTTTAAGACTGATAGAAGAAAAGAAGAACCAACATTTTATTTCTTAAATTTTTTAAATAAATAGATTAGGTTAGAAATCTGTTACTCGGGTTAAATGCTTTGCTTAATGTCCCTCAACTAGTAAACTATGGGGATAGGATCTATTTGCCTTTATTGCCCATGGGTTTTCACGTATATGCCTATATTGCAACAGCATTTTTTGTTAAAGAAGTGATGATCTTTTTAAGCCAAATTGTCTTGTAACTCAGCACATTTTGATTTTTTTCACTGTTTTCTTTTCTGAATAAATGAGAATAATATTTTTATTGCTGTATCTTCTGGCCTTCACATACAGATTATTTTCTCTTCCTTCTTCCCCTAAATAGACTTTCAGAGCACTATGACCAGGAGTTATTCCAAGGCTAGTCTAATGGAAAGTAAACAATCTGTATCAAGCTGGGATATACACTGCAGAAATGGAATTTAACAGTAATTCACTGAAATAATAAGCTACCTAAGAGAAAATAAGGGAATTTGGACATAGAATATTGTCATTGTGACTGTTATTGGTAGATTTGATCAGGTCTGTCTCTGCAGTTAAAAGGAAAGAAAAAAGAAGCTGGATGTGACCATATAACTGGGAACTACAAACAGAAAGATCCATGTATTGCCTTACCCTTCCAATTCTTTTGCGATGATCACTGAGTGTCAGTTTTATCCTCTTAAGAACAAGGATTTCACAAAACCACTCAAGAGCTATTCAAGCCACAAATTAAACAATAAAGATAAATCATGCTTTATTCAATTTGATTTGAGCTCCCAGTAAGCAAATATTTACATATGCTTTTAAGTATATGTTTTTTAAAATCAACTTTATTAAGATATAATTGACATACAATCAACTGCACATATTTAAACTTACAACCTCATATGTTTTGACATATCGACACACATGATCACCACAATCAGGAGAGTGATCATATTCATCATCCTCAGTTCACATTATCTCTTTTGTGACTCCACTCTATATGCAATAACTGATCCATTTTCTGTTACTAAAGATGAGTTTGAAGATTATAAAGTTATCTATATATGGAATTATTTGGCAAATACTCTTTTGTTCAGCTTCTGTCACAGAGCATAATTATTTCGACATATGATATTAGTGCACAATCTATTAGAAAATAATAAATTAGCATCACAATTAAAATGTTCTGTTCAGCAAAAGTCATGGTTAGGAGAAAGAAAAGACTAGCCACAGACTAGGAGAAAGTATTTATAAATGATGTACCTTACAAAAGATTTGTATCTATATATATATATATATTTTGAGACACTCAAAATTCAAATATAATAAAACAAACAACCTGATTTTTAAAATGGGCAAAATACTTGAACAGAACAAAAGCAAAAAAAAAAAAAAAAAGAATGAAGGCTCAACCTTATGAATTACTGGGGAAACACAAATTACAAACCCAATGATACATCATTGCACATTTAATAGAATGACTAATGTTAAAGACGGAATCTACCAAATGTTAGTAAGAATGTGGAAAAACTGGAACTCTCAAACACTCCTGATAAGAGTATATGATGTATCGCCATTTTGCAAATCAATTTTGCAGTTTATTTTAAAAAGTTAAACATTTCCTTACCATGTAATCCAGCTCTTTCATTCCTCAGTACTCACCCAGGAGAAATACAAGCGTATGCTTATGTAAAAATTTGTGCATATACGTTCATATAAGCTTTATAACTGAAAAAGTTTCAAATTTTCCTTAACTGGTGAATAAATAAATAATATGGCATATCCATACAGCGGAATACTACTCAGCAATAAGCATAATGAACTACTGCAAGGCAACAACATAGAGAGGTGTTTTTATAGTAAACAATACAATCGTTTGGTAAAAACACAAAGCACATGTAAATCCAAATGAGGCAGAAATATTTTATTAAAATTTTCATGTTTGGCATTTCAAAAATGTTAACCCTAATATAGTTTAAATGTACATATGAATGTAAACATGTTTCTGTATTAAAAAAGTCACAGAAACCAAAGCTGGAAATGTCTAATTCGTGCATCATTATTTGCTCTGAAGTAATGTATTAATGTGTTACAATCCAAACTCCAAATAGACATTTAAATTCATGTTTTATATTTGTCCTTCTCTCTCATATAATGTTCTGTTTAATTGTTAAACAAAAACAAAAACAATTGTACCTTATTTTGTTACTCTCTAGTAAGAGATGTAGTAACTAGGCAATGTCACTTAGATTACCCTTTTTACATCTCCATGCATAACCATTTATACTGAAACCAGCACATAAAAAGTACCTGAAAATTAGGATTATTTAATTTGGTAGTGATGTTTTGCAATTGGAGATGGTGTTGATATTTAGTTGATTACAGTAAGGATAATATTAGCCAGAGACTCAACTCAGCTGAATTAAATAAAAAGAGAATACATTAGCATACATTCTTGGTAAAGCTATATGTAGAGGTGATTTGACACATGACTGGAGTCAAGTGTTCCAGCAAGCAATGCCTCTCTGTTGCGCTTTCTTTGATTACAGACACTCCACAGTTTATTACAAAAAAAAAGAAAAAGAAAAAGACTGCTAGCAACCTCAGCTTCACAACCGCAGAGGAAAAAAATTACTCCAGGCCAAAAAAGCCAGGAGACGTTTAATGGCTCTGATTGGCCTGGTGTGACCCCACACCTAAATTAATCATTTTGATCCCAGTGGTATAGTAAATAGCTCATTGAAGAGACCTGCTTAACCTGACATACATGTTCATGAAATGGACACATTCCCTATTGTATCAAAGGAAAAACAAGATCCTGTTACAAAGAGAAAAGGTAATGGATGATGGGCAATGAAAACAATTTCCCATTAACAAAATGATTAGATTCTATAAAGGGAAATTGACATTCCCTATCATGTATTTCTATCAGGAATAGTGAAACAGTGGTGTGAGCAGGAGGTTTACTAGTTCCTTGGAAGGTAAAACTATGGTAGATTTCTGTTATTGGAATATTGATTGGAGTATAGATTAATTATTAATCCTCAGAAGTTTTTAGATTTTACTTGAAAGTTTGATTTATGTTTATCTAATTGACTGTGTGTGTGTTTGAGGTGAGAGTTGATGATGAAACAAAAACAAAACAAGTGTAGCTATCTGAGGGAAAATGTCCATGTAATATTGGTTTTACTTGTTTTATTTGCTTTAAAAATTTTTTTTTCTTCCACCGCCTATCTGTAGATCTTAATCTTAATTTAAACCAACATGGTGAAACCCCGTCTCTACAAAAATACAAAAATTAGCCAGGCATGATGGCGGGTGCCTGGAGTCCCAGCTACTCGGGAGGCTGAGGAAGGAGAATTGCTTGAACCCGGCAGGAGGAGGTTGCAGTGAGTGGAGATCGCGCCATTGCACTCCAGCCTGGGGGATAGAGTGAGACTCCGTCTCAAAACAAACAAACAAACAAACAAACAAACCATAGGTATATTTTCTTTAAAATATCAAATGAATTGCACTGGTCACAGAAACCCAGGTGGAAAGAAGTTTTAATTTATTTGACTTATTTTTTTAAATACACATGTAATAATTAGTTCCCCATTGTGCGGAGCAGAAATTAGGAAGAAGTAAAAGTAGAAAGAGCAAAGTTGCCACTTCTGATGTATTGGAGGAAAATAGGAAAGGGGGTTGCTTCCGACAAGCACAATGAAAGATGGGTAACTAAGGTAAATAGATCTATTTTAAGTTTTTCATTTCATGGTCACTTTTTTTTTTTTTTTTGACTGCTCCTTGTGGGGTAGGGCTAACCCATAGGCCAGAGTGTGCTCAGAGCAGCCTGCAGACGATTCTTAGCAAAACTGCTGGTTCTGCAGTTTGTTAAAACTGGTCCTCTAGTTGATTGTAGCAGGAAAAAAAGGACAATTTTTATGTGAAAATAAAACAGAGATGTTGATATACATTTGTGATATGAAAAAGTGTATTTTTTAAAAGCAGACTAACTTCACTAGGCAGCCATAAAACTCCTAAAATGCTTACTGGTCACCGTCCATTTTGAGAAAAATGGCTGCTTCACCTCCACGCATAATTCTGTATTCTTCAAACTGTGTGGTCCATTCCCTTATGATTTGGTTGGTAAACGCATGGTGATTGTGTGTATGAAACCACTCCAGCCACTTTTCTCGGGAAAGGGCAGTCATGGCAGATACTTTAAATCATCCTGGTCAATTGAACTAAACCAGAACACAAAGAGCTAATCAGGATTTAAAGATTAGCACGAATTTCACTGCAACATGATTCTAGGTTGTTTTTGCCTTTCGTTACTATGTAACAAAGAAAGACAGCAAAGGCTCCAGTCGATAAGGATATTAATGGGAGTAGCTGTAGTTCCTCCATATGTTAGTTTCTTACAGAGGTGCACTGGGGTTGAGAGCATCAGTAGTAGAAGACTTGAGCCATGACCTGTAGCCTTTTATGACTGTAGGATTTTGGTGGCCTGCATCAGCACTCAAGATTTGAAATATCCTATGAGCTGATTCTTTGCTGAGCCGCAAAGTGCCTCTGTATTCTATTTCTTTGCTCTAGCTTATGTCGAATCCTTCATTGCAACTACAGGACGACCACAGGAAGCTGTGCCCTAATGTAACAATCTAGTAGGATCAGGAACTCCTGTGACCAGTAGATTTTTGTTGCATGCTGAACAGCGATTAGGTTTCCTGGGATCTGAAATTGTGGAAGCTGAAATGATTTTATTGTGCCTCTCTCTCTCAGTTGTTACCTGCTATAATCTTGCCTGTATTCTAACCTGTATTCTTTGTTACATAACATTTGCTTTTTTCCCCACAAATAAATGTTTGGAAAATAGAATTATTATGGAACTTGTTTTTACTTAATGAAATATAATAAATTAGTTTTGTATAGGCATTTTGCATGCATCTCTCTGTAAAACTGAAACATCACGGAGTTTCTTTGTGAAGCCCATTAATCTGGAGATTCACTCTTCATATAACCCTTGTGCTTTCTGTAACAGAACATTACCGATAAAATTTTCTATCTAATAGAACATGGGAAGCCTGATCTTAGAAAAGACTAAAAGAAAATCAAATACAATGGTATTATTGACATTTATTAGGAGTTTTACACAGTTTCTGGCCAAGCTAAACAAGACAAATTTGTACATTTAGTCATTTCAAAACACTATATGAATTTCTACTCCTCTATTTTTTATTCTTAGACATAGACCTCACTTCCTTAGAAGAACATAAAATGCAAAATGTATGCGTCTGGTCTTATACATTTCTATCGCTATACGCACCCAGTCACTTTCTCCTAAATGGTCATCTTGGGTTACCAAATGTGGCATGTTCTCATTTATAAGTGAGAGCTAAACATTGGGTACTCATGGACTTAAAGATGGCAATAATAGACACTGGGAACTACTAGAAGTGGGAGGGAGAGAGGGAGGAGAGCAAGGGTTGAAAAACCAACTATTAGGTACTATGCTCACTACCTGAGTGACAAGATCAATTATATCCCAAGTCTCACCATCAGGCAATCAACCCAGGTAACAAACCTGCACATGTACTTCCTGAATGTTAAATAAATGTTGAAGGAAAAACTCAGACATTAAAGAGATTTGTAATAAAAAATATATGTAACTATATTGGCTTAAATCTTCCTACTTACAAGAGTTTCACAAAATTTCTTTCTCAAGTTTAAAACCTATTTTCTTTAGAAAGTAACCCATTTCATGGTTGCTCAATTTTTGAAGTTAGTAGGTCAAAATCGGCAGAAGAAATAGGTAGGAATAGGTGGAAGCATGAGGTCCCTGCCAATGGATCTATGCTAATTTCTCAAGTAGAATGACTACTTACATCAGGAATGGGCACAGTGTTGGAGTCCAAAAAGATGGACTTTGAATTCTAGAAAGATTTAATTTTGAATACTTCATCACAGTCACACTTGCTAAAACATTAATTCTGTCTAATACAGGTCTGCCCACAGCAAGGCTATAGTTCAATTTCTTTTTTATTGTAAACAGTGAGTTTCCTGAATGAGTTTTATTTATTCATTTATTTATTCCCAACATAGTAGTAATTTTTTTCATATTTCTTGTTTTATATGAGAGATATTTTAAGTTTGAAAATTATACACAAAATTTTTTAATTGATCAAACACAAAAAAAAGAAAGACATAGGTACATGCACATAAATATTTCAATAATATAATTATTCAGCTTGATTCTGGATATTAGCCCTTTGTCAGATGAGTAGATCGCAAAAATTTTCTCCCATTCTGTAGGTTGCCTGTTCACTCTGATGGTAGTTTCTTTTGCTGTGCAGAAACTCTTTAGTTTAATTAGATCCCATTTGTCAATTTTGGCCATTGCTTTTGGTGTTTTAGACATGAAGTCCTTGCCCGTGCCTATGTCCTCAATGGCATTGCCTAGGTTTTCTTCTAGGGTTTTTATGGCTTAGGTCTAACATTTAAGTGTTTAATCCATCTTGAATTAATTTTTATATAAGGTGTAAGGAAGGGATCCAGTTTCAGCTTTCTACACATAGCTAGCCAGTTTTCCCAGCACCATTTATTAAATAGGGAATCCTTTCCCCATTTCTTGTTTTTGTCAGGTTTGTCAATGATCAGATGGTTGTAGTTGTGTAGTATTATATCTGAGGGCTCTGTTCTATTCCATTGGTCTATATCACTGTTTTGGTACCAGTGCCGTGCTGTTTTGGTTACTGGAGCCTTGTAGTATAGTCTGAAGTCAGGTAGTGTGATGCCTCCAGCTTTGTTCTTTTGGCTTAGGATTGTCCTGGCAATGCAGGCTCTTTTTTGGTTCCATATGAACTTTAAAGTAGTTTTTTCCAATTCTGTGAAGAAAGTCATTGGTAGCTTGATGGGGATGGCATTGAATCTATAAATTACCTTGGGCAGTATGGCCATTTTCATGATATTGATTCTTCCTATCCATGAGCATGGAATGTTCTTCCATTTGTTTGTGTCTTCTTTTATTTCATTGAACAGTGGTTTGTAGTTCTCCTTGAAGAGGTCCTTCACATCCCTTGTAAGTTGGGATGTTATTCCCTTTGAAGCAATTGTGACTGGAAGTTCACTCATGATTTGGCTCTCTGTTTGTCTGTTATTGGTGTATAAGAATGCCTGTGATTTTTGAACATTGGTTTTGTATCCTGACACTTTGCTGACGTTGCTTATCAGACTAAGGAGATTTTGGGCTGAGACGATGGGGTTTTCTAGATATACAATCATGTCGTCTGCAAACAGGGAAAATTTGACTTCCTCTTTTCCAAATGGAATACATTTTATTTATTTCTCTTGCCTGATTGCCCTGGCCAGAACTTCCAACACTATGTTGAATACGAGTGGTGAGAGAGGGCATCCCTGTCTTGTGCCAGTTTTCAAAGGGAATGCTTCCAGCTTTGCCCATTCAGTTTGATATTGGCTGTGGGTTTGTCATAAATAGCTCTTATTATTTTGAGATATGTCCCATCAATATGTCTCATCAATTTATTGAGAGTTTTTAACATGAAGGGCTGTTGAACTTTGTCAAAGGCCTTTTCTGCATCTATTGAGATAATCATGTGGTTTTTGTCTTTGGTTCTGTTTATAGGCTGGATTATGTTTATTGATTTGCATATGTTGAACCAGCCTTGCATCCCAGGGATGAATCCCACTTGATCATGGTGGATAAGCTTTTTGATGTGCTGCTGGATTCTGTTTGCCAGTATTTTATTGAGGATTTTTGCATCGATGTTCATCAGGGATATTGGTCTAAAATTCTCTTTTTTTGTTGTGTTTCTGCCAGGCTTTGGTATCAGGATGATGCTGGCCTCATAAAATGAGTTAGGGAGGATTCCCTCTTTTCCTATTGATTGGAATAGTTTCAGAAGGAATGGTACCAGCTTCTCCTTGTACCTCTGGTGGAATTGGGCTGTGAATCCGTCTGGTCCTGGACTTTTTTAAGTTGGTAAGCTATTCATTATTGCCTCAATTTCAGAGCCTGTTATTGGTCTATTCAGAGACTTAACTTCTTCCTGGTTTAGTCTTGGGAGGGTGTATGTGTCGAAGAATTTATCCATTTCTTCTAGATTTTCTAGTTTATTTGCGTAGAGGTGTTTATAGTATTCTCTGATGGTAGTTTATATTTCTGTGGGATCGGTGGTGATATCCCCTTGATCATTTTTTATTGCGTCTATTTGATTCTTCTCTCTTTTCTTCTTTATTAGTCTTGCTAGCAGTCTATCAATTTTGTTGACCTTTTCAAAAAACCAGTTCCTGGATTCATTGATTTTTTGAAGGGTTTTTTGTGTCTCTATCTCCTTCAGTTCTGCTCTGATCTTAGTTATTTCTTGCCTTCTGCTAGCTTTTGAATGTGTTTGCTCTTGGTTCTCTAGTTCTTTTAATTGTGATGTTAGGGTGTCAATTTTAGATCTTTCCTGCTTCTCCTGTGGGCATTTAGTGCTATAAATTTCCCTCTACACACTGCTTTGAATGTGTCCCAGGGATTCTGGTATGTTGTGTCTTTGTTCTCGTTGGTTTCAAAGAACGTCTTTATTTCTGCCTTCATTTCGTTATGTACCCAGTAGTCATTCAGGAGCAGGTTGTTCAGTTTCCATGTAGTTGAGTGGTTTTGAGTGAGTTTCTTAATCCTGAGTTCTAGTTTGATTGCAGTATGGTCTGAGAGACAGTTTGTTATAATTTCTGTTCTTGTACATTTGCTGAGGAGTGCTTTACTTCCAAGTATGTGGTCAGTTTTGGAATAAGTGAGATACGAAAGAGAGGATTGGCAAATTGGCTATTACCATACTTTCACTAAAGCATGAGAACATTTCCCATAAGAAATTGACATATTTACTTAAAATTATTCTAAACATTCCATATCCAGTATTTTAGGCATTATTGAAAATGGTTGTCACTGGAAATATAAAAGGCCTTTTCATGATTCTGTGTTGTCTTATTGTCTGAATATGTGACTCTCCACATTGACACCAAATTGCTCTCCTGTCAACATGTAAAAGGATGGATCATTTTATCTTCTGAGCGATGAAGTTTCAAATCCACAAAGCACAGGCTGTCAGTCCTTTGAGGTGATTATGATGCCTCAAACCTGACAGCTTGCCCTGACAGCTTTCACATATTCCTGAAATCAAATTGTTCCTGCTTCTATTAGAAGAAGGCAGGTGTGTGAAAACTAGAGGAAGAAGAAGGTAAATAGAAAATAAAATGATCTTCATGTGCAGAGTAATTATAAAAAGCTGTTTCCAGGGAAAAGTGTAGATATTGATTTTACCTCTCTTCCTGATGTTCACGGATGAGACCACAAAGAACCCATATGGGTTCAAGGTTTGCCAGGAAAGAAATATCAAGATAAGCAGATGGCAGTGCCATTGCCATATGGCTGCTTAGGAATGGACCTATGTGATGGCATTTTGCCATAAGACAAAGCTAGAAATATTTTCCTGATACTATTTTAAACAGCACAAAAAAAGAATATGTGTTTGTTGACATTAAAAATCATTAGAAAATTATGACAGAAATACTTTATTATATTCAACTCCACAAACTGGCTCTCAGACTTAAAAACAATTTAAAGTGGATGAGTATTTTTTATAGTTTGAATACAGAATTATATGGATAATAAGAACTTCTTTCACTGTGATTAGTCAGAATATTTTTGAAGGCATATATATAACTACAACTTAGAACCAATGTTGGAACATTTACAATACAAAATAATAAGATAAATATCACTGTGAAAGTTATCAATTCTCATATTATGCTGGTGTAAATGAAAATTCCAAGTGAAGAAAGGGGTATAGTTAGATTTAGAAGCTGAAGAGAAAGGCCCATGGCCCAGGTATAAGTTATGACAACGTCAGGAATCAGTGAATCCCTCTAAACTACAATTTCTTTTACTGTAAAATATGGTATTGTTGAGAAAAGCCATGCTATGAAGAACAAAGAGGACATTTGAAGTTCACATAGAACTCAATTCAAATTCCTCTCCTCCTGTTACCAGCTTTACCTTTTTTTTTTTTGAAAACTAATAAAACTTTAAACTCTATGTCCCTATCTGAAGGAGGAGGATAATAATATCTAAATCATAGGGCTGTCGTGAGAAGAGAGATAATTCCAGATGACTCTGGGTAATTAAAGAAATGAGCAAAAGGGAATTGGAGGACAGCAAGTTTATCTCAGGCATACTTATTAGAAGTGATTGAAAAGCAGAGAGTGGGTCAACTACCCCAACCCTGGAAGCATCTCATCTGACTGAAAATGCTTAGTTTGTTCTAGGTATATCGTCTTTTTTTTGAGACGGAGTCTCGCTCTGTCGCCCAGCCTGGAGTGCAGTGGCGCAGTCTCGGCTCACTGCAAGCTCTGCCTCCCGGGTTCACGCCATTCTCCTGCCTCAGCCTTTGGAGTAGATGGGCCTACAGGCGCCCGCCACCACGCCCGGCTAATTTTTTGTATTTTTGGGAGAGACGGGGTTTCACCGTGTTAGCCAGGATGGTCTCGATCTCCTGACCTCGTGATCCACCCACCTTGGCCTCCCAAAGTGCTGGGATTACAGGCGTGAGCCACTTTGCCCGGCCGGTGTATCATCTTTTAAGTGACTTTCCTGTGTAGGGGTCAAGTGAAAACTTTCCCTTCACTCTCTGAAAATTCACTGAAAAATCAACTGACAAAAGACAGATTAATAGAAGAAATGGTAAATCAATTTATTAATGTATATGGGGGAGAACCATAGAGTAAAAACTTCAATGGGGTACAGAAAGTTATATAGCTTTTTTGCAGATGGGTGGGGGGCGATGGGAAATACAGGCAATCCTGTGGCGAGGCAATCAATTATTACTGGGGACAGAGTTTAACTTGTAAATGGTTCTCTTTGAAACGGAATAAGCCTAGAGTCTGTTCATGTGTGGTTGCATTCTCTCATTCTTTTATTATAATTTTTTGTAATAATGTGGTAATAGGGAGGGAAGGAAAAACACTTGTTATCCTTGGAGGATCCTGCAGGTCTTTCCATAGATAGCAGAAATTTCTCCTCCAGCATCTTGATCCTTAAGGGTCTTTAATTCAAAATACCCATTATACCATGTAGCAGTATTTTGGAGGGAAAGAGTTTGGTAACCTTTATACGGCACAGAGAAATATCACTAGCTACAAGTATATACTTTGGAGACATTTATCTCATATTGACAAACAGCTTTCCAGCTGTGGCTTCCCTGGAGAATTTGGTGCAGCCTATCTTTTGTGGATCCTCACAAGTTTCCTAATGTTCCATTTAAAAGAGCAGGTCAGGTCGCATTTGCCCTAGAGTGCAAGGCATGGCCAGTTCATGCAAGCATTCACAGCCACAAGCTGATCAAACAAAGCTTTTGAGGTCAGAAGCACAGATTTCTACCCATCCATTCTCCTCCAATATGACTTCCCTAATCCAGTTTCCCAGTTATATCATTATTTTTATTGTTTCTCCTCCCTTTTAATGATTCTGAGAATTTAAGTGAAAAACTTTCTTTACATATCCGAAAACTATTCAACAATAATAATATATTTGATCATTGTGTTCTTTATAAAATCCCTTTCCCATATGTTTCTCCTTTAATCTTTTAATCAGTCCTGTGAGGTTGGTGGTATTATACCATCTCCCCCTAAACATATTAACCCAGACACATGATACAGATAAATATTTTAAGCAGTTGTTAGACATGATCAGTGACAAATAATCAGTAGGCAATAAAGCTGGGAAGAATAACAAGCCATATGATCAAAATATACATGTCTTTTCATAATACTGATAGGGCTGGTATTAACTTGCTTACTTTTATAGATGTTTTTATTAAAGAAGTAGGTAGAGCTGGGCGTGGTGGCTCACACCCGAAATCCAGCACTTTGGGAGGCCAAGGCGGGTGGATCACTTGAGGTCAGGAGTTCCAGACCAGCCTGGTCAACATGGTGAAACCCAGTTTCCACTAAAAATACACAAATTAGCCAGGTGAGGTGGCTCATGCCTGTAATCCCAACTACTCGGGAAGCTGAGGCAGGAGAATAGTTTAAACCCGGGAGGCAGAGGTTGCAGTGAGCTTAGATTGTGCCACTCCACTCCAGCCTGGGCAACAGAGTAAGACTCCCATCTCAATAAAATAAAAAAAAAAGTAGGTATAGAATTTTTTTTACTTTATTCATTCAGATTTTCTTCAAAGATTACTGATACGCAACTACACAAACCATATTGAAGTTTAATCTCTCCTTTAATATTTTTTCCAAGTACCTGATAATACAGAGACCATATTTTATTTAATAAGCATTGTATGTGGAAATAAACAAACTTCAAACAGAAAAGACAGCTTTGAACGGTGTTAACAAAGGAAGACCATGAGATCTACAGAGGCAAGAAAGAAAGCTTTATTTTCTGAAAAGAAACAATCTGTGGGTTAGGGAGCCACAGCCTTCTGAGTATAACAAAAATGTGCTCCAAGGAAGGATTGGAGAGTTACAGATGATACACTGAAAACACAGATGATACACAGAAGAGGGGAGGCGTGGTCAGGGGAATAAGGAAGAGAGTCTTGATTGGATGCTCCCAAAGCACCAGTCGCTCTTAATTAGCTGGTTCCAAGTATTGGTCAGTTGATGCCAGGTGGTCTCTTGGTGGTCAGTGGGAAATTTCCAGCTGCAGTTGTTTTTGACATTGTTTTCAGGAACTGTCCTTCAACTTGGTTGCAGAGTGACTGCAAGCTCCGACTCCCAGGTTCACGCCATTCTCCTGCCTCAGCCTCCTGAGTAGCTGGAATTACAGGCACCCGCCACCACGCCCGGCTGATTTTTTCTATTTACCACGCCCGGCAAATTTTTTGTATTTTTAGTAGAGACAGAGTTTCACTTTGTTAGCCAGGATGGTCTCGATCGCTTGACTTCGTGATCCGCCCGCCTCAGCCTCCCAAAATGCTGGGATTACAGGCGCAAGCCGCTGCGCGTGGCTTCCGGTTCTACTTTTTAACCTTTTGAGCCACAGGGAGTCCACCTTGTTTGTCAACTGGAGGCATAATTTGACAGGGGTCTGAAAACCGAGAGCAACTCAAATGAATGAACAGATTGAATGAATGAATGAGTGAATGAGATGAAAACTGGAAGCAATTAACCCATTAACATTTTTTAAAATTGGGGCCTATAATGTATGAGAAAGTATGAAAGGTGCTAAAGAATGCATGAGATTATAATATACTTTCCCAGATCTCAAGAATAAAATTAAAAAAGAAAAAACATAGCCAGGGCAGGAAGATTCCCTGAGCCAAGGGTTTTGAGGCTGCAGTGAACACTGATCACACCACTGCACTCCAGCCTGGGGAACAGGGCGAGACTCCAGCTGTAAAACAAAACAAAAAAGAAGAAGAAGAATAAAATAAGAGCAGCAACGCTGCAGCAGAGATTTGTGATTTGTTGCACTAAATTAAAAACTGATAGCACGTTGGTGAGTTGAAAAGTGCCCTAAAGTAGGAATCTGAAGACCAGAGTCAGCCACACATCAGATGAATGACCTAGGACTCAACAACTCCCAGGCTTTTATTCATTAGTGAAACGGCACTAATAGTAACTGCCCTGCCTCCTACACGGGCCTTTATATGCATGCATATCAAATAAAATATTCTACACCAATTTTTTTCAAAATATCGATGTAGAAATTTTGAAATTTATTTAGACATACTGATTGTTTTTAGCCATCTCTTCAGTGACTCATGGGGAATATGAGAAACTGCAACTAGTTAATTGGGGCTATCATTTTCAAAGCAGGGAAATGAACTTCTTTGGAACCAAAAACACAGTTTACAGGAGTGTTGCCTTAGGATAAATATATTGATGTAGGCAGCTAGGAGAATCGGCTAGAAGTTTGATCCCAGATCAGACTAGCAAGAAAGATAGCAGTATTTTGTAGTTTGAGAAATGTATATGCATTTTAAGTATACAAAGAACTGAAATGCATACAAGTAAAATCTTTGTTAGGAGGACACTGCCTGCTATTTGGAAATTATATATTTTTATTAAGTTGTTCTATAAAAGTAACACATTACATTTGGGATTAACTGAAGGTTACTGTTAGTTAAAAATGATACTACAGTGGTTGCTGTAATAGGGAAATCCTTAAATCTTAGTGAGTTACCATAGTAAAAGTCTCTTTATTGCTCAGGTAAAATCCAATCCAGAGTGGGTTGGTGTGTCCCGAGTTTGTTCCTTCCGGTGGGTTCATGGTCTGGCTGACTTCAGGAATGAAGCTGCGGACCTTCGTGGTGAATATTACAGCTCTTAAAGGTGGTGCAGACTGAAAGAGTAAGCAGCAGCATGATTTTTTGCAGAGGAACAGAAGAACAAAGCTTCCACAACGTGGAAGGTGACCCCAGCGGGTTGCAGCTGCTGACAGGGGTGGCCAGCTTTTATTCCCTTATTTGTTCCTGCCCATGTCCTGCTGATTGGTCCATTTTACAGAGTGCTGATTGGTCCATTTTACAGAGCGCTGATTGCTGCATTTTACAAACTTCCAGCTAGCTACAGAGTGCTGATTGCTGCATTTTTACAGGGCACTGATTGGTACATTTTACAAACCTCTAGCTAGCTATAGAAAAGGTCTCCAAGTCCCCACTCGATGACCCAGGATGTCCATCTGGCTTCACCTCTCATTAGGACAGGAGGTTAGTTGGGAGTTTTGGAGGAGGCAGCTTCTATCAAATGTCCATTCAGAACCCGAGCTGACAGAGCCACCATCTTCAGCACTTGGTTTCCAAGGTGATTCTGGATGTCAGCACCCATCAAGTGACCACGAGCAAAATAATGGATGAAAGACTGAGGAAGATTTTATTTTATTTTATTTAAAGATTAAGTTACATTTTATTCTTTCTGTGTGTGTAGGAGATGTTTGAAATAAAACTGGTTAACACCATTTACACCGATAATCCATTGCCTAAAATTTAGTGACATAGACACATGAAAAAGCGGATGAAAAATAGTGTTGTGTGCCCAAAAAGTAAGGAAATATAAACAACCCACCATTCTTTGTCACAGTCTTGAGAGGTGAAGCCGGCTGGGCTTTAAGGAAATATAAACAAACCACCATTTTCCGTCACACTCTGTCCTTCTGTTCCTCAAGCAACTTTCGTATTTTGCTCTAGCACAGACCGCACTTATGGGAGGTAGTCCCAAATCCCATTCAGTCACAGCTGGCTCTTATCTACATGGGACTCTGAGCTCTGGAGATCTGTAAATTAAAAATACAGTTTATCTTAAACCTGCCCTGAGAAGCAAGTATACAATGGAGAAGGGGCAATGTAACAACAACAAAAATCCTAGCTCATAAAAGGGATGAGAGGGAACACACCTCCATCATTGGTCCGTAGGAAATCTTGCTGGGCAGGCAGATGGCGGGCAGGGGGCAGCCCCCGCCGCAATCGAGGATAATGGAAACGCCTTGGCTAGACCACATATCTGCTATCTGTATGGAACTTCTTTGATGGCCGACCTCCTTTGCCCTGGCTCCACCAGCTAAAGGATTTTACGTATGTATCAATGTTAACAGAGACATGACAGAAGGGGGTACTGAAGAGGATGCTTCTCCTGTAGGCTGTAACTTTCGCAGCCAATTTCATATTAGCAAAATTTTAGGAACAAAATAGTCAAATAATAAAAGACTTTATTTTTTGGTTTGAGATTACAGGATTTTTGACATAAAATTCAAAATGACGATTCCTCAAAAATGGAATCATCTTCAAATATTTGTTTTCAGTAGGTTCCAGGTGACTTCTAGAGTTCTGCCTTCCTTACTCAGCTGCTTCCTTGCTCCGCATTTTCTTGCTCAATTTAATAGAGGTGACCTTGAGACCGCTGGCCTTCATCTAATTATTATTGCAGAACTGGGCCAAAAAGAATTCTGATGTTCAAAATATTTTAACATTGTATTTATATTGTTTGGAATCTAGAAGCTAATCTACAGTGGTCTCAAATATATGCATTTTCTCTATTCCCTTTCATTTTTGCTTGCAAATAAGGCAATTTTCACATGATGCCTTCTCATTCTTATAATATATTGCTAAATGCAGCTAATAGCTCCCAACATACATTACTAACTTCTGTTTTCCAATCTCTTCCCCCAGAGCTGGAAGCTTAGTGGACATGTGGTCTGCCTGATGAGTTATCACAGATGACATTTTGAACATTTGTTTTCCCACTGCTTAACGGTTATCTCCATTTTTTTTTTCAGTCTCTTTTATTAGTATCTTGGTAGCTCATTGCCTCACCAACAATGACATAATTTAAGATTATTATTATTATTATTATACTTTAAGTTTTAGGGTACATGTGCACAACGTGCAGGTTTGTTACATATGTATACATGTGCCATGTTGGTGTGCTGCACCCATTAATTCGTCATTTAGCATTAGGTATATCTCCTAATGCTATCCCTCCCCTCTTCCCCCGCCCCACAACAGTCCCCGGTGTGTGATGTTCCTCTTCCTGTGTCCATGTGTTCTCATTGTTCAGTTCCCACCTATGAGTGAGAACATGCGGTGTTTGGTTTTTTGTCCTTGTGATAGTTTGCTGAGAATGATAGTTTCCAGCTTCATCCATGTCCCTACAAAGGACATGAACTCATCATTTTTTATGTTTGCATAGTATTCCATGGTGTATATGTGCCACATCTTCTTAATCCAGTCTATCATTGTTGGACATTTGGGTTGGTCCTAAGTCTTTGCTAGTGTGAATAGTGCTGCAATAAACATATGTGTGCATGTGTAAATCATGCTGCTATAATTTAAGATTTTTTAAAGTTAGTATCACATTTCTGATAACAACTCTCGTATTAATTAAGTTAATGCTAGTTGCTGTAACAAGAAAAGTTTGTATCTTGCTCAGGTAAAACTTGACTGGGGAGGAAAGAAGACTAGCTAGACACATTCTAGAATAAGCTGTTGGAATAAAAAAACACATGAATTTCAAAGTTATCCTGGGATTTTTATATCTAGCTAGTGGATGAAGAAATAAAGAGAACTACAGAGAAAATATTTGGTTGGCTATGACTAGAAGTATTATGACTTCCAGTCACATAACTGATTGAAATAAATCACATGGCCTCATGTAGCAGTTTTGGCCAAGAAATATAGTCTAAGTTCAAGAGAAAAGAAAAAATGAATTTTCTGAAAAACTACACAGTCTACCAATAATTGAAGTATTGCATTATTAACAAATTCTGTTAGCTTCAGTATATTCATGGACTTGCCCACTTGTTTGTTTAACATTTTGAGTAATCATTACTTTCTAGGTAACTTGACTAGTTGAATTTACAGATTGCAGAATGTATAATGTAAGATAAATAAAGCTCTGAAATTATTATGTGAAATTAACCAGTGAGCCCACTTATTTGCTGTTACAGGCAGCAGAGTAAGAGGCAATCCGGGGCTAAACTTGGGCTACATTTTGAATGAGAGAAAGAACCGGGCAACAGAAGACTACAGGCAAAGGAAATGTAATATGCAAAGACTCAAAGTACTATATATGAAGAAAAAACAAAAAACTGTAATTCAACAGCCTGGAACATAAGGTGCGTGAGGAAATGTATTGAATGATGATGCCAGACAGGAACTAGGATCAGAAAACAAAAAGAGCTGAAATAGTGTGACAATTTAAATACATACTATATTGATTTATTTAAATATATTTATACCCACATAATGTAAATAAATATTATTACATATGTATGTAAATATATTTATAAATGCATTCACTGATTTGCTTTTGAGTCTGTTTCAATCAAGATGCCTCTTTCAGAAAAAATTGTCTACTTGGCTTTATTAGAGTCAAGCTCTAAAACAAAGACCACCAGGCTTATGAAAAACTAAGGGTGTATCTTATGGGTGTATATTTATCTCTAGAAATTCTCAGTTCTAAGGGAGAAGATTTTGTGACATTTTAAGACTATCTCAGAGACTTATGGTTTTACTGGCATTTATAATGACTCACCCTTCTGTGTGTTGAATAATTAGGCAGTCCCTGCTGACTTAGGTTTCTTCCATTACCATTAATATCCAGCAACCTGAAATTTTCAACAAATGCAATCTCTGGTGATACAGAAAGAGTGAGTTTAAAAATGTGACATTTGCCCATAATGTAGAAGAATTTTTCTTTTTCAGAGACTTCATAATATCCTCTTTTAACTACTCATATGCTCTGCCCTGCAGCACATCGCTTTGTGAAAACATCAAGTAGAATATGAAACTCAGAGATTTGGGTGACAAATACTACTCAGGGCTCCAAATATAAGTTTGGCATAAGAATGAAATAAAAGCAAAACATTATTTATTTACAAACAAATATAGGACAATTAGTATATTGTTATCATTCAAAGTAAACTCAAGTTTTGATAGGAAAATTTAAAAATCCTCTAAGACTAAAGGTAATGTGGGATGGCAATGCTTTCCTTTGTACAGATTCTTTCAATTCGTGTGTTGTACCTGTTTTCTTTTTTTTTTTTCCCCAAAATCAAAGACATAATCTTCAGCCCATAACTGATTTCCTCAACAGGTGCAATCACAGCATTTTCTACCTATGATCCAGAAACAGTTGAATATCTGAACATCATGGGTGGGAGACATACTGAAATTTATGTAGGCTTCTATTCAACTATGTGGTGCTAACTCATCTCTCTGTTCAAATATTGTCTCACTTACTTCCTCCATGTTTTTTGATATGCCGCCTATGTTTTTTGTTGATTATGTGGAACATTTTCTATCTTCTCAGCTCTTGCTCTCAAACTTGTGTTCACAAACTGGTCAAATTCTCAGGAACAATATGAGAACCTCTGGTTAACCAGAGCCAGAGTGATGAAATGACAGCTGGTTTATGA
The DNA here is from genome assembly GCF_000001405.40 of Homo sapiens. Classification (NCBI taxonomy): domain Eukaryota; kingdom Metazoa; phylum Chordata; class Mammalia; order Primates; family Hominidae; genus Homo; species Homo sapiens. The sequence goes on from NC_000004.12 coordinate 178,458,371, forward strand.
TCAATGCAAGTTTTCATCTTCATATCATTCATATCCTATCACTCAGGCAGATATGTATATACACTTATACATATCACCAGGCAGAAGAAAACTGAGAGATAATTGTAAAGAATCTCCAGAGGCTCTTTGCAATCGGTTTACCATCAGGTAAATCTCCCTGACAATGTAAAATACTCTAAAGATTTTGTTTCAACCACTTTAAATGCTCTGGATCAAATGGATTCCTTTATATTTTCCCAAGCCATCACCAAATTGTTCCTTTCAAAAGTGTTTTTTCCCTGGAAAGGCAGGAAAGAGAAAAAGATCAATATTTTCATCTTCACCCATGTATATGGGCATGACTTAAAAAAAAAATCAAACTATTTAAGATTCTGAGTCATTATTTTCATATTTATTGTAATAGTATTGTGGTTATGTTTTTGAAAATATTTCATTAGTAATAGATACTGACATCATTAAGGATAAAATGATATGATATCTGGTATTATCCTCAAAATAACCCTAGGAAAGGAGAAAATTGGGTAGAGACAGGGATGAAGCAAAGTTGGCCATTTGCTTATCATTGTTAAAGCCTGTTCATGTGGTTGATGTGTGCATGGGAATCCATTGTTTTAACATCTTTTGTTATATGTTTTAATATTTCCATAATAAAAATTAAAAATAAGATTTACTCAGAGTCAAGATACAACACTACCTAAATATTCTAAATATTAGCTCTTCTCTTACTCTTCTGAGGACTACATACTACCATGTGCTAAATAAAATAACAGTCAATTCACACTCCCATCTGTGTCAGTGTCATCAAAAACTGGGTGTTTCCTTGCTGGTTACAATAATAACAGTAACAATGAAAGTAGAACCAAGCAACGATGTTGTCTTAGTTCTTATTGGACAACTGTCCAGTATCTCCAGTAGGAATATCAAGGTCTGAAACAACCTCGCACTAGTAATTTCTGCTTTATTCATACTTGGCCACATTGTCCACTGAGTGGAATCAACAGGAATTGCTACACGGCAGAACTCAATGACCTATCAAGTTCCTAGCCTTTCTTATGTCATTCATGGCCCAAAGCCCAGCTTTTACACTAGTGTAGCTGTCCTTAAATTGCAGGCAAGCAAGAGAGGTATCACCAGGAAACTTGTTATGAGTATAAATTCTCAGGCCCTGCTTCAGACATACTGAACAAGAAACTCTGGGAGTAAGGCCCGGTGTATTAGATTGCTATTGCTATGTAACAAATTGACAAAAATGTAGCAAATTAAAACAACATTCATTTATCAGCTCATAGATGATAGGCCAAAATCCATCACAGCATGATTAGGTTTTCTGCTCAGGTTATAACTAGGCTAGAATAAAGGTGTAGGCTCAGCTGAGTTCTTGTCAGGAAGCTCAAGAGAAAAACCTCCTTCCCAGCTCACTGTGGATATTGGATACATCCATTTCCCGCCAAATAGGGCTGAAGTCCCATGTCTTGCTGGCTGTCAGCCAAGGGCTGGCCTCAGCTCCAAGAGGCTGCCCTTGTTCTTTGCTGTGTGGCCCCTTCCTTTGTTAAGTCAGAATGGTGCCCCATGTCTTTCTAATGTTTCTAATTTCTCACTTCCTCCATTACTGAGTGACTAACTCAGAGTTAAAGGGCTCATGGATTAAATCAGGCACGATCTCCCTCTCATAAAGTCAACTGACTTGGGACCTTAATTACCTCTTTGATAATGTCTTTACAGCAGCAACTAAATTTGTGTTTGATTGAATATGTGTGAGAAGGTGTACATACAACTGGGGCCAGAAATCTTGAGGGCCGTCTTAGAATTCTGCCTACTACAGGTTAACAGTCTGGGTTTTGACGAGTTCTCCCGGTAATTCTGAAGCATGCTAAATGTTCAGAACCAAAACTCTTGCACTTAGTTCTCCATTTAATATGAGCCACTCTTCTTGGTTTCCTAGGGCTTTCTCGGTTTCAACATGGAAAGTCCGGTGTCCAGGAAATCCCACTAGTACAGGGCAAACCCATATGGGTTACTGACTCTAGGTCTCTGCTTTCCGTCCCTTGTCTGTCCTAACAGAAGCCCTCATCTCACCATTATTATCATTTATTTTACAAAACGATAAAGTACTTTTTATCAGTGGCTGAAAGATGCACCTGTACATATTTTCTACCCTGGAGATATTTCATATAATTTGTTATGAAATTCTCTTAAGTTAGCATATGAATGCACATAATGTGAGATAGAGCTGAAACTGAAACATACTATCCTTGAAACACAAATTTAACTTCTATTGTTTCTTAATTTTAGAGCCTTCCTCAAAATATAACTAACATGTTATTTCTAAATAAATGAGTAAGTGAATGAGTGAAGTATATGTGCAACTGCAATTGCTTAATTGCTGAAGAAATCATTATAACCTACTAAATGTTAGTCTCTTCTGTCTACTCTAAAATATTGCAGAAATTATGATACTTGCTTTGTCAGAGACTCAAACTGGGAAAAGCACTACCATTTGAAATTTTGAGAGAAAAGAAAACTGTCATATCCAGACTACCAATTAATATTTTTACTTAGAGGTGACCACGTAATTTTGTTCACTTGTTATTGATCAAAGGACATTGCATAGCAGTGCCTAACTTCAAGTGGCAAGAGAGATATCATTCCAGATGCCTAGGGAATATCACTTCCATTGTGTGTGTCCGTGTATTTGTGTGTCTGTCTGTGTGAGAGAGAAAGAGAGAGAGAGAGGAAAAGAGTAGTAATAAAGTGTATATGTCTGTGTGTGAGAGAGAGGACATCTCTCTTTTCTATGTCAGAAAAACTAAAATTCTCATGACAGCCTATTATATTAGAATGTCAGAAGAATTATAAAAGTAAGTTTGTGATTCTAGTAAGTAACTGGGGGATGGGTCATAATCAATAACTTAAACTCAGAAATTTAGACAGTTTGGCAATGGCTGTCAAATTTTGTAGAAACAAGCCATCAAAAGGAATATTGTTATATCATTTTTTGTTAAGTAGTAACTAAAATTGTAGTACTAATATGATTAGTTAAATTTTAATTAAAATACCAAAAACTGTTTTAATCTAGATGAAATTTGGAAGTCTATTTATGTTTATAATTTGGAGGCAAAGTCTACAGATATGGAACCTATTGGAAACAATTGAGCCTGTTTTCATCTCCCTTACATAAACCAAGTTCATGATTCCATTGGCTGAGAAATCACAAGCTCTGTCAGATACTCAGGTCAAATCTTATGCCATTCTTGGTTTTTCCCAACTGCAGGTCAGAATCTACTGCAAGACTCTGAAAATGGTTAAACAAAGGAAGAAGTAGAATTTGAAATCAACAGAAGTGCTCAGGGTAGATTAGAGCTATCATTGGTCTATAATCCTTTCATTATAAAAAAAAAATTGGAGACTAGTGTGGATTATATTGAAGAGAATGGTTTTCATGGTAAAAGGGAGAGATGGAGCCTAGATACTTCTATTAAATAGGCATAAAGCCTGGAAAAATCAATTTAATCAAACCCTGCAAATATTGGAGGAGGTATCTGGTTTGATTTAGGGAAGAGTTTAAAGTCAAGTCACTCTTTTAGTGAGAATAAAATTTCCTACTTCTATGTAATTCTTGGAAAACTTTTAAGTTTATTATTATCATATTAATATCTACATCACCTATAGGTAATACACAGTGTTATTTTCAATAGGGCCAATTGAAACAGAAGCACTTTGCAGAATGAGAAATAGGTGGGCCTTGCCTTTATTATAGATGATGATGATTTGCTTTATAAGTACACACTAAAACTGAGATGGAAGGAAAACACTAATTCCTAAATTTTAAGCATGCTCTAAAATTTTACATCCGCAGGAGAGTGAGAGAATAAACATGTTGGGGTAAATGTGTATATGCATAACTGTATGTATCTTCATTTATACCTACCTATCTATCCATCTATTTATCTGTCTGTCTCTCTGTCTATTATCTGTCTATCATCTATCTATCTATCTGTCTGTCTGTCTGTCTGTCTGTCTGTCTATCCAAATCTTTCCAAATCGTAGGGTTTTTGTTGATGTTGTTTGTTGGTTTCCTTAAGGACAAGTCTTGGGGTGATAGGCATTTTAAACATTTTGGTATGTTGACTGAACTGCACATCAAGCCTGTGGCTTACAAGAAAACTCGACCTATTTTCATGTCTGTTGGATATATGTCAACAAGTATCATAGAACCCTCATCCACTTTGAAAAATAGCGTAGTTGATTTTGGAATTAGGAACATCCATGGCATCAAGAAAGGTACCTGAATTTTCAGCCATCCCCCGTGTTACAGAACTATCTTTGAAATCTGTTGTTGTTTGATGGGATTTGTGAAACAAAGAGAAGAGAAATTTTAAAAGATCCATTTGGAAGAAGTAAGAATGGAGTTTGAAAGGATTTTCTGTGAGGAAGGTAAAGATAAAAAATGAAGCTTTCCCAAGAGCAACGTCTACAGGAGGAAGGTATACATCAATCACTGCCAACAGCCTCCCTGGAGGCCGTTGAGGAACAGATCAAATGCAAACAAGCCAGACGGGGAATGTGGACAAGCAGTTGCCATGTCATTCACTCTTCTTTCAAAGCAAATAAAGGGGAGGCCAGGTAAGCTATGTGAGTCCACTTATGTGGGATTTTAATGACTCGGAACTTACAAGTAGGTTCAGATTCATTCATTCCTCTTTACCTTGACCTGGTCCTGGACTTTGCCTGGATTGTCAGGTAGCAGCATTTTCTTTCCCAATCTGTGCATAATAACGGAAGAATTATACATGCTGTGGGTGCTGTATTAAAAGGAATTTAATGTGAACAACAAAAGGTTAAGGCCATTTTCTTCCCAAAGTCATTTTGTTCCTTTCTCTGCCCTTAAAAAATACTGCAACAGAAATTCATCACATTCGAGTTGATACAACACTGTCAGAATTAGACACTACATACTAAAACCTTGTTATAATTCTCTCAGCAGGTTCTAGAACTTCATAATTTCTTTTAAATGAAGAGAATAGATTTCCAAAATGATGACCACTCCTGAATTATATTAAATGTTAAATCATTTAAATATGATTTTCAAATGGTTTGAAAGTAGCTATGTATATAATGTCACACCTACGCTTACACAAACTCTTCATTATTTATAATTAGTTTTATGGTAAAGTTTTATTCTCATGATTATTCATAAAGTACTCTCAATAGAAGATCCTGAGGGTAAAGACTCTTTAAAGTGAAAATATTCTATAAACGAACACCTGAATTCTTATTTTATAATGTATTAACAAAACACATTTGTATTATTTTGTAGTTCAGACGTCTTTTTCCTTTTTTGAGTATATCTATTGCATTTTACAGATATAACCTGTTTAACTTCTATATAGAAATCTTATTTTGAGAAAGACACTAATAATCATACCAGTAAGATACTGGTTTACTATTAAAAGTTATATTACTAAATTTTAATAATGCTTATGTTTCTTCCAGCTGTGATGCAATATAAGCATCATTTCTTGAATGCCTTTAGATACAGTCAGTGTATAAATCATGCATGCCTAGTGAAATGCATTATAGGTATCGAGCGTCTTGTCTTCTCAAGTCCATTATTGTGCTTAGTGCACATGATTATCACTAACAGAGAAAAAACATGAAGGTCTAAACATATTTATATTTTATCCATTTTCCCTTTTTAATAGATGAAAATTACTTGTTGTGAAATACTGGCCTTTAGCTTTCCCTAACAATCTCAGAACCTAGGATGTTTATACAGGGAGAGAGGTGAACAAGTGAGGTGAAGGGGTGAAAATAGCATGACATGTTCAGCAATTTATTTCTTGAGAAGAGGGGTGGAAAGCCAAGTAAGATGGCTATATATTGTTTTAATTTATTTTGCTAAATAGCTATCAGTGCCCATTGTGGTCATTGTATGATTGTTATTGAAATTTACAGAAAGAGATAAGAAATTGGTAGGACAACCTGAATTCCTGTTCACATTTTATTCATATGATGATTATTCCAACATAAATCTAGTCTCCTGTCATTATCCTCGCTCTTTCATATTTTTTTTAATTTTTTAAAAATCATTTCCTCCTTTAGTTGGTCATTGGGCTCATTTACATACACACCTTTCTAAAAGCTGGAAATGACATATTATTTTGTTATAATTCTATAATTTTAATTAATAATAAATTAATACATTTTAATTAGTAAATGTGTACAAAAATTAATAAATATATATATATATCTTGTATAAAGCTTAATGTTGGTTTCATGTTGTCTTATCTTTTAAATTATTTAACTGATACTTAGAAGTTGCCTAATTATAAATTGAATGCAGGAGGAATAAAAGAACAAGCTATAGGTTTTAGGGGGTCTGTATCAGACAGGGTTTGCCAGAGAAACAGAATCCATAGGATATGTGTGTGTGTGTGTGTGTGTGTGTGTGCATGCACACACACACACACACACATATGGAGAGAGATTTATTTTAAGAAATTGGCTCATGCAATTGTGGAGGCTTGATGAGCTACACAGTCTGATGGCAGAAGCTGTTAGACTCAGGAAAGAGTTGTACTTCCAGTCCAAAGGCAGCCTGCTGTGGAACCAGGAAGATCCAGTGGTGCAGATGAAGTCTGAAGGTAGTCCACTGAGAATTCTCTCTTGCTAGAGGTGTGGGGTGGTCCTGAGGGAGGGACAGGACCGCTTTTCATTCTGTTCAGCCTTTCAATTGATTGGATGAGTCCCACACACATTGTGGATCGCAATCTGCTTTGCTGAAAATCTACCTGTTTAAATGTCAATCCCAACCAAAAACGCCCTCACGGAAACATCTAAATAATGCTTTACCAAATACCTGGGCACTGTGGTTTAGACAAGTTGACACATTAATAATCACAGGGTCAAAAATTCCATTCTGATATTGCAAGCGTAACCAATAATCCCAGCACTTTGGGAGGCTGAGGCGGGTGGATCACCTGAGGTCAGGAGTTTAAGAACAGCCTGGCCAACATGATGAAACCCCTCTCTACTAAAAATACAAAAATTAGCCTGGCATGGTGGTGGGCCCCTGTAATCCCAGCTACTTGGGAGGCCGAAGCAGGAGAATCGCTTGAACCCAGGAGGCAGAGATTGCAATGAGCTAACATCGCACTACTGCACTCCAGCCTGGGTGACAGAGTGAGAGTCCATCTCAAAAAAAAAAAAAAAAAGATATTATGATAGTATAATCTCTGAATTATAAAGATTATCTGAGAAAAGAGAAAATAGGAGAATTTTGAGTGAGAAAGTGTACTGGAAAAATTCCATCTCACTGTTTAATGAAAAAATCTAAGTAGGATATGGCTCATCTAGATACAAAAGGTGGCCCCGATAATCCCTTTCTTTATGATTTCTGTGTTTCAGTGCATGCAAAAAAGAATTATTCCTGTTGAACTAACAAACTAGTAAGAAAGTCTGTTTTATCATCCTATAATTCAAGGAGTCACACATCAGAGAAATGCAGCACGATGCCACCAGCTCAGAGAACATAAAACATGTACCCAAATACATTGGGGGAATCAGAGTCTGAGCCCAGCAAATTTGAATGAATTGCAATATGGGCCACTATGAGACATTTTGAAGAAACTCAGTGTCTGATACCAGCCCAGAACCATCTTATTCAGATGTGTGATGCATCTCTCTTTGACTTAATTCCTGCCACTGGCATGTATGCAATTCCATAAATAGATTCTTACAGGGGATCCCTTGGTTGGGCCATGCTTCTTTCCAGGACAATAATGACAAGAACAGTAAGGGATACCTAAGATGAAATTTCTGAAATGACTTATTATTAGTTTATATATCCTGAGCAGATCATTTAATCAAAAGTCTCAAAATTCTCTGCCATGAGTCAGATTAAATTCTCTGCCAGGAGTCAGATTCAAAGTCAAAAATTAAATTGATTTCCAGAAATATAGTTTCAAGATGGCATATCTGAATCACATTGACTCTAGAATGCTTGGAATATTGTAATCATTACACTAAGAAAAATATCCCAGTTTTAGCTTCAGTCATAGTTTTTTATTTTTTGTTTGGTAAGTAAAATATTAGCATCATTTAAAAAACAGAAATTAAGTACAGCCAGATCACACTGAGATTTAATCTGAAAGACAAGGACCAAGTTTATGTTATCTCCATCAGAGCTATAGTTTTTCACCAGAGACTTTTGTTAAGTTTTTGATTTATTTTCCTGTCTCAATAACAAAAAGGCATTCTATCTGGCTTCTGTTGGATAATTGACTAAATCTTCAGTGTGCTCATCCAAATATTTTGCCCCAACTTGGGTCAGTTGTCTACCATGTTCTTAACAGTTGTGATTATGTAAATAAAACCATTAGGCACAAATATGACCCCCAGTCCCATATCTTCTGACGGGCTGTGGGTCCCATATCTTCTGAGGGGCTGTGGATGAAGGCAAATTATCTTGGAAAGTGTCAGAAAGTAGTCAATAAGTATTATCTCAGAACAAAATGCTTAAAAATACTCATTTTACTTTTCTAAAAACCATACAAACAATTTTCAATAGTTTTAAAATTTCATTCAAAACATATATTCACGAGAAATTAATATGTTTTTTATTTCAAAATTATCTTAATGGTAAATTTGTCTTTTTTTCTTTTTTTTTTTTTTTTTTTTTTGAGATGAAGTCTTGCTCTGTCACCCAGGCTGGAGTGTAGTGGCGTGTTCTTGGCTCACCGCAACCTCTGACTCCTGGGTTCAAGTGATTCTCCTGCCTCAGCCTCCCGAGTAGAGTAGCTGAGATTACAGGCACACACCACCATGCTCAGCTAATTTTTGTATTTTTAGTAGAGACAGGGTTTCACCATGTTGGCCAGGATGGTCTCAATTTCCTGACCTCAGGACCCACCTGCCTCAGCCTCCGGAAGTGCTGGGATTACAGAAGTGAGCCGCTGCGTCCAGCCTAATTTGTCTTCTTTTTAAACAGATCTCCTCCAGAAAAAAAAAAAATCACCCACAATTGCTTAACTTTTATAAAGTCCATGGTTAAGAATTCATATTTAATGAATGCACATAATTTGTTTTCACTACAAAATTTAAAAACACAGTTACTGGTTTACAGAATTTGAGGATTAGTCTTTTTCCTAACTCACTAAAAAACCACCCACAAATCTTTACTTTCACACATATTGGAAGTTTTTCACTAAGTAATTGCATACCAGAATTTGGAAATTGGTATTCATATCACATGGGGACAGTGTTGAACCTTAAATCACATTCTTTCTTTAGGTGACATCTTATAACATTGAATGATGGCATAATTTTTGTATCAGAGTTTCTTCAGTCTTAGGACTCTTACTTTTTTTTCCTCTTGGTTTAAATGACACAATTACAGCAAGGACAAATTTAGTGATTTGCTCTTTTGGTAACATCTTCTCTAAATAAGAACATCTGTTTTACAGTCACTTCCTGTTTATAGGGTAAGCTATTGTAGTTAAATTTTAAAATGTCAAACTCAATCAAAAATACTGATCTGTTTCAGTGTGCAAGGGAAATGGCTAATGTGTATAACAACTCAATATAATCTAGTGGCAAGAATACTCTGCTGGGAATAGGGAGGGCTGCTTTCTATTCCCAATTCTCTCATGAATTATTGGTCTTGTCTACAAAAGGATAAAAAGTTATTCCAAGGACAAACAGGCTAATGAACCTAAGGAAGAACCTAGTATATAAATGGGAGATTCTGATTGCTCCAACAAAGTATTTATGTTCTCAATTAAGGTTACACTATTCTCTTATTTTGAACATAACTGGATTTCCTACTATGTCTTTAAGTATTTGTGACATATATGGCATTAACCTAAACATAAACAGGGATTGACTAAGCAGAATAGAGCAAAGGAAGTGGTGTCTTGGTGGATTTTGGCTGATGGGCGCAGGGGTCAACTGGAAGGTGTCTTGAGTACCACGTGGGCTAAGGAATGTGTTGGAGGCAAACAAAATGCAAGAGAATACTGAAAAAACATTCCAATACCTAGAAATTTGCTCTGACGCTGCAGAATGCTTCTTAAAATTTTTAGTAGCAGGAACCTAAAACACGAAGTCTTTGCACTTTTCTCTTTATGTTCGCTCATAAAGGGTGATTCTAGAACTTCTATGATAGTTGTGGTAGTGCAGTGTAGTCATCTGTGACTTATCTATTTGATAGCATAATTCCAGATGACCAGAAATGCCAGTTGGCCCGAACTGAACAAATTTTACTGCCAGATGTGCAGTCCTAATCACAATGTGTGCATTCTATTCAGCAAGCAGCAATGTTTCTTGCTTGAGCAACAGCTGTGAACTGCCAAAGCATATCAATTTTGAGTGAAATTTGACTCAAATAATTACTTGAAAGTATGACTAAAACCACTGTATTTCTAAGGGTTTTAAGTAGGAAAAATTTAGAGTAGTAAAGTGAAAAAAAAGAAATAAAAACAAAGCAGCAACAAACTAGCAAACAAAAATAGAAACGATGGAAAGATTTCTCAAATGCATTTAGAAATGGCGAATGAATACATAATCTTTTCCTGTCCATATCTTCCCCTCATTCCTATCCAGTTGTTATTGAGGATAAGCAAGAGATTTAAAGTTGACATTCAAGTTGACAAAAAAAGACATTAAACCTAAAATTATGGGAAGCACAGCTGAGAGTTAGGAAACTATGTTTTCTGGTCCAGTCCCTGATATGTCAATAACTTCAAACTGCAGAAAGACATCATCCATTCCCTTTTCCTCTTCATTCTGTATTTAACTCTTTAGCCGTTTGCCCCAGCTAAAGATCACTTTACCCTATTGTCTGCATAATGGCAACACCAGCAAAATTACCTTAAATTTGCTATGATGTCAGCCGTGTACACATACCCCCCCCAACTTATAATCAGTGCACAGGAAATTTCAGTGATTCAAAGATCACTGAAATTAGTGCTTTTTTGTTTGTTTAGTTAATTGCATATATGTATAAGGTGAGGTCTTTCATTGTCTAGTGTGATGAGACACTTCTGTGCTGTAGGTATTAAGAATGATTGGTTTACTTTGAAGGGCAAGCACAGGATGAGGGAGGAATTGCTAGTTTAATCAAAGATCCTTTGTTATTAGGGATTGCTGCAATTAAGACTACTTAGAATAATGATACAGGGTTAGTAGTCATCTTCAGAGAGAGAGTAGGAGAGGGAAAATGGGAGAAGAATGGATTTATTCAAATCTAGTATTTCCAATTATTAAGTAAAAAAATAACAAAAACAAAAACAAAAAACCTGCTTAATTGTGGAAGAAAATCTGCGACAGAGAAAGGAAACGTGATTCTGGGCTTGATAAAACCTCTGTGTCCTGCTGTCGCTTGGAGAAGTGATATTAATGAGCAGGCCGAGGTGCTGATAGAGGCAAGGGTTCCTTTGGAAAGGAAGAAGTATACTGCCCGGTCACCATAACTGGGCTTTGATGCAACAGTTCTGGTGAGAGCCCTCCTGCAGCCCCCATCATTGTCATTTCTCTTCGCCTACTTCCTTCCCAAGAAATAACGACCTCTAACATGCCCAAGACAAGAGACAATAACCCATATTATAGAACTTCCCTCACATTCAGAAAATAATGGGTTACAACGACATGCCAAGATGCAGAAGATTCCCAACCATAAGCCCCATTGGCTTTGCAGATTCTGTTGCACTAAATAGATAGAGGGTACCATGCTTGCTTCTGTTACCAGTAGAGTGAGTAGGGACTTGAGGGTCAGTATTCAGGGGATCGGGTAGAATGGTGTTTCTCAAACTTTATAATGCATTCAAACTATCTGGAGATCTTGATAAAATGTAGATTATGACACAGTAAATCAGGGTGAAGCCTGAGAGTCTGCATTTATTTAAAAGCTCCCAAGTAATAAAGATGCTGCTTGTCCTTTGAGTAGGAGAGGCTACAGCACAATATTTACATCCTAGTTGGTGGAGATGTTGAGAGTGGTACTCTGGTTACATTATCATTATATGGGAATCTAGTTATTCTTTATTATGTGATTTAAAACTACGATCAGTGGGCTTATTGCATTTTAGATCTAATTCTTTAAACAGTTAAAAAGACAGAACAACAGAAATCTGCATTAGATTGCATATTTCACCCCTGTTAAACTGAATACCTCACCCCACATTTTATGAAAATAATTTTAAAAACCTCATTTCCTATTCAGAAATAAATCTCATCCCACATAATTTTAAAAATATCAATGTTATAGCATGATTGTAAAGCAAAGAAAATAAATGGAAAGTAATGAATTATAAAATAATGAGAATTTTGGCCAGGCACAATGGCTCACGCCTGTGATCCCAGCACTTTGGGAGGCTGAGGCAGGTGGATCACAAGGTCAGGAATTTGAAACCAGCCTGACCAACATGGTGAAACCCTGTCTCTACTAAAAGTACAAAAATCAGCTGGGCATGTTGGCATGCACCTGTAATCCCAGCTACTGAGGGAGGAGGGAGGCTGAGGGAGGAGAAGGCTTGAACCTGGGAGGCTGAGGTTGCAGTGAGCCGAGATCGCGCCACTGCACTCCAGCCTAGGTGACAGAGCAAAACTCCATCTCAAAAGATAATAATAATTATAATGAGAATTTTAATATGTAAATTTCTAGGCACAATGACACAATTAGACATAATGAAGTAGTCAAATGCTTGCTCTTATGTGAGAAATCATATCTTGGCAGCTACCATCCAGACCTACACTATGTGTTTCATTAAAAACATAAGCAACAGCGTTGCTGTTGATGATGCAATTTTTCCAAAAGGATACAGTCTTTCTCTCGTTTGCCAGGCATTTGCATGCCTGGAAAATTCAGAATGTGTAAGAACAATGCCAAAATTGTTTGCATTTACATAAAAACAGAGTGAGTTTCTTGGCTTAGATATTTATAAACAGGCTTTCACATATACTAATGAACCCTAGGACTTGCAACTCAGAAAAGTGTTCTGAGAACCAGCAACATGGTTCTCACCGGAGAGCTGGTCAGAACTCACAATTTGACAGGAATATTTGGGTGATGTAAAAACACAGTAATGTCTCAGAAGCACTGCCTTACAATATTGAGGACATTCACTCAAAAGCCTAGCCAGACAAAAGATGGTTCTTGGTTACATGGGTATTGTCATGACATTGCAAGAAATCTGGCTTCCCTGGTTGCTCACTAGAGGGCCATACCCCATTATCCTAACAATCAAAAACACCCTCAGAACACCTCACCAGAGGCCAGATATCCCACTGTCCTTATAAACAAAAACACGCCTCTAGGGTGTTGCACTTCCTTTTTGAGAACCATATTGAGTCTGTGTGCAGAGATTTCTCACAATCCTAATTTCTGTTCATGCATTACCCAATACTTTATTTTTCTTTACAGGACTCTATAATACTACATATCCCTTAATACCATTTAGAACAGAATGTTAGTTATAAAATATAAAAGAAATGAAACGAAAATCTCAAAAAAATATTTGGGCCAGGCATAGTGGCTCACGCCCGTAATCCCAGCACGTTGGGAGGCCAGGACAAGTGGATCACCTGAGGTCAGGAGTTTGGGATCAGCCTGGCCAACATGGTGAAACCCTGTCTCTACTAAAACTAGAAAAATTAGCCAGGCATGGTGTTGGGCACCTACTTGGGAGGCTGAGGCAGGAGAACCGCTTGAACCTGGGAGGCAGAGGTTGCAGTGAGTCGAGATCACACCACTGCACTACAGCCTGGGAGACAGAGTAAGAATCAATTTCAAAAGATAAATAAATAAATAAATAAATATTAAATTAATAGAAATAAAATTATTTACTTAAATAAATGAAATATAGCTATAAAATTATAAAAATAAAATATAGAATATGTTATAATTATTTTTCTTATTATGCTATTTTGGGTTATTGAAAGATGATTACATGATGTTGAAATTCCAGAAATTACCAATTAAAGTTTCCAATAACTTGTCTTAGCAATTCAAAGTGTCTATAAAATCTCTAAAAAGAAAGCAATGATTGGCTGGATATGGTGGCTCATACCTGTAATACAAGCTCTTTGGGGGGTCAAAGCAGGAGGATTGCTTAAGGCCAAGAGTTCAAGACCAGAAGAGGCAGCATGGCAAGACCTCCAACTCCATAAAAAGTAAATAGGAAATTAACCAGGAGTGGTGGCTCATACCTGTAATCCTTGCACTTTGGGAGGCAGAAGTGGAAAGATCACTTGAGCCCAGGAATTCCAGGCTGCAGTGAGACACTGCCTTAAAAAAAAAAAAAAAAAAAAAAAGTGGTGACAGCCATTTGGTTGTTGGCATGCAATGTCTACAAGAAGAAGGCAGAATTTCAAAGCAAGGGTTGCAGGCCAGTGTTATACAGAAACATACTATGTTAGTGTGAGGGTACAATTTTGAAATTTCAATCTAAGAGAGCAGCATTTCTTAGCTCCTTGTATTTTCCATGCTATAATATGGGCCTACGAATCCCAGATCCATTAAAATTTTAATGAAAGTGAAAAATCTAAATGTTTATTCAAAAACTTCTGATTGTTATAACATTAGCAACAAATTTATTTTTTTAACTAATTAATATAGTACTTTACCCAAACAAATCAAGCAGGGAGATTCTAAAACCTTTTTATTAGTATTTCATTCTGTACCATTATAGATTTGACAATTAGGTCAATTTAACATAATGTGCTATTTTCTATACATTTAATTTGAGAAGTATACAGTAAAAAACAAACAAACAAAAAAAACCCATATATTTTTGGTTTGTTTGTTTTAGAGAGATGGTCTTTCTCTGTTGCCCACACTGGAGTGCAGTGGCCCGATCATAGCTCACTGTAAAACTGTTATTAACACCTGGGCTCCAAAAATCCTCCCTTCCCAGCATCCCAAGTAGCTGGGACTACTATAAGTGCACTCCACCATGCCTGGCTAATTGTTTTTATTTTTTGTAGAGAAAGGGTCTCCCTATATTGCCCAGGCTGTTCTTGAACACCTGGCCTCAAGCAATCCTCCTGACTCGGTCTCCCCAAATGCTGGGATTACTGGTGTAAGTCATTCTGCCCAGCCAGAGCCTGTATTAATTTGGTGGTTACATATCTATGTTCTTAAGAATATGTAAATATTTTAACAATAGATTAATAGATTTCTCTCTATTGAGAAAGACACTATTATATAACCATATATATGAGAATCATGTAATAATTCCAATACTGTTTTAAACAAGTCATGCTTTCATATTGAGTAAAATTTGATCAATGGATGCTGGAAAACCTCCTCCCTCAAGATTCCAGCTTTTTCAGCAGGAAAAAATTAATAAAAACTTTATATATTCTCTTTTCTGTTAGTAATTATGAAAAAATTGCAAGAAAAAATGTGTTTTCTTTATGTCTCCATTATGTAAGGCTACACTGAAGTAAATTATTGCTTGACATATTCAATGATTCAGAAGCAAAATAAATGTAGTTCTAGGAGAAAGATTGGATTGCAATAAGAAGGGCAGCATGACTTTACTGAAGGCAAAGGATCAAGTGCACTAGGAAGATCCACTCATGTATGTTTTCCGAAACTGTATCTTACATGATTCCGCCCACTGTGCTGATGCTTCAAAAGCTGCACATTGTCCTTAAGGTCCTTAACCTAATGACCATATCTTTCAAATACCAAATTCTAAGGACTTGAAAAATATCTTGGCCTACGTTACTCAGTAAATAATCCTTTAACAAACAAGCACTTTTTTTTTGACATTTTTATTGCTAACATATGTTATAGTCAAATAATCCCCAAACTATCTTATTATATTTTAAATTTTCCTCTTAGGTTCTAAGGTATTTTCAACATATTGCTTTACTAACACATGGAATTTAGAAAAAGACAAGGTTTATTTTATTTACTAATATAATCCAAATTATAAATATAGAATATTTTCAAGAAAAACAAATATTTTAATACAAATAAAAACAACACATTTTCAAGTATGTACTAACAAAATGCTTTATTCTTGTGATTATAATTGTAAATGAAATTTATAATTGTAATGAAAATCATAATTGTAACTAAAATTGTAAATAAAATTTAAATTGTAAATGTCCATATGAAAAAAAGTATAAAAATATTTTAAAATGACTATGAATAACATGCAGAATACTTTTGATAACATCTTTTTAGAAATTATCATCATGAAGTTTTATTAAAAAAGAGCAAATATTAGGGAAATATAAATGCACTAAGATTAAAGATACAGAGGAAGAAATCTAATTTCTTCATATATAACATAGAATATGTTATAGCTATTTTTCTTATTATGCTATTTTGGGTTATTAAAAGATGATTACATGATATTGAAATTCCAGAAATTACTAATTAATGTTTCCAATAACTTGTCTTAGCAATTCAAAAAGTCTATAAAATCTCTAAAAAGAAAGCAATGATTGGCTGGATATGCTGGCTTATACCTGTAATACAAGTTCTTTGGGGGGCCAAAGTGGGAGGATTGCTTAAGGCCAAAATTGCTTAAAAATCCAAAGTTTTAAGGAAATCCATAAAATAAATTTTAAGGTTTATGTTTTCAAGTTTTACAAATTATTTCAACAATTATTTATTAAGCATCTTCTACGGGTCAGGTACTCCTCCAGCTAATAAAAATGCTGTCTCTTTATTGAAGTTTAGCTTTCATAGGAATGAGGAAAGAAAAAGAATAAGGACAAGGAAGTATGGAAGATGTCCACTGCAGCCTTATTCACAATAGCCAAGAAATGGAAACAACCTATGTTTCTGTTGTCGGATGAATAGATAAGGAAATTAAATATAAAGTTCATCCTTGAACAACATGGGTTTGAACTATGCTGGTCCACTTATATATGGATTTTTTTCAAACAAATGCAGATGAAAAGTGCAGTATTACCAGAATAGGAAACTCACCAAGAGCTGACTTCCATGTAGATGGGTTCTGCAGGGCTGACTGTGGGACTTGAGCATCAAGACTTTGGTTCACGCAGAGGCCCAAACCAATCCCTTGCACATACCAAGAAACAATTGTATACAGTGGAATATTATTCAGCTATAGGAGAAGATATCTTGCCATTTGTGACAAGATAGATTATGCTAAATGCAATTAGAGGAAAACATTGCATGTCTTCACTTATATGAGGAATCTTAAAAAGTCAAATACACAGCAGCAGAGTAGAAAGGTAGTTATCAAGGGTGGAGAGGTAAGGAAAATAGGGGTATAGTTAAAGGATGCAATGTTATGGTTGTCCATAATGAGTGAGTCTAGAGGTCCCTGTACAGCATTATGACCATAGCTAATAATTCTGCTGGTACATTGGAAATTTGCTAGAAGAGTAGATTTTAGGTGTTGCCATCACACACACAAAAAGGTAACTGTGTGAAGAGATGTTAATTTGTTTGACCATAGTAGTGATTTCATTTGTGTATGTATATTGAAACATGTTGTATACTTTAAACATATGCAATTCTTATTAAAATAAAAAAAATAGCTAGACAAGATGTAAAAATGAAGTATGCCAAAGTGTGAGACCCTGAGTTGAAGATCCGGAACTCATCTCTGACTCTTAGACTCAGAGACTGGGACATCAAGGATTGGGCAGAATAGGTATGACCATGAGTATTTTTTAACAGCCGCTACAAGTGGTATACCTAGTACATATGCAGCAGACACACAACTATGCCTGGAAAGACATTTTGGATGCCATTAGTTTAGTAATAGTCCTAATATTGGTAAATTAGAAACTCGGTGTGGAAACTTTCTTGATTGTGTCTATGTTTTCTATAAACAAACAAAAATCTGGGTATATAAAATAATAGTTTCACAGAATTAGTGTTCTAAAGAGCTGACATCGTTAGACACGTTGACTTGTTTATCTTTTTATGTATATCAGCTTACTTTGGGCCTAGCACATAATAGGTGTTTCATGAATGTCTGGTAAATAAATAAAAAAATAAGTAAGTGAATAAGGGCACACATAAAAAATTCAGACATTTTTTGTTCCTTAGAATAACTGACATTCATTGTGTATGGTTTATTTAAAACAGCACTTTTATTGACTCTCTTGTACGTCATAATTAATTTCAAATTCAACATAACATTTAGATTGTATCACAGGTAAATATAAAAATTAATTGCTTGTTGATATGAGAAAGTGGACAAGAGTGGGCCGTGTTTAGAAACCTCACATTTTACAACTAGGAGAACAGAAAATTAGAAAGTTAATTCAGCTGAAAACAATACTGCGCTTGCTCTTACAGCAGTTATATGGTGACTGGGGGAAGCCCAAACTTGATAAACTCTTACTTAAAAGACAGCCGTAGGACAATTACAATATAACTTTAAATGCATATTACTCAAGGTTTTACAAAACTATTTGGATCAATCAGAAACAAAACAGCCTTTTTGTTTCTACATACCAAGAAATATTGCCTGAAGATTTGGAATGTTCATGTTTTAATATACATATACAAATGAAATGATTATTATAGCCAAACAAATTAACATCTCTTCACACATATATTTGGAATGAAGTTTCATGTCGGGAAGACAGCACAATAGAATTATTTGTGTAGTGTAAATTTTTGAAATTTCCAATTTGTGCAGAGCCTGAGAGATAAAATATTCTTACTCTCTCATGAAATAGAAAAGGAAACTGAAGTTGAAGTAGCTTGCAGAAGATCTAATAGCAAGTTTTAAAAGAAATCCACTGCTAGAAACTAGGTTTCCTGACTTCCAATCGTGTTATTTCCAATGCATTTTTATTTTGCAGTTACATACACATATTAAGACCAAAGAACTGAAGGCATTCTCCTGACTCTTTCACCTAGAAACATTCTTGTCATTTTCCCTCAAATTAGAAACAGATTATACAACTTTTAAGTATTTAGCCCTCCTGTCAGGGTACCTGTATACTGTAAAGATGTTAAATTCGCAAAACTAATGTGCCCTCCTTTTGAGCAAAGGTATAAGGAGATGAGGTTACTGATATGCCTGTTATGAAAAAGTAGTCGTACGCAAATTGAGACACAGATTCAGCTGTGATTGAAGCAGTAAGTTGTGCAGAACTATTATCTGTCTCACCTTCTTATGAATGACCTTTCCTATTGATAAAAGACCTTGAAATCATTTCAAAATGAAAATCATCAAAAGACACACAGTTACAATTGACCATTTCTGATATATCCACTTTTAGGGAAAAATAGAACATCAACTATATCAGTTTTTTCATGAAATCTCTGCATAAAATATGAGTCATGAAGCATTTCATGCCACTTGTGTGGTATTTATAAAATAAAAGATCCAATTAGAAGTGATGAATGTCCAATATACTTAGAGAAATCACATCTTCATGAAAACATGACATGGGCTATAGAGAAAATATTCCATCTGCGGAATGAAGCAGAACATACTCCAAATTTAAACTAGAATAGGTTACAATAGTATGAATATTACATACATATGTGCTTTAAAGAATTAAGGCATCTGTTACATTTATTTTCTATTTCTTTGTTTTTAGACAGGGGTAGACTTTAGGTTAGTCTCTTTGCCTGTAGATGAATGATAAAGAAGTTTTGGCCTCTTCATAGGCACAATTACTGTTACCTGTGTTTAAGCTTGGTACCTAGCAACAGAATCGGAAAATTTCAAGACACATGCAAGTGGGCTGCTTGTAAGAGCATTTGCAGACTTCATCTCATGTGTTTATTCTGCAGTGGTCAATGGAGCTACTTAAGAGCTTGCATATTTACCTAGTCATCGGTGTCAGCAACATTTAGAATGGGTAGTAATATCTGCATTCAGAAAACCAAACTTCTTTCTATAACCCAAAGCCAGAATACAATTAAGATTATTTCAGTCAGTCAATGTATTAGAGTTTTCCAAAGGAAAACAAAACAAAACAAAACAAAACAAAAGAGTAGGATTTATCCAACCAATAGAATGACTGATATCAGGAAACCTTGGTACTAGGAATGTAAAAGAACTTATTCAAAGTTGCACAGCCAACAAGTCATACAAGTAAGATGCAAATCTCAACAATCTGGATCCAGAATTTGTACTGTGTATCTCTGAACCAGGAACTGACACTGATATTTCAGGGAATAGACACATAGGTACATGTTCCCACAAAGGCCAAAATAACTATCAAAAGCAGATAATGACAGCCTCACAGAAGCAGGATTTCTAGGCCTG
This sequence comes from Homo sapiens, assembly GCF_000001405.40. NCBI lineage: Eukaryota > Metazoa > Chordata > Mammalia > Primates > Hominidae > Homo > Homo sapiens. The sequence continues at coordinate 178,478,599 of NC_000004.12, forward strand.
GATCAAGCCAGAAATAGATTAGTTTGAGAAGCATACTGTCTATTGATCCAAGACTGCAGGAACAAGAATTGATTGTTCATTTGGAGAGAGGGGCAGCTCACAGAATAAAACCAAAAAGGAAAAGCTGACTGTGGTCATTTTGCTTGAGATGTTGTTGATTCAGAGCTGATTCAGATTATTTTTAATCTAATGTTCTTCCTCACAGCCAGATAATGACATGCCTTTTTCTTACTTCATACTCTAACTTTAAACTTCAAGTTGGCAAACTCTAACTCTGAAACTAAAACACATATCATCTGTTTTAAAAGGCCTGTGATGACTCTGTTTCAGTGGCAGCTATTTCAGAGTTTTTATATTGAGAGATTTTATTTTCTTCTTTGGCCAGTTTTACTCATATCAATGCAAAAGAGGCATTAATTAGCAAAGATAAACCTCTTTTTTAGTGTGGTCAATAGATCTAGGCTCATTAGAAATGTGAATGTACAAAAGATGACCACTTAACTTCTTTCTAGAAATTTCATCAAAAGTCCATGGCAGCATTTTATATGGTTTCTATTACTACTCTTATTTCTGAGCCTTACTTTTGAGAAGTCACTTTAACAACATATTTTATGACATCAACAAAAACTATCTCAGATTAAATCTCCAAATAGTGTAAGGCCTCTATGGAGAAAATTTTAAAAGTTTATGGAAGGACATTAAAACCTAAGTAAGTAGACATACTATGTACATGAAGAGTAAGACTTAATATTTAAAGTTGCTAATTCTCCCCAAATAGATCTATAAATTACATATGACTCCATTTAACCCCCAATAATTCCCCACCATGGAAATGGATAACTTCATTAAAATGCCTATCTATATCTACATATTTCTAAAATATCAATATCTGTATATTTTTCTATCTACGTAACAGAAAAGGACAAATAAGAGCCAAGGCACTTCTAGAGAAGAACAAAGAAACACGTAACAGAAAAGGACAAATAAGAGCCAAGGCACTTCTAGAGAAGAACAAAGGTGAGTGCGTGTCTCTGTGTGTAGAGGCGGGTGCATGGATACTTGCCTCTCAGTGTAACAAGTTTAAAAAGTGAACAAAGACACCATGGTTTTGGTGCAAGCATAAATGGATAGATTAATGGAATGAAAAAGAACCCTGAAACACACATATACATATATGGAAATCCAATATGTGACAGATACGGCGTTGGAGATTGATGGGGGAATGGTGGATTTTTCAATAAATGATGATGGAATAATGAACAAGAAACATGGCAAAAATGAAAATGAATTAATACTTGGCATCCTTGGCAGATTGTATTTTCCAAAAATGACTACTGTAACATTTCTGGTTACAAATGCATTCCCAGAACATTTCACTTATTAAGAGGTAAATTCTAAATGTGTTCTAAAAAGTAAGCACACTCATATAATTATATAATAGTAAAATTATCAGAATCAAGAAATTAACATTGATATACTAGCACGATTTTATTGTTCTTTTTCAATTTTTAAATTGAAATTTAAATTTAAAAAAAAGTAATACTTTGCTTTACATCATTTTTTCACAATTATTTACTTATAGTATTATAAGTAAACTCATGTATAGTTATTTTTAAATACGTTATAATCCCATTTGTCCTAGATTCGGCCAGAGAAGGCTCCTTCCAGCTGGCTTCTATAGCCTTTGGCATGTTCTCTCATCATTCTTTGAGGAATTTCTTGTATTTTGGCACAATCATCAGAGCAATACTTGATTCGTGGTCCCCAGTCTAGTCATGTTTCATATAATTGTCATGCTTTGCTAGTGTTCCTTCATCTGCAATATTTCCAAAGTCTTGCTTTGTCTTTTAGGACATTGGGATTGTTTAAGAGTACAGACCTATTACTTTATAGAATGCTTCTAAATTTATGTTTGCCTGATGTTTCATGATGATTAAATTCATATTTTACAGTTTTGGGGGAATGCCACAAAAGTGGCATAGTAACCTGTTCAGTGTATAAAAAAGGTCCTTTGATGTTGATGTGTTTCATTGCTGGTTAACTTTGATCACTTTGATGTTAACTTTGATCACTTTGATGTTAACTTTGATCATTCAGTTAATGTGGAATCTGCCAGTTATTTTTCTTCTACTGAGCAGTTACTAATACTCCCTTTGCAATCAATAAGTACTCTGTGGGAGACTTTGAGATGAAACAAACATCATGCTCTCCTCTGACATTGACCCATGAAGTATCCCAGAAAATTATGATTCTTGCTTGAATCAAACATTGCTATGATAATTGCCAAATGGTGACTGTCTAATTCCATTATTTCTTCTGCATCTGTTAGTTGGCATTCTACTATAATGATAAAAATTTCTCTTTTTTCTATTTGTTTATTTATTCAAGTACTCACTTGTATTTTATAAGCTCATGGATAGTTATTTTTAAATAGGTTATAATCCCATTTGTCCCAGGTTTGGCCAGGGAGGGCTCCTTCCAGCTGCTTTCTATAACCTTTGACAAGCACTCTCATCATTCTTGAAGAAATTTCTTGTATTTTGGCACAATTTTTAGCTTATTTGTACCTAGTCCCAGCCATAGAAACAGTCATTTCTCCAAGGATCCTGAGTTCTTTTAAGTGAAGAATAATATTTGGAAATAAAGATCTGAGTACTCTAGGTGTTTTAGCAATTTTAAAATAATTAATTACAAAAGCTCTGATGTGTTCTCATTGTCTTTCACTTAATAATTAGACTTCTTTTTCTTGTAAGATTTTTTTTTCCTTTTCTGTTGTATATATTTAAATGAGATGTGTTTTCTTGTATGTGGAGATGGAAGTTTCTGTGTACACAGTGGGGTGAAAACAGGGTAGCTTCCCTAGCTTCCTGGATTAAGGACAACATTTGCCCTTGTAATAATGAATATTGGAAATTATGGCCTCTCTGTGTAGCCACCTGCACAATTTTGGGATCTTTTTCCTCTGGATGCCTTTTACCACTATCAAAGCTGCTTTCATCTTTACTCCTAGTGCTCTGTTCCTATTCTGCTAAGTTTAGAGATTACCAACAGTTACCTGCCCCCGTTCCCACCCCCAGTAGTTTCCTCTCTCCTTCTGAATGATTTTTTTTCTGATATTTCTGAAGTCCCTGAAAATTAGAGGACGACAGAATATGCTGACCTTTTAATAAACGCTTTGAGGACCCCAGGTTGTTTGTTTGTTTATACTAAGTCACATATTGAAGACAGTGGAGCCCTTCCCATTGTCATCAGTTTTTCCTCAGATCTGCCACTGAAAATTCAATGCAGAGTGGGATCCTCTCCTTTTCAGAAAAAATACATGTTAATTACTTGGGAACTTTCAAATACCCCTTTCTCTTTTCTGCATTACCTCTACCCGTCACTCAAACCCTGTGGGGGCTGGACACAGCCCTCATTGGTTCTGATTCGGCCCATACTGTCTTTAGGAGTTTTGCTTTGCCTATTCTGTCTTTTATGCCTGTTTTTGTCTTTTTTAACAAAAAAAATATGAGGACAGTCAAAAACTATACTACCATATTGATAGTCTTTTTATTTATTTATTTATTTATTTATTTATTCATTTATTTTGAGACAGGTTCTCACTCTGTTGCCCAGGCTGGATTGCAGTGGCACAATCTCGGCTCACTGCACCATTCGCTTCCCTGGTTCAAGTGATTCTCCTGTCTCAGCCTCCCAAGTAGCAGGGATTACAGGTAAGTGCCAGCACGCCTGGCTAATTTTCATATTTTTAGTACAGATGGGGTTTCGTGATGTTGGTCAGGCTCGTCTTGAACTCCTGATCTCAGGTGATTCTCCCGCCTCGGCCTCCCAAAGTGCTGGGATTACCGGCGTGAGCCACCGCACCCAGCCCATCTTGGTGTGTCTTCTATCACAATTTGTCTTCTATCACAATTTGTGATTGAAATATTTAAACTGTGCTTTCTGCACTTCTTGTAATTTATATTTATATTTATAATTACAAGATGTGCAGTAAGCGCAGTTTAAATATTTTAACATTTAAATTTAAATATTGCATATTTACTGTAGTGGCTTATATATTTCATTTTCTAGTTTCTTTTGAGACTTTTGTGAAATACAACTATTGCTATAATTTTAGAATATTATTAATTATGTTAAGTGAAAAATAGTAGTGATAACCTAAAAATAGGGTAAATGATCCTTCCCATTTCACTTCTATAACATTATATCTTTATTAAAATAGGCCACGTTCTAAAATGTACCGGTGCAAAACTTGTTTCTTCGGAATACTATAATAGAAGGCTTATTCATTCAGACTAATCAAACATCTGGGCAAGAGAGTATAATAAATCAGTAGAATATCTAGGCCATCCTGAGAATTCACCATAGCTCCATAATAAATAAAAAGCATTTCCCTTTCATTTTTCAATCATTTATTTTCTTTGTACATGCAGAATATCAAAGGCATTTGTAAAACTGCTGATGCTTTTGATTTACGAATGAAGCATGCGCAAGGTAAGGCAGTTCTTCCCATTATGTATTTGCTGTTTATGTGGAAGTAATATGACCAGAAAATCAACTGGAACCTATGTTCGATCTGATAGAAGAGACTCATTATAAGGTAATATTTTCTCCCGTGTCATTTTCTGTAAAATTCAATTCTGACAATAAAAATGAAAGAACCATAAAAATTATTCTATTTATAAAATATAGATGGTATAAATACATGTGATTACATCTAAGTGATTACTGATAGCAAATATAGAAAATATTGATTTGGTATTCTGTAACTTCTTTCAGTTTTTTAAATAAGCAGAATTGGTGGAAGTTTTCAGAAATGATAATCATATGTATGGTGTAGTGTAGCAATTTCATTTAAGCTGAATGGCAGCCCTAATGCAGTGAAGATTTTTTAAAACCCCACAGCGACATCATATTTCTATACAACTTCTATCATTATATTTTCTTTCTTTTTTTCTTTTTTTTTTTTTTTAGACGGAGTTTTGCTCTTGTTGCTCAGGCTGCGGTGCAATGGCTCAATCTCCGCTCACTGCAACCTCCACCTCCCAGGTTCAAGCGATTCTCCTGCCTCAGCTTCCCCAGTAGCTGGGATTACATGCGCGTGCCAACAGGCCCAACTAATTTTTTTTTTTGTATTTTTGGTGGAGACAGGGTTTTATCATGTTGGCCAGGCTGGTCTGGAACTCCTGACCTCAGGTGATCCACCCGCCTCGGCCTCCCAAAGTGCTGGGATTACAGGCGTGAGCTGCCGCACCTGGCCTCTCATTGTATTTTCTATTGTTAAATTCTAGTAAAATGCTGACTAAGAAAATATTTAATGTAAGTTACGTTTATAAATGTTATCCACATTATTCAATTAGATTCAATGTTATTTATTCTATGTACATTAAGATGAAAGACAATGATATACAAGTGTCTTTTGAAAGACTCAGAAAAAGAATCATATGAAAATATACTGCTTTTGCCAATCTTAAAGATATGGCCACAATGTGGTTTTATGCCTTCAAAGACTTGAAGAAAAACTGGGGAATGAGGTTGCTGGGGGTTGCAGAGAACAGAAAAAAAAATGGAATTGCAGGAAAAGATATGATGCACTTTCCTCAAGTATGTTGTCAGAGGGTCATAAATATGCACAGAATGGATATGGAAGTAAGTGAGGGTATCCTGTTTGGTTTTTTTTTTTTTAAACCAACAATTTTAAATTTTTCTCACTAGTCTGTTTGTAGGTAGTTCACCATCTGTAAAATGACTTAAAAGGAACATGAATATGGAATGTGTGCAGGATGTGAGTGCCCTATTTACAAAACAAATTGGTAGATTGCATTTGGCTTACTCTGAGAAACCCAAATAAATATGTTCTTTTAGAATTTCACTTATTCTGTTAATAAACTAAAACAAAACAGTCCTAAAAACATAAAAGATGAAGTCAAACACAAATATCAAATCTGGAAACACGAGGTGGTAAGTTTTTTAAGTGAACTTAATTGCATGGGTTATAAATACTTTTCTCTTCAAAATTAGGTCACCCTTGAAAACAATTCAAATTAGAAGGACTTGTTCTGTATGTATATTATCCAGAAAACTTCATTAATGACAGTAATTTTTGCCGCTTTTGTTTCAAGATTTACATGTTTTCACTAGAATAATTGGACCAGAAAATTAAATGCCTGGAAGCCAACAAAGGTTTGAATAAATTGTGAAAATGATGATTGCTTTGTTAAAAATAAAGACTTCAAGAATACATTAAATCTTCATTGTATTTTTCATCTCTACTTAATTTTCCTATGTAGTCAATCACCTTCACATTTTAATTATTTGTATGTTCGTATTTAATTCATCTAAAATTATATTTACAGAGGACGTGAAGTTGAAATAACATTTAGACTAATGCCATTTATTAAATAAGATATTCTTTTTAATGGTTGAAAAGTCGTTTGTCACCTATTAAATTTATGAATTTAATTATTTTCAGGATTCCCAATTCTTTTCTAATGATTATTTTGTGTACTTTTATTTATTTTGTAATGAATATATTGCATTGTAGTGAGGGACTGTGTATTAAGTCAGGGAACTTTGAGGCAAACATAACATATAAAGAGCCCGTAACTCTAACTAGCACATAATAAAATCTTAGCAACTTTTAGCTATCATTACTTTTGTGATTGTAATTGTTAATAGAATTTAAGGTTTCCAAGGAAAGACAGGCAGTTGACATACAAAGAAAGACATCATTTTCCGAGGAACTTGTATATATTTTGGACTTGATGGTATTTCCTACAACTTTATTAGGGTGTAATTGATGTTCAACAAATTCTTATATAATTTAGGTAATTATGTTTATACATGTTATATCCATGACACTCTCATGGCAATTGAGATCACAAATATATCCCAAGAGCAAAATGCTTTCTGTCACTTTAGAAATGCACTTAATTTGCATTTTCTGGAAATCCATATACATGAAATCATGTAGTATGTAAGTACATACTTTTTGTTGTTGCTCTTCCAGCTTCTTTTACTCAGAGTAATTATTTTCAGATTAATCTAGGTTTTTGGTATATTAATAGCTTATTTTTTATTGCTAACTAGCATTACATTGTATGCAATATCCATTTACCTGATGGATTCCAGTTTTTCTTCCAGTATTTGGCTTTTACAATAAAGCTGCTATTAACATTCATACACAAGTCTTTCGTGTGAACATGTTTTCATTTCTTTTGTTTCTTTCCTGTCTTTCAAGGGTCATTCTCATGCCCTGTCCCATGTCTGAAAATAACAGTTTCATATAGTTTGTTCAGCTTTTAATTGGTTGAGGTGGAAGGGCAAATTCAATTTCAGTTATTTTACCTTGGCTCAAAGTGGGTCCTTATCCCATATTATTTTCGTGAGAGACCCTTCATTGATTTTTAGTTATAGTTTTTCTTCCAATAACAGGTTAAATTCCATGAAGGCAGCAATATTTTTCTCTGCTTTTTAAACTATTATTTCAGTTCCATATGAAAAGTTTCTACCACTAGTTGAAACTCCATCAATATTGGTTGAATTAAGCAAAATTAAATGAACTCAACTAATAGGGGCTAAAAACACAGGGAAACATATTCTTTCTGCACACTTCATGAGGTAAAAATGTGATTTGTACACTCAGCAATGCTATTCAAGACCCTGACATTACATCTATTTCACTAGATTTAATACATTGAACTTTTATTATGACACTTAACACTTCATAAGCACAATATGGTGGCTGTAATTCTACACCTCAAGTGCTTATGTTAGTTAACTCATCAAAAGGGAGAATAAAGTAAGGAGAAATGGGAGGCAGCTTGGTTTTGGTGTAAACCCTCAATCTAAGAGGAAATATTTTTCCCAAACTTCTAATCTTACTTCTCCTTACATCTCATTGGACAGATGTAGTTCACACGGCCACTCCTAACAGTGTGGTGGCTAGGCCATTCCTCACTTTTGTCATCTGGAGAGTGGAAGTTAATCAATGGGAAAAGTGTGGGACCACCTATTGTGTAGGCATCTAAAATGAAAATTTAAAGGAAGATGCTGAATATAATTGACCCGAAGGTAGTCTTTAATTATTATTTTTCAATGTTTAGCAAAACAAGTGGGCAATGAGGAGCTTCATAAAAGTCATTTTGTCTAAATTTCAGAAATGATAATTGCAGAAAGGAATAATAATAATAATAAATGCAGAAAGGAATCTCTTAGTAAGGCAGAAAGATGGAGAATTAGCCTCAGGTTACAAACTTTTGAGTAAGCTGTAAGGATTATCTGGCATAGCAATGTATTAAAAATAGAAACATTAAGAAAGGTTTTCTGGTGAACACAATAATCTAATTCAACAAATGTCTAAAAAAAGATTTATGATGTAACAGATGAAACAGCAGGTATAGAATAGTATAGAAAAGGAAGTGATTAAATTCATTATTAAGTGACGTTATCAATGCAGTTTTTTTTTCAGAACAAGTAATACCTAAATATATTTTGAGGATTGCAAATGCACTAGACAGAGGGTGGTATTCCTTTAGCTGTGTGTATAGAAATGTAAACAAATGTTGCAAGTGTATATTTATGTTTCCTGATTAACACTTCCATCCTTACTGTAACATAAAAGGGCATTTATGAAATAAACTTTGCAAATCTCTCTAGAAGCTTCTATTGCTTGAAAATATAGTATATATGTGTTGGTAAACAGGACATGTATTTGAGGGGATTAGGTTAGAAAAGTAGCCATTGATTGGTTTGTGAAGAGTCTTATATACCCTACTAAATGTCTAGGATGTTAATCAAATTAATGTAAATTAAGAGATTAGTGAAAAAGATTTGCATTTTTTGAGAGATAACATTAGCAATAATGTAAAATATTTGGGGAATAGGTAAAGGGAAAAAAAGGAAGCTATTGTGAGAAATGATGAGGCTCTGAACCAAAGCTCTCAGACAAGTAGTGTCACTGGGAATAGGAAAGAAGATAATAATGAAAATATTTAATAATTTATTAGATGTAATGGTGAACATTTTAGTTTGGTTATCTACAAATAGCTTGAAACAAATGCTTACGTAATTGTATTTGGTGAGGTTGTGGTGGGGCTGTAGGGGGTGTCATCCCGGGGAAAAGGAATAAGGATGAGAAGAGAAAAATGGGGAGAGAGGGGTCACACTCTGAGTCGGCCTTTCCTGTGGGCAACTGGTTGCTTGATCCTTTGAAACCCTTAAAAAAAGCTGACGGGCGCAGTGGCTCAAGCCTATAATCTCAGTACTTTGGGAGGCCAAGGCAGGCGGATCACTAGGTCAGGAGATCGAGACCATCCTGGCCAACATGGTGAAACCCCATCTCTACTAAAAATACAAAAATTAGCCGGGTATTGTGGTGTGCACCTGTAGTAGTCCCAGCTACTCAAGAAGCTGAGGCTAGAGAATCGCTTGAACCCGGGAGGCAGAGACTGCAGTGAGCCCAAAATTGTGCCACCGCACTCCAGCCTGGTGACAGAGCAAGACTCTGTCAAAAAAAAAAAAAAAAAAAGCACATGGAATATATCTTAAAATTGTCTTTTGTAGAGGGTAGAGAAAGAGGCAATCATTTCTCTATTAGGTCACATTCCCCATTGCTCAATGTTTAGCTAATCCATGGTTAACTCACCCCTTTCTCTGGGTTGTGCATGCACTGGCAAAGAGTGGGTTTCTATAACTTCCCACATCAGCTGGATGGCTGAGGAGGGCTGCAGCACCAGAAAAAGAAAAGGTGCTAAGATGGTTTGAACATTCACAATGGCTGAAAGCAGAGACAGATGAGAGAGATCAAGAGGATGTGCGTTGATACATCAGAGGCGTCTAAATCAGTAAAGGAGAAAAGTACACACAGAATGACTATGGAATGGGGAAGCCTCAAAGAGTATTAAATTAACATGACAAACTGATGTGTTAAAATGTTTGTTGTTGTACTCTTAGAAATCATTATTTAGGAAATTATGTGTTTGTGATATTAGGTGGGGTGGCTGCTACTCTGGCAGCTGAGTTGCAGATGGGAGGCAGACAATGTGAGATAGTTTTCCTACTTCCCAAAGTTGGTGAGCACTTTTTCTCTTTCACTAAAGTTAGTTATTTAGGCTTCTAAACAGCCTTTCTAAGAAAAAGAAAAAAAACGACTTTCAAATCATAAAATGTGCCCATGGAAAGCTGTTTTCAGACACTATTTGGGATTCTTTTTACCAAAGAAAGTAATCTTCATAGCAGAACTCTAAGCTTAAAAGTTATTTTGCTTTGAGATTCATCTCTGAATGTTGCTATGCTAAAAGAAACTTTTACAGAACAAGAATAAAGCTTTTAAACTTCACACGTAGCCACAGGGATACCTTCCTCATGCATAGCCATGGGGATATCCAGGGCTTCAATGCTAAGGAAAAAAGGCAGCAAATCCCTCTACCCACCGTACCATCTGGAGGACATTTACTAGACTGTCACACATGCACACACACCTGGATAAGAGCCTGTGAACAGTGTCGGCTGAGTAACAACGTGGAGATATTTTTTTTTCTTGACAGTGTAATTGAAATTATAGCTATAATATGCTTTTAAAAACACTGGATTTTTTCTTATATTTTTTTAAATTTTAGGTATTTATTCACTTAATATATTTTTGAAATAAGGAATCACACAAAAAATGAAACTTATGGGAAGTCTTCAGGCTTAATTTCCTAATTGTTTGATCACTAAAAATCAAGGAACCTCAGGCAGTTACCAAGTAAAGTCACGTACGTATTTAAACCACCTACTTATTATCTATCTATAAATTAAACTTAGAATATTTACCAGCTATTCTGTAAATTCGTATCTAGGCAAATAAGTGAGTAAAAATATTTTGAGCAGATAAGACAATGTGCCCCGACAAAAGAGGAATTTAAATTCAATGTAGCAGCATTAGAGTTTTGAGGGATTACAGAAAAATTAGACTAGAAAAATAAGCAGAATCCAAATTATGAAAGATCTTCAAGTCATATCATGTTGTTGGAAGTGTCTAAAGTCACTGGCAGCCACTAAAATGTTTTAATAATGACAATTAATCTGATTGCTTCTAAGCAAGCATGACGTGGGAAAACCAGTTGAAGACATTTAGGTACCCTGGAGTGGTGTTGGAACAGAAGCCTCAGAGGAGAATCTTGGGGAAGGAGTGATATGTGAGCATCTACAACACTCTCTAAACCAAAAATATATGAAAGGGACGACAGAATTAGGCCAAGTCTCTAAAGGATTAAGACAGAAGTATTAAAAATGATATTCTTCTTATCTTGCATGTGTGCAACTGATTTTAAAAAATTAATTACCACCCCCATTACTGTTATATTACACACAGTTTTGTAGCTTATATTGATCACATTGTGTGGCCTTCTAGATTTTGAGACTATTGGACAATTATTAGGGCCCACTATTTTGTTGAAAATCTAACTTAGGGTTACTGCAATTCAATTCTGCTACTAACAACTTAAAGTAAATGCAGACTCCACAAGTTAATGAACATAGTCCCTAAGATGACCCTTACTCAGACTCCAATTGCACTATGGGTGTTCTCAAATTCAGGGTTCCAGTGATTCTCCAAGGCTTGGTAATTCTCTAGAATCACTCATAGAACTACAGTTTATTTTAAAGAAAAACACAGGGCAAAAAATAATTGACAATGTCAACTACCAGCAGAAATATAGACAAATCTGGACTTTCACCAGATAATAGGAATGTATGTTAAAACAACTACATTAGAAAAAAGTATGGCATTTTTACAGAGTTTAAGATTTCTCTCCCCTATGACTGAGCAATTCCACTCTTAGAAATACACTCAAGAGTGAGAGAGGGCTGAGTGAGACAGTGGAGTAGGTCCTTCCAGAAGTTATTCTCCCACTGAAACAGCAATTTGAACACCTATCTCCACAAGAAAAACCCTTCGCAAGAGCTCAGAAAAACAGGTAAGAGCTCACAGTATCTGGTTATAGTGTAATAATAAGAAAAGATGTATTGAAGAGGGTAGGAAGGACAGTTTTACATTACTTTCAATACTCTTTCCTCAAACTCAGGCAGCACAGCATTGAGAGGAATGTGGTATACTTGGGAAAAGGGGAGGAAATTAGCATGGAATTTTGCCTTGGAACATAAGACCGGGGCCAACACAGTAAAATCAAGCACTGGGCATAACCCCTTGGCCTCTGACACCAGGCTGCTACCTCCAGATGAAGCCTCTAGACCTGCCCCAGAACCCAGACATAATTCAGCCTGCATCACCACTTACAAACTACAGCAGCCTTGGCCCTGAATAAACCTTAGTGCCAGGCAGGCTATGGCACCAAGGACCTTAGGCATGCTCCAGCGCTGTACTGGTCTCAGAGTTAGTGGGCATCTGCTGTGACCCAATGTTGCATTAGCCTCAGCAGCCACAGGATTGCCAATGCCACCTTTAGCTCATCCCCAGGCAGCACAGCTGGAGAGAGACACTGTCTTCTTGGGGAAAGAAGATAAAAGTAAGCATAGGACTTTACCTTGCAACCCAGTACAGGCCTGCCTCAGTAAAATCTAACATGAGGCAGAACTTCCCCAACTCTGACACTAGGCCAGTACCCACAGATGGAACCTCAGACCACCCCAGCACCAGATGGGATTCTGCAATCCCAGTAAGACAAATTCATGCTCCAGTTCATATTATGGCCAGCTGACTACATTGACATTTTCCTTAAATAAACTTCAAGCTATATAATCTTTAGGACTTGGAGACAACCTGCACTGTGCTTGTCTTGGTGACCATGGGCTTTGGGTGTGATCCAGCGTTGTGTCAGCCTTGGCAGCAAAAATATTTAGGCCACAATGGTATATGGTTAGGTGTCTTCTAGCATTGTAATTCCGGAAGCAGTCACAAGCTTAGGGTTCTCACTAATCAACCTTCCCTGAATCTGCTAATAAGGTCAACACTGAAGAAAACTCCCAAACAAAGCCACACTACAAATATTGGATCAGGTGCCTACTCCAATGTTCAGAAATTGATGTAGAGCCACAAGGATCAAGATCAATCAAGGAAACATAACATCAATAAATGGTCAAAATAAGGTGCCAGTGACTCACCCTAAAGTGATGAGACAGAAAAACTGCCCAAAAAATAATTCAAAGAAGCTGTTTCAATGTTCAGCAAACTACAAAAAATTACAGAAAAACAATTGAGAGATTTATCAGAGAAATTTAACAAAGAGATTGATATAATAAAAAAAGTAGAAACTCTAAAGCTTAAAAATAGAATGAATAAAATAAAAAAAAAATAATAGAGAGTATCAACAGCAGGATTGATCCAACCAGAATAAGAATCTGTAAACTTGAGGTCATGTTAATTAAAAATATACACTCAGAGGAGAAAAATAAAAAGAATAAGAAGATATGAAGAAAACTTGCAAAATTTTCAACTTCAACATCCCACTTTCAACAATAGACAGGTCACCTTGACAAAATATCAATATAGAAACATGGTATTTAAACTACACTCTATACCAAATAGACCTAACATTTATAGGCCATTCTTTCAAACAGTTATAGAATGTACATTCTTCTCAAACCTAGATGAAACATTTTCCAAGATAGATGACATGTTAAGTCACAAAACAAGCCTTAACAAATTTAAGATCAAAATGAATGAAAGTTACCAGATTTAGTAAAATAACATCAAAAAGCAAATTTACAGGTCATTATTGTTCTAGAGAGAGTACAGAAAGAGGGATAGAGAGCTTATTTAAATAGTTAATTACATAAAACTTTCCAAACCAGCAACTAACCTGGAACGGGAAGGTCAGAGGTCTCCAATCAGGTTCAGTCTGAAATACGAATACCCTAAGACATATTTTAATCAAACTGTCAAAGATCAAAGACAAAGGGATAATCCTGAAAGCAGCAAAAGAATAAAAAAACAAATGAGATATAAGAGAGTTCCAACATGTCTCACAGCAGTCTTCTCAGTAGAAACCTTATAGGCTTGGAGAGATGAGATAATATATTCAAAGCGATGAAAGTAAAAAAAAAAAACCCTACCAATCAAGAATACAGTATCAGCAATGCTGTCTTTCAGAAATGCAGGAGAGATGAAGGTTTTTTTGGACAAACGTAAGCTAAGAAACTTCCTCAGCACTAAACCTTTCTTGTAAGAAATGCTAAAGGAAATTCTTTTAAATAAAGGAAAAAGGTACTAATTAATAACATGAAAACATCTGAAAGTATATAATTCAATTTTAAAAGTAAGTAGATAACAAAATTCTAAACAGTCTGATAATGTATTGGTGCTGGGTAAACCTTAATATGAAGTTAAAAGACAAAATAATTACAAATAATAACTACATTAATTTGTTAAGGTACATAAAATATAAAAAGATACAAATTATGACATTAAAAAGTCAAAATATTGGGGGAAGAGGAAGAGTGGAGTTTTTTCTCTTTTTTAATTTTCTTTTGCAAAGTTAAGTTACTGTCTGTTTAAAATAACCTACTAAAACTATGAGACGCTTTCTGTAAGCCTCATAGCAATTGCAAAGCAACAATATAGAAGAAATACACTAAAAAATTAATCAAAACTTACTACTTAAAAAAAATTCTTAACCACAAAGGAAGACAGTAAGAGAGAAGTAAAGTAAGAAAGAACCTACAAAACAAAACAAAATTAACAAAATGGAGGCAGTAAGTCCTTACCTATCAATAATTACCTTGAATGTAATTGAATTAAATTATCCAAATAAAGGACATACTGTGACAAAAGGCATAAAAAGTGAAAACTCAGCTATGTGCTGCCTACAAGAGACAAACTTCCCCTTAGGGACACACATGGATTGGAAGTGAAGAGATGGAAAAAGACATTCCATGGAGAGCAGGAGTAGCTTTATTTACATGAGATAAAATATACCGTAAGTAAAAAATATGTAAAAATGAGAGAAATGATATTATATAATGATAAAGATATCACCTCAGCAAGAGAATATAACAATTATAAATATATATGCACTCAATATTGGAGCACCTAAATATATTGAACAAATATTAATAGAGCTAAAAAAAGAGATGGACTGTAATGCAAAAAGAGCAGGGGACTTCAACATCCCGCTTTCAACAATAGAGAGATCACCTTGACAGAATATCAATACAGAAACATGGTATTTAAGTTACACTCTATATTGAATAGACCTAAAAAATATTTACAGACCATTCTTTCAAACAGTTATAGAATGTACATTCTTCTCAAATAAAGATGAAAGATTTTCCAGGATAGATCATATGTTAGGCCACAATACAAGTCTTAAAAAATTTAAGATCAAAATCATATATTCTCAGACCACAGTGTTATAAAACTAGAAATAAATAACCAGACAAAACATGAAACTTTACAAATACATGTAAATCAAACACATGCTCCTGAACAATCCACGGGTCAATGAATAAATTAACAGTGAAATTAAAAAATTCCTTGAGGCAAATGAAAATGGAGATTTAACATACCAAAACCTATGGGACACAGCAAAAGCAGTTCTAAGAGGGAAGTTTATAGCAATAAACATTTATCTAAAAAAAAAGTCTTAAATTAACAACCTAACATTGCACATTAAAGAAGTAGAAAAACAAGAACAAACCTAAACCTAAAACTGATAGAAGCTAGTAAATCGTAATGATCAGAGGAGAAAAAATAAAACAGAAACTTAAAAAATACAAAAGACCAATGAAGAGCTAGTTTTTTTTTTAATTGACCAGATAAACAAAATCCACAAGTTTTTATCTACAGTAACTCAGGGGGAGAAAATATATAGTTCCCTCTTAGAACTCAGAACCCAAACAAATAAAATCAGAGATGAAAAAGAGATATCACAGCTGATACCACAGAAATGCGAAGGATCTAAGAGACTATTATGAACAACTATATACCAACGAATTAGAAAACCTATAATAAATGGAAAAATACCTGCACATACGCAACTTACCAAAACTGAATGATGAAATAATTTAAAACCTGAAATTTTGACCAATAGTGAATAATGAGATTGAATCAGTTATTAAAAAATCTCTGATCAAAGAGAAGCCCAGGACCTTATGGCTTCAATGCTGAATTCTACCAGACATTTAAATGAAAACTAGTACCAATTATTCTCAATTTATTCTAAAAAATTGTAGAAGATGAAATTCTTCTAAACTCATTCTTAGAAGACAGTTTTAACTTGATACCAAAACCAGATGAAAACCCAAAGAAAAATGGAAATCACAGGCCAATCTTCCAGATGAACGTAGATGAAAAAACTCTCCACAAAGTACTGGCAAACTGAATTCAACAGCGAATTAAAAAGGTCATTTACCATGATCAAGTGGATTCATCCCAGAGACGCAAGGAAGACTCAACATATGCAAATCAATAAACATGATACATCATTAACAGAATCAAAGACAAAAGCCATATAATCACTTCAATAGACATAAAAAAGCATTTAATAAAATTCAACGTCCCTTCATGACAAAAAGTGTCAACAAAGTAGGTATAGAAGGAATGTACCTCAATATAATAAAAGCTGTATATTACAAACACATAGCTAACTCCCAGATAGCATCATACTGAGCAGGGAAAAGTTGAAACTTTTCTTCACAGATTGGAACAAGACAAGAATACTCATTTCCACCACTTTTATTTAACATAGTACTGGAAGCCCTAGCTGGGAAAATAGGTGAGGAGAAAACAAATGAAAGGCATCCAAATTGGAAAGAAGAAAATCAAAATGTCTCTGTAGACAATGTAATTTTATATATAGAAAACCCTGTATACGCCATCAAAAACTGTTAGAACTAGTAAATGGATTCTGTAAAGTTGCAGGATACAAAATCAATATACAAAAACCAGTACTGCTTCTACATATGCATAAGGAACTATCTGAAAAAGAAATTGAAAAAGCAATACCATTTATAATAGTGACAAAAATAAGATATCTAAGGATAAATTTAACCAAGGAAGTGAAAGATCTGTATACTGAAAACTATAAAACATTGATAAAAGAAATTGAACATGACACAAATAAATAAAAAGCTATGCCATGATAATTAATTGGAAAAAATATTATTGTTAAAATGGCCACTCTAACCAAAGTGATTTACAAATTCAGTGTAATTTCTAACAAAATACCAGTGACATTTTTTGCTACAATAGAGAAAGCAACTCTAAAATTTGTATGGAACCACAAAAGACCCTAAATGGCAAAATAGATTTTGAGAAAAAACAAACAAACAAACAAACAAACAAACAAAAAACAAAGCCTGTGGCATCACACTATCTGAATTCGTAAAACACTACAAAACAGTAGCAACCAAAAATGATTCTTGTGTAAAAACAGACACATAGACCAATGGAACAGAGTAGTGAACACAGACTTACAGCCAACTGATCGTCAACAAAGGTGCCAAGAACACATATTGAGGGAAAATACAGCCTCTTGAATAATGATGCTGAGAATATTGAATATACAGGAGAATAAAGCCAGACCTCATCTCTCACCATATACAAAAATCAAGTCAAAAATTCATCAAAGACTTAAACGTACAACCTGAAACTACTAGAAGAAAACATTGAAGAAACAGAGCATTGGTCTAGGCAAAAATTTGTATATGTGTGTGTAAGACCTCAAAAGCACAAGCAACGAAATTGAAAATGAACAAATGGGATTTTATCAAACTACAAGTTTCTGCACAGCAAAGGAAACAATTAACAAAGTGAACAGACGTTATACACAATGGGATCAAAGATTTGCACACTATCCATCTAAAAATTGATTAATAACCAGAATATAGAAGAGACTCAAAGAACTCAATAGCAATAATAATAATAATCCAATTTAAAAGAGACAAAAAACCTAAATAGATGTTTCTCAAAAGAAAACATACAAAAAGCCAACAGGTATGTAAAAAATACTGAACATTACTAATAATCAGGGAAATTCAAGTCAAAACCACAAAGAGATATCATGTCACCCCAGTTAAAATGGCTATTTAATAAAATGCTGGTGACGATGCAGAAAAAGGGGAACATTAGTACACTGTGTGGGAATGTACAATAGTACAGCCATTACAGAAAACAATATGGAGGTTCATCAAAAAAGTACAGGTAGATCTACCATACGATGCAACAATCCAACTAGGTGTATATGCAAAAGAAAAGAAATCAGCATACCAAAATCAGTGCGGCATGTTTATTGCAGGACTATTCACAATAACCAAGATATGAAATTAACCTAAGTGCCCATTAGCAGATGAATAAAGGAAATGTGGTGTATATACACAATGGAATACTATTTAATTATGAAAAGAATAAAATCCTATCATTTGCAGCAACATGGATGAACCTGGCAAACATTATGTTAAGTGAGATAAGCCAGGCACAGAAAGATGAATACCACATGATCTCACTCATATGTAGACTCTGAAGGAGATCTCATTGAAGAGTAGAATAGTAGCTACCAGAGGCTGGGGAAGGGAGGTGCAGTGGGGATTAGGAGAAATTTGTCAACATGTTCAAAGTTACAGTAGACAGAAGGAATAAGTTCTGGTGTTCTATTGCACATTAGAGTGACTATGGTTAAAAATATTGTCTTGTACATTTCAAAATAGCCAGAAGAGAGAATTTTGAATGTTCTCATTACAAAGAAATGATTATTGTATGAGATGATAAACATGCTAAATACACTGATTTGGTTTTTACACAATGTATACATGTATGGAAACATCACACTGTATCCTATAAGTATATATGATTATTATGTTTGAATAAAAACAAAATTTTAAAAAGTAATGCCTGATACTTAACATCAGAATAGATATTTTACAAGGAAAAAATTATCACCATTGTTCATATTAACCATGAACTAGAAATAGCTCAATAACTCAATGCCCATTCTATTCCATTCCATTCACTCTTCTATTCTATTCTATTCTATTCTATTCTATTCTATTCTATTCTATTCTATTCTATTCTATTCTATTCTATTCTAATTTTTTCTAATTGATTCTGTTCTTCATTTGTATATAGTTGATATTACACAGCAATGGAAATTTTCTATTGTTCCCTACAAGAATATGAATAGTGTAGCACCACATAATACAGGCAAAAACAAAACAAAACAAAACAAAATTCAATGATTTCATTTATACATTGGAAGTTAACACCAAATCTACATTCTATTGCATAACGTTTTACATATACTTAGGTGGTAACACACAAATCTAATAGGGGGTGATTTTATAAACATGGTGAAAATTGTTACCTATATGCTAAAGGCATATAGGTAATTGAGAAGGATTATTCTAAGGGCTCCTGGGATACTGGTAATGTTCTGTTTCTTGAATAGAATGATGGTTTCATGGCTGTTTAATTTTTAATAATTTGTACACTATTAATCAACAATAGAAAATTATACCATATGTTACATTTTATAATTTAGATTAAAAGTCAAATCATCATGTGTATACTTTAAAACACAATTTTAAGTAACATATTATCTATTTTTAGACAGCAAATTACATAAATATTTTACCCAAGAAGAATAATTAAGGTTGTTAGTTAAAAGTCTATCCTTTATTAAAAACATCACACATGCAATTAGCATTTATTATTCCTAAATATGTAGCAAACTCCAATAGTGTGAAGATAGATTCAATTTTCTTTGTCAATTTTGTTTCATGTACATATGTACTATCAGCAGCAGTAGCTATATTTAGAATTACCATTTTCTAAGCATTGCTATATTTATAATGTCTAATCCACTGTGTTTAAAATAAAATAAACTAGTTTTAACAAAATTTGAAGCTTTACCAATGAACACTTACTCTAATCTTGTATATTTCTAGGAATTATTTAAGAAGTAAAATTATTTTGATTAAAATAATTTTCATGTCAGAGCAGATGCTTATCATTTTTATTCCAGTATGTTTTCATTATCGACAGTTTGTGTGTTATATATACTTCAGTAAACTACATCAAATGGCTCAGAAACATGTTAGATATATTTGCTTTAATTTTTACAAGTTACAGAAGAAAAACAATTAGAATTGATTTAGATTAGATTCAAAATAATTTGGAAAGGGTTACTTGTTCACTAGTGTTATTTCTGAAATAAGTTTATGCTAGAGGGGGCTTTTGGAGAAGACTCCATTACAAAAGCATCCTGGCCCCACGACCCAACCCTTCTTATGTTGCTGCCCAGGATCAGAGTGTGTCAAAGGTGGCCAATCTGAAGGAGCTCCAAATGTCCAAAGCTGAATAATGTGAGCACTGAAATAAATAATGCTAATATTGTAATACAAGCCAAAGAATAAAATAAACATCCATGCCTTGGAGTTAATATAAATAAAAAAATGAAAGCAGGGAGAAATCAAAATAATTTATGTAGATACTTTCCTCCTCCACCAACACTACCAGGAGGTAATGTTTTTCCTTAAGTGTGTATTCCTTTTCCTTGAGTGTGTATTCCAGGATTGTCCTGTATATTCCCTGTTTCAGTTCTAGAATTAGCCATTTCTCCAAAAAATCCTAGGTTCCTTTTACTGGAGAATGGTATTTAGAAATCAAGATTTGGGCACTGGGTATGTTTGTGGCTGCTAGATGTTCACTGCTCCCATACTACATTTCCCAGACTGAAGAAATGTAGATAAGCATCCTAATTTATATGTATAGACATAACTATAATTAGTTCTGTTAAACGTGAGTTTCTACTGATGTCTCTGACTAATCCATCACTGTGTGGTTCATTCTAGTATTCCTCTCTTGTTTATTTGTAACTTATTTCTGTGACATTGAGAAAGCTGTCTTCCATTTTCTATAGCATATTTACTTTTCAAAATCATCCCTAGATACATATAAAGTAGTTTCAGAATTGCTAACTTGTACCCCTTTGAGAAACAAATTTACCCACTAGACAGTAGTGATTTTACTCCCTTATTCTAGTTTTTGACTTTTTAAATCCAAGCAAACTTGATTTAACAAAGTTACTTTAAGCCAGTTTCTTTTCTCTTAGTCTCCAGTTGAGGTTATATCATGTGTTTGTAATACAGTTAGATTTGTTTGTTGCAGTCTGCATTCCATCCTGGGATCACTATAACTTCTATCAATTAGAAAAAATGCATACTTGAAGGTTCACTTTGTATAAATCTACAGGAGATACATGGCTATGCATATAATATGTAATTTAAAAGTAAATTTGAATCAAGTGGATTTTAAAAAGCAAAACATACAACTTACTATAAAAAAGTACAAAATTAACCTAACTATAGATGAAATAAAAACAAAGTTATACATGCACCCACAAGCAGAAATGAATTAATTTATGGAACTCTGGAGCAAATATTTCAGATTTGTACTTTTACTAAGACAAATAATCTGCCAGACAATTGTGATTTTTACTTAGTTTTTTTTTTTTTTTGGTGGTATTATCAATATAATGATTCTAGAACTATTTTGTGTACATCATAAGATAGAAGAAACAAGTACATTTAGTGATATTGCCAGGAACCAGCGTTTTCACTATGGCAGTAGGAAAGTAAACATATGTAATGTCAGAAGGAAAGGAAGAATCCTGTGATATTAAACTGGAGTTGGAGAAATCAGTCCAAAGCCATGATCCTTTACCAAATGTCTTCACAGTGCTGTCCACTGAAGGAACCTAGAAGAGTAACACAGAAGTAGCAATGAGCATACATACTGCCCAGATCTTGGTGTGCAAATCCCATCTCCAAGTAAAAGGAACTAGGGCTCTTATTTAAAAAAAAAAATTATTTAGTTCAAATCTAGGGCTGTAAAAAATAAAATAAAATGAGGCTGGAACATCTTATGGGGACTGAAATTAAGAAAAATGGATTGTATCAAAAAGACTCTATAGTCAGCTTGAATGGCTTCTTTCGGCCCAGTTTGGGAAAATTGGACTACCAAAAAGAATGATGATAATCTGTCTAAAAAGAGAAAAAAATTGAGGGAAATAGATGAAATAAGACAACAGAACATTGGCAATTATTAGAGCAGTCTAATGTGTAATTGTAGTTTAATGAATCATTCTCTTCACTTTTATTTGTATTTGAAATGTTCTATAATAAAAAGTATACTATATGTATATACTATATTATATGTTAATATAATATTATAATATATATAATATTCTATACATATATAACACTAAAACATAAGTAAAATGTGGTAGTTGCAAGAATATAAAGTTTGAAAAAATAAAGTATAAATGTAACAAATTCAAATCAGTGTCATATAAAGAAGTTAAATAAAAAACCAGAAGCTAAAAGAAAAATTAAAATGAGTAATGTACCTCCAACCCTAAACCAAACTAATTACCAAACATGTTAAAAATTAAATTTAAATAATATAATCATAAAACAATTAGAATAAAAACAGGCAATTAATGACTTTTTATCAAATTGGGAGGTTAAACATTCCAAGCAGAAGACTGTAAAAATGGAAAAAGAAAAAAAATAAAGGCTTCTAAAACTCTTTCATATGAGAAGTAAAGGACTGTATGTCTGAAAGGATAATGACTGACTTGCAAAAATATTAAGCTAATATTCAATTATCCTAGCTCAAAAAAGCACCTGCAAATAAATAACATGACAAATATTAATAATAATCTGGTAAAGCAATGAAAAAAAGATAATTGCAGATTATTCACCAAATAGAAAAGCTACTAGTTAGTAGATTTAAAAATAAATTTAACTTACCAGAAATAGGATATTCAAATTAAAGAAGAAATGAGATTCTATATGTGCTCCTATCAAATTAGAAAATAATTTATTATTATAATACTCAATATTGTTCAGGGTGGACTGAGATAACTACTCTCATAAATGGAATATGAACATTGAAAACCCCTTTATTGGGGCAGTTTGGATATAACTAACAAGTTATTTTAAATGTTCATGTATTTAAGCTCTCAAAATACATCTTAAGAAAATTACTGTCTGTGAGGTTATAATGAAAAATAACTTGTAGCTTAAAACACAGAACATGATTATTGTCCCAAAATATGCAAAATGGTTGTATAAATGTTAATCTATCTTTAAATATGTTTGCATACAAGCCTAAAGTCATGTATTATAAGCATTTCAAGATATACAAAATACATGATATTGGAATTAATGAGAAAAGAACATATTCATAACTAATATAATTATAATTTTGTAAAGAAATATAAAGGACAAAAATTAGAAGGCAAAACACAGCAGTCTTATGAGTACCTATCTATTGGTGGCCATCTTAAGAATAATTTTGATTATGTATTTATAATTATTTTTCAATGAAAAATGAAGTTTGCATGTAATTATTCAAAGCTACACTATTTTGAACACAACCAGAAATAAGAATATATCCTATGATTAACTGAATGAAATGAATTTGTATCAGTATCAAGTCAATACACAGGGAAATATCTTGAAATGTAATGTTAAATGATGTTATTAAAGATGACATGTTACATATTCTGAAGTGGAAATTAGCCCTGTGCAAGCACCATTCAGTAAGGCTTTCTTTGCTACCTATTCTGGATATTAAAATTTCAAGGGTACCGTCAGTTAAGATCACTCAGTTTGGGTTTCTTTATTAGTAATAGGAAAGATTATTTTAATACCCTACAACAAGAGCAGCATTAGCTGCTCACCAGTTGTTTAATGAGAATTGAACCCATGCTATGGAATCAAGAATATTAGGATGAAAATTATTTAACATGACATGTAGTGCACTCATATCAAACTACAAACTACAGTATATTTTGTCTGTTAATTATCAATTTTTCTGCTGAAAGAAACTACTAAGACATTTACCCAGGTGCAGGAAACTTTTTTTTTTCCTGGCCTTTTCTAATCTTTTTACACAACATTTTTCTGTACTACTTCCTAATCTTTTACAGCATCCCACCTCAGCAAAAGACCCCGCTGATCGATCTAAACCACTTTGACATTGAATAGGTCACTTTCTGTGTCAGGACTGATTGGTACTAATTGCAGAGAAGCATCTGTCCCAGTCTGCTCTTTTTTAAAGTTAAGATTTTAAAGAAACAAGCACATCAATTGAATTGCTCTAGTTTTAGTTGGTTTGTTTTTAATTATTGGTGTATAGATCCCTGCGTATGTAGGACCCTGAAGATAGGAAGTTCTTTAATAGGCAAAACAATGGCTTTCAAAGCCTCAAAGTCTCTTTTCTCCATCTGAATTGCTGCATCGGGAGGAATTTTATCAATTTTTCTGACATTTAAAGAAAAATAAAAACTCCTGATCAGAGTTCTCCAGACAGTGTCTCTTCAAATCCTGCAATGCCCTTTAGACTGCAATTACTTCTTTGTGATTCTTTCAAATGTCTCCTAATAGCAGCAGGTCTGGTTGAAACTGTCCACTTTTGGCTCACTGGGTTTTTAATTTTTAACTGCAAATGTGGTATAAAATCAGAAGAAAAGTGAATGTGCATTGATTGCAGTTATCTAAAAACGTTTGTTTAGGCCTTTTTTGCCATGTGGTCAGCAATACCTGATATGGCTTCCTCCAACTTCCAACTATGATATCTATAAAATGAAAATAAATAAAATGTTAGAAAATAATTATGAAACTCTAGCACCTTTGGGGAAATAAATTATATGGCCTCATGGGAATCTTTGCTAACTTCCTATCTAGTAAAATTAGATTAAGAGTAACCTATTTGGGCTTTCTGATATGAAATTCCCAGGCTTCCTCTCATGAAAGGGGATTCCTAAAGCAGAAAATCAAAACAGGTAAGACAGTGATTCTTGCATTCCTCAGAATATGTCTCCTGACTCTAAATGGTTGTGTACCTTTTGGAAATAGCTGCCTTTCACTTCTGTATTAAAATGCTTTCTCCCTTTCTCTCCTGTCTCCTTCTTTCTCTCTCTGTATCTGTCTTCCTTCTTTTTGGTCTTAACAGTGTAGAGTGACATGAGGTGCAGCACTTCTCAAAAAAATATTCACCCATTAATTCTGCTATTTTTCTCCATCCAAATCTAAGTATAAATTACCAGGAAAGAGTGGTCTAAAACTGACGATGGTAGTGAAAGGTTGTATCTAAAAAAAAGTTAGATTAATAAAGTTAGATTAATAGAGCAATGTATATAAACATGGAAAACATAGAGAAGAAGAAACTATAGCAGATAATTATTCCATTCGCTTAATACTTATTAATTGAGATTTACTGTGTGCAGGCAGTACTCCAGGCACTTGGAATACATCAATTAAAAAAAAAGATCTCTACCTCCTTGGGGCATATTTGGAAGACAGGCAATAAATAATTCACCTTTACAAAAACTAAATTATATAGTGCATTAGAAAAGGCAGTAATGGAAATGAAAAAGTAAATAAGCAAAGAGAATCAGTTGAGCTATCATAATCGTAGAGGTCAGAGTAGACAATATCGAAAAAATGAAATGTGTCACAGTTGGGGAATATAGCCATAGGAATTAATGGTAGAAGAGTATTATTCTAGACAGAAGGAACAACTACAACAAAGACTCTATGTTATGTGTGTTCCTACTGTGTTTCAGTAGCAACAAGCAGGCAAATGTAGCAGAGCAGAGTGAATAGGGAAAAATGTTAGAAAAGGATATCAGAAGAGTAAGATCGGACCAAATAAGGATGTCTTGGAGGCTATTTAGGGACATTGATTCTTTATTTGGTAAAAAAAAAAAAAAAGGAAAAAAAAAAGGCAAGGCATTTGTATTAGTCAGTGTTATCCAGAGAAACAGAACCAATAGAGTATATATTGCCACATAAGAGGAGATTTATTATGAGAATTGGCTCACACAGTTATGGAGGTTGGAAGTCCCATAATCTTCAAGTTGAAGAGCAAGGAAAGCTTGTGGTGCAACCAGGCTGAGTCCAAAAGGCCTGAGAACTGGAGGTGGTGGGTGGCTAGTATAAGTCCCAGAGTCCAAATGCTCCCAAACCAGGAGCTCCAACATCCAAGGGCAGAAAAAGATAGATGTCTATCTCAAGAAAAGAGAAAGTTTTCTTTTCCTCCACTTTTTTTGTTCTTTTGTGCCCTGAATGGATTGGATAATGGCCACCTACATTGATGAGAGCAGATATTCTTTATTGAGTCTACTGGTTCAAATGCTAATCTCTTCTGGAAACAAACACTCTCACAGGCATACATAGAATAATGTTTCACCAGGTGCCTGGATATCCCTTAGACCACCCAAGCTGACACATAAAATTAACCATCACAGCATTATAAACTTTTGAATGGAATACTAACAATGTTTGTCTTACATTTATAATGATCTCTGTAAATGCACTGTTGAGAATAGACTGTTAAGGCTACAGAGGGTCAGGTTAGAGGCAATGATAGTAATAAGAAATGGACTAATAATGACGTAGAGATATTAGCTGCAGTGAACATACAAATATCAGATAAAATAGACCTAAAAAAACAGCAGAGAGAGAGACAGAAGACAAAACAATTTATAATTTAAGCACACATGTGCCAAATATAGAGAGAGCAAAAACAGGCACCAAATATATGGAGAGCAAACACTTATAGTAATAAAGGGAGAAATAAATAATTAATCAGTGATAAGTAGAGACTTTTGTATTAGTTTCTTAGGATTGCCCTAAAATTACCTCAAACTCTGATGGTTTAACTTCCTTGCCTACTCTAGTTTCTGGTGATTTGGGGGAATTCCTGGCATCCAATCTCTATCTTCACATGGTCTTTCCTCCCTTGTGTCTGCCTGTTTGTCTTCACGTGGTCTTCTTATAGATCACTAGTCACTGGATTTAGGTTTCATTCTATTTCAGTAAGACCTCATCTTCTTAAATTACAACTGCAAGGATGCTATTTATAAGTTAGGTAAAATTAGGGGGTTATGGGCATTCATGAATTTTGAAGGGACACTACTCAACTGAATAGAGTGTATTCTCTGCCCACCCTCTACCAAATTTATACCTATGTGTAGAATGCTTTCATGCAATCCTAACATTCTCCAAAGTCTTAACTCATGGCATCATTAATTCTAAGTCCCATATTTTATCTAGATTCAGACTCAAAAACTTCCAAATCTCATCATCCAAATTATCTAAATCAAATAGGGGCAAGACTTTGGGTACAATCTATCCTGAGAAAAATTTCTTTTCATCTGTGGATAAGCCAAACTAAAAAACAAATTACATGATTCCAAAATATAATGGTGAGACAGGTGCAGAATAGACATTCCCATTCCACAATGCAGAAACTGGAAGGAAAAAAAGGGGTTACAGATCAAGAAAGTCCAAAATCAAAAAGGTAAAATTCCATTAGATTTTAATGCCTTCAAATAACACTCGTTGGTTGGAGGTGGCACACTCTGGTCCTACACAGGCCACATGAGCCCCAGTATCTCAGCCCGTGAAGGTCTCATTGCCTTGACCTGTGGATGTAGTGGTCCTGCTCTCAGTTTCCTGCATATAGAATCCTAGAAGTCTGATAGCTTTTCTTAATTTTATTCTGTCTACCCTCTTCAATCTAAGATGGCAGTGTTTTTGCTGATACAATGTTCTCAAAACTCTTGTCAGTCTTCTGTGGAAGTCAAGGAGATCCATGACATGACAAAAGAAGGTTTTCCACAGATCCTTCTTGAATAACCCATCGCTATTATTGGCTTCTGCCTAGATAATTCACTGGACTCATAAATCACACATTCAATCTACTCAGCAAAAGTATTTTCCAACTATACTCGTGGCCCTGTTTACAAGCACACCTTTAGGATAGGCTGATAATTTTCTAAATCAACTAGTGCTGCTTCCTTTGTGCTTAGCAGTTCCTTCACCAATTTATCTTTTTTTTTTCTTTTTTTTACATTTTACCATAAGTGGCAAGGAAACCCGGATCACACCTTTTGCATTTTGCTTAGAAATCTTCTCGCTAAATATTCAAGTTTGTCACTTACAACTTCTACTTTCCATCTAATAACAGAATATAATCCAGCCTGGTGTTTTGCCTTTATAGAAAGGATTGCCTTTCCTTCGGTGTTCAGCAACACGTTCCTCACTTCCATCTAAGACCTCCACAGAAGCACCTTAAATGTTCATGTTGTAGCAACATTCTCTTCATGTTGATATATGAATCATCTTAGAAGATAGAACCCTTCTCTATGCTCTCCTCACTTCTTTCTGAGCCCACAAGAGAATCGCCTTTAACATGTATGTTTCTACCAACAATCTCTTCAAGAAAATCTTGATTTTTTTTCTCTTGTGCATCTCGGAATAATACTAGCCTCTATTTATCATCCAATTCCAAAGCCTATTTTAATGTGTAGTTATTTGTTAAAAGAGCACCCCATTTCCCAGCACCAAAATCTATCTCAGTTTTCTAGCAGTACTGTAACAAATTACCCCAAAGTTGGATGACTTAAAAAACAGACAATTATTTTCTCACATTTCTGGAAGATAGAGGTCTGAAGTCAAGGTGTTGGCAGAGCCCTGCCTCCTTTAAAGGCATGAGGGAAGGACCCTTCTTTGCTTCTCTTATCTTCTGGTGGTAGTTAGCTATCATTGGCCTTATTTGGCCCATGGCAGCATGACTCCAGTCTCTGCCACTGTCTTCAAATAGGCCTTTTCCTTGTGTGTCTATGTGTCTTCACACAATCTTCTTATAAAAGTGGACATGGAGAGTGACCCTACATAAATAAAGCTTTATATAAGCATATTACGAATAGTTGTACACCATAAAGTTAGATAACTTAAAGTGAAAAAATTCCTATGAATATGTAAACCAGTGAAATGAACTCAGGAAGAAACTGCCAATTCGAATAGACAAAAAACAAGTGAAGAGATGGAAATAGAATTAAAAATACTATCCACGCACACACACAAAAAAAAAAAAAAAGAAAAAGAAAAAGGAAAAAAAAGCCCTCAGGCCCAGATGGCTTCACTGCTGAATTCTACCAAACATTTAAAGAAAAATTAATACCAATTCTTCACAAAATCTTCCAAAATATAAAGGAAAGAACTCTTCTCAATTCATTCTATGATGTCAGTATTACTCTATCAATAGAATAAAACAAACTACATGATTATCTCACTATACATATAAAAAACATTTGAAAAATTCAACACATTTATGTGATAAAAACACTCAACAAATTAGGATGGAAGAGAAATTTATCAGTCTGATAAAGCGCATCTATGGAAAACCCACAACTAGCATCAGACTTAAAGGTAAAATACTGAATGCTTTTCGCCTGAAGATTAGGAACAAGACAACGTGTCCATTCGCACCAATTCTATTTAAAATTTCACTGTGAGTTCTAGCAAGGAAAAGTAAGAAAATAAGATAAGAAAAAAAAAAGAAAAGAATATCAATGTAAGATTCGAAAATATTGTATAGTAAATAATTCAACCCTGCTCAAAAAGTGCTCCAGCCGTTGCCCTAGGACACTAGGAGGTAATCTTCACATTCTTGGAATGTCAAGATAGGAGCACTTTTGCTTACCTGAGGTCCTTGAGCTAGCCACATAGTACCAATGTGACTCTGGATGGGGCTTTAGGTGAGTCATATGATATTAGCTTAACCTCCTAAAGGGCTAGAGCTAAGATTGGTCATGGAGGCAGACAACTGTGCCCAAGGTATACTCTGAATATCAGAGATTGGGTGAGCTTCCCTGTTTGGAAATATTCTGTATATATTGTTACTTGTTGATAACAGGACAGTAATGCTGTCCTGACTCCACTGTGATAGAACAATTTGAAGCTCTACGTTTCAGGCCTTCCTGGACTTTGCCCTAATTCCTTCTCCTCTTGGTTGATTTTAATCTGTATCATGTAGTTATAATGAACCATAACCATGATTATAACAGCTTTCAGTGCATCCTGTGAGGTCTTGAGCATAATTTTTGGAACCACCCAAACTTAAAATTGGTTTCAGAACTAAGGGCAATCAGTAGACTTTTCCTTAACTTTGCCATTGGCTAACCTTCACAACTATAAAGCTATTGGAAGTAAATCTTTATAACCTTGGATTTTGGTAATGGATTCTTAGAAATGATGCCAAAAGTATGAACAGCAACAAAAACAAATTACACAAATTTGACATCAACATGATTAAAACAATAAAGAATGACCTCTGTGTTTCAAAGGATGCTGTCAATTAAAAAAAAAAGACAACCCATAAAATGGATGAAAACATTTGTGAATCATATATCTGATAAGGGATTTTATATAGAATATATAAAGCACTGTTAAAATTCAAAAGTAAAAAGACAAAAATTGCAAATGAAAATTTAGCAAACGACCTGAGTAGACATTTTTTCGAAGACAATACACAAATATTTGTTAAGCAAGTACCATTGTACAGCCGCTTTAGAAAACAGTCTGGCAGTTCCTCAAATGGCTACAGATATACTTACCATATGACTCAGCAATCTACTCTTTGTTATATACCCAAGAGTAATACAATAATCATACATATATCTTCATGCAAAACTTGTATATGAATGCTCATAGCAGCATTATTTATAATGTCCAAAAGTTAGAAACAACACAAATGTCTATCAACTGAATAATGGATGAACAAAATGAGGGATTTATATACAATGAAATATCATTTAGCCTTATAAAAGAATGAAGTACCAGTATATGCTCTAACATGAATGAACTTTAAAAACATTATGCTAAGGGAAAGAAGCCAGTCACAAAAGACCTTACTACATTTTTCCATTTATATTAAATATTCCGAATGGCAAATCCATAGAGACAGAAATTAGATTAGTGGTTGCTTAGGGTTGATTGGGAAATTAGGGGGGTAATATCTGAAAGATATGAGGCTTCTTCTTGAGGTAATGAAAATGTTCTAAAATTAAATATGGTGGAGGTTGCATACATCTGTCAGTATGATAAAAACTGTTGAGTTCCCCACTTTACATGTGTGAATTGCCTGGTATGTGAGCTATATCTCAATGAAATTATTTAAGATGTTTAAAAATATATAAGTAGGCTTAGAACTTACACAGAATGGAACCTACAACTTCCTGCCCAGTCACCAGCTTGACAAATAGGACACAAGTCCCAAGAGCTGGGAGTGAAACACAAATATTTGTAGGCAGGCTCACAGCTAGCTGCATAAATACAATACAAATTCCACTGTAAGAAGACAGAGCCAGAACAACTGGTGATTTACACACATTCTTATATCCAGTCAGTGACAGATCAGGAAGAAGAGCCCCAATACCCAAAATCCAGCTCAGGGTGCTGCCAAACAAGCAAGTGAATATAGAAGCCTGCCTTTCTAAATTTGTTGTCTGGCTGCCCTCCTCCCAGGGAAGGGTTTTCCATAGAAAAATACACTTTTTTAAATGAAACAACAATGTATATAATCAATCAAAATATTAATTCATAGTATATATAGTATAGAATAAAGAAAAGACTGGAAGGATATGCACCAGATTAACAGTAAATACCTCTGATAGAGGGAATTGGAAAGGAGGAATAGAGTCATTTTTCTTTTCATTTTCTTATAAATTTGACTTTGCTAAAACAAGTGAATATTACTTTGTCATTTAAACATATATTTAAATAGTTTTAAAAAACATTTAAAGAGGACAATGAAGCTGAGTTTTGAAGGCATAATGACATTTTACAGTAATACTATTTCCATCCAAGTTATTTTTCACATCTAAAGTAGTCATAAAGAAATTTTCAGGTATCCAAGCCTTCCAGAATTATATACCCACATCTTGAAATGTTTTCCTAGAAAATATAATCCAAGTAACCTAAAATAAAATTTAAGAGTTTACATTTATGAGTTTAAGAATAGAACAACTTTTATGAGAAGACAATGGTCAGCATTGATAACCATTCAATATTAATTGAAATAATTTCTATACTACTAGTCTCACTTGAATATTTCATAGATACCACAAGCTTTTCAAGTAATTTTTATCTTCACACACACACACACACACACACACAACAAAATACAGTATATTATTCTATTAACCTAAGCCTCACAATGGCTCAACCAGTGATCTAGGAGTCATTGCTTTTATGACTTGAAAGTTTTACACATTATGGGAGAGAGAAGGCAAAGTGTACAAGGTTTTCTTTAACTTTTGATATTAAATCTATCAGGAAACAGGACAGAGCACAAAAGATAGGCTGGCCTGTGTTATATCCAATACTAACTCAGATGAACTAAAATACTCAAATGTCTCTTAACCTCTACGTTACTCTGGCTTCCCAGGGAGATGACAGTATTTTAGAGGCACCTGCTAGCATCAACATTAAAGTCATGTAATTATGTTTTTCTTTTCTTTTTTTAAATTTATACATATATATATTTATTATATTTTAAGTTCTAGGGTACATGTGCACAACGTGCAGATTTGTTACATATGTATACATGTGCCATGTTGGTGAGCTGCACCCATTAACTAGTCATTTACATTAGGTATATCTCCTAATGCTATCCCACCCCCCTCCCCCAACCCCACAACAGACCCTGGTGTGCGATGTTCCCCTTCCTGTGTCCAGGTGTTCTCATTGTTCAATTCCCACCTATGAGTGAGAACATGCGGTGTTTGGTTTTTTATCCTTGTGATAGTTTGCTGAGAATGATGGTTTCTAGCTTCATCCATGTCCCTATAAAGGACATGAACTCATTATTTTTTATGACTGTATAGTATTCGATGGTGTATATGTGCCACATTTTCTTAATCCAGTCTATCATTCTTGGACATTTGGGTTGGTTCCAAGTCTTTGCTATTGTGAATAATGCCGCAATAAACATACGTGTGCATGTGCCTTTATAGCAGCATGATTTATAATCCTCTGGGTATATACCCAGTAATGGGATGGCTGGGTCAAATGTTATTTCTAGTTCTAGATCCCTGAGGAATCACCACACTGTCTTCCACAATGGTTGAACTAGTTTACAGTCCCACCAACAGTGTAAAAGTGTTCCTATTTCTCCACATCCTCTCCAGCACCTGTTGTTTCCTTTTTAATGATTGCCATTCTAAATGGTGTGAGATGGTATCTCACTGTGGTTTTAATTTGCATTTCTCTGATGGCCAGTGATGATAAGCATTTTTTCACGTGTCTTTTGGCTGCATAAATGTC
Organism: Homo sapiens; assembly: GCF_000001405.40. Lineage (NCBI taxonomy): Eukaryota > Metazoa > Chordata > Mammalia > Primates > Hominidae > Homo > Homo sapiens. The sequence continues at coordinate 178,511,719 of NC_000004.12, forward strand.
TTCTTTTGAGAAGTGTCTGTTCATATCCTTCGCCCACTTGTTGATGGGGTTGTTTGTTTTTTTCTTGTAAATTTGTTTGAATTTGTTTTAGATTATGGATATTAGCCCTTTGTCGGATGAGTAGATTGCAACACTTTTCTCCCATTCTGTAGGTTGCCTGTTCACTCTGATGGCAGTTTCTTTTGCTGTGCAGAAGCTCTTTGGTTTAGTTAGATCCCATTTTGGCTTTTGTTGCCATTGCTTTTGGTGTTTTAGACATGAAGTCCTTGCCCATGCCTATGTCCTGAATGGTAATGCCTAGGTTTTCTTCTAGGGTTTTTATGGTTTTTGGTATAACATTTAAGTCTTTAATCCATCTTGAATTAATTTTTGTATAATGTGTAAGGAAGTTCAGCTTTCTACATATGGCTAGCCAGTTTTCCCAGCACCATTTGTTAAATGGGGAATCCTTTCCCCATTTCTTGTTTTTGTCAGGTTTGTCAAAGATCAGATAGTTGTAGATGTGTGGTATTATTTCTGAGGGATCTGTTCTGTTCCATTGGTCTATATCTCTGTTTTGGTAACATTACCATGCTGTTTTGGTTACTGTAGCCCTGTAGTAGAGTTTGAAGTCAGGTAGCATGATGCCTCCAGCTTTGTTCTTTTGGCTTAGGATGGACTTGACAATGCAGGCTCTTTTTTTGGTTCCATATGAACTTTAAAGTAGTTTTTTCCAATTCTGTGAAGAAAGTCATTGGTAGCTTGATGGGGATGGCATTGAAACTGTAAATTACCTTGGGCAGTATGGCCATTTTCATGATATTGATTCTTCCTATCCATGAGCATGGAATGTTCTTCCATTTGTTTGTATCCTCTTTTATTTCGTTGAGCAGTGGTTTGTAATTCTCCTTGAAGAGGTCCTTCACATCCTTTGTAAGTTGGATTCCTAGGTATTCTATTCTCTTTGGAGCAACTGTGAATGGGAGTTCACTCATGATTTGGCTCTCTGTTTGTCTGTTATTGGTGTATAAGAATGCTTGTGATTTCTGCACATTGGTTTTGTATCCTGAGACTTTGCTGAAGTTGCTTATCAGCTTAAGGAGATTTTGGGCTGAGACAATGGGGTTTTCTAGATATACAATCATGTCGTCTGCAAACAGGGACAATTTGACTTCCTCTTTCCTAATTGAATACCCTTTATTTCCTTCTCCTGCCTGATTGCCCTGGCCAGAACTTCCAACACTATGTTGAATAGGAGTGGTAAGAGAGGGCGTCCCTGTCTTGTGCCAGTTTTCAAAGGGAATGCTTCCAGTTTTTGCCCATTCAGTATGATATTGGCTGTGGGTTTGTCATAGATAGCTCTTATTATTTTGAGATACGTCCCATCAATACCTAATTTATTGAGAGTTTTTAGCATGAAGGGTTGTTGAATTTTGTCAAAGGCCTTTTCTGCATCTATTGAGATAATCACGTGGTTTTTGTCTTTGGTTCTGTTTATATGCTGGATTACATTTATTGATTTGCATATGTTGAACGAGCCTTGCATCCCAGGGATGAAGCCCACTTGATTATGGTGGATAAGCTTTTTGATGTGCTGCTAGATTCGGTTTGCCAGTATTTTATTGGGAATTTTTGTATCGATATTCAGCAGGGATATTGGTCTAAAATTCTCTTTTTTGGTTGTGTCTCTGCCAGGCTTTGGTATCAGGATGATGCTGGCCTCATAAAATGAGTTAGGGAGGATTCCCTCTTTTTCTATTGATTGGAATAGTTTCAGAAGGAATGGTACCAGCTCCTCCTTCTACCTCTGGTAGAATTGGGCTGTGAATCCATCTGGTCCTGGACTTTTTTTGGTTGGTAAGCTATTAATTATTGCCTCAATTTCAGAGCCTGTAATTGGTCTATTCAGAGACTTAACTTCTTCCTGGTTTAGTCTTGGGAGGGTGTATGTGTTGAGGAATTTATCCATTTACTCTTGATTTTCTAGTTTATTTGAATAGAGGTGTTTATAATATTCTCTGATGGTAGTTTGTATTTCTGTGGGATCAGTGGTGATATCTCCTTTATCATTTTTTATTGCGTCTATTTGATTCTTCTCTCTTTTCTTCCTTATTAGTCTTGCTAGTGGTCTATCAATTTTGTTGATCTTTTCAAAAAACCAGCTCCTGGATTCCTTGATGTTTTAAAGGGTTTTTTTGTGTCTCTTTCTGCTTCAGTTCTGGCCTAATCTTAGTTATTTCTTGCCTTCTACTAGCTTTTGAATGTGTTTGCTATTGCCTTCTCTAGTTCTTTTAATTGTGATTCTAGGGTGTCAACTTTAGATCTTTCCTGCTTTCTCTTGTGGGCATTTAGTGCTATCAATTTCCCTCTACACACTGCTTTGAATGGGTCCCAGAGATTCTGGTATGTTGTGTCTTTGTTCTCGTTGGTTTCAAAAAACACCTTTATTTCTGCCTTCATTTCGTTATGTACCCAGTAGTCATTCAGGAGCAGGTTGTTCAGTTTCCATGTAGTTGAGTGGTTTTGAGGGAGTTTCTTAATCCTGAGTTCTAGTTTGATTGCACTATGGTCTGAGAGACAGTTTGTTATAATTTCTGTTCTTGTACATTTGCTGAGGAGTGCTTTACTTCCAACTATGTGGTCAATTTTGGAATAAGTGTGGTGTAGTGCTGAGAAGAATGTATATTTTGTTGATTTGGGGTGGAGAGTTCTGTAGATGTCTATTAGGTCCGCTTGCTGCAGAGCTGAGTTCAATTCCTGGATATCCTTGTTAACTTTCTGTCTCATTGATCTGTCCAGTGTTGACAGTGGGGTGTAAAGTTTCCCATTATTATTGTGTGGGAGTCTAAGTCTCTTTGTAAGTCTCTAAGGACTTGCTTTATGAATCTGGGTGCTCCTGTATTGGGTGCATGTAGATTTAGGGTAGTTAGCTCTTCTTGTTGAATTGATCCCTTTACCATTATGTAATGGCCTTCTTTGTCTCTTTTGATCTTTGTTCGTTTAAAATCCGTTTTATCAGTGACTAGGATTGTAACCCCTGCCTTTTTTTTTGTTTTCCATTTGCTTGGTAGATCTTCCTCCATCCCTTTATTTTGAGCCTATGTTTGTCTCTGCACGTGACATGGGTTTCCTGAATACAGCACGCTGATGGGTCTTGACTCTTTATCCAATTTGCCAGTCTGTGTCTTTTAATTGGAGCATTTAGCCCATTCACATTTAAGGTTAATATTGTTATGTGTGAATTTGATCCTGTCATTATGATGTTAGCTGGTTATTTTGCTTGTTAGTTGATGCAGTTTCTTCCTAGCATCGATGGTCTTTACAATTTGGCATGTTTTTGCAGTGGCTGGTACCGGTTGTTCCTTTCCATGTTCAGTGCTTCCTTCAGGAGCTCTTGTAGGGCAGGCCTGGTGTTGAGAAAATCTCTCAGCATTTGCTTGTCTGTAAAGGATTTTTTTTCTCCTTCACTTATGAAGCTTAGTTTGGCTGGTTATGAAATTCTGGTTTGAAAATTCTTTTCTTTAAGAATGTTGAATATTGGCCACGACTCTCTTCTGGCTTGTACAGTTTCTGCAGAGAGATCTGCTGTTAGTCTGGTGGGCTTCCCTTTGTGGGTAACCCGACTTTCTCTCTGGCTGCCCTTAACATTTTTTCCTTCATTTCAACTTTGGTGAAACTGACAATTATGTGTCTTGGAGTTGCTCTTCTCGAGGAATATCTTTGTGGCGTTCTCTGTAGTTCCTGAATTTGAATGTTAGCCTGCCTTGCTAGTTATGTTTTTCACTTCCATTTTAATAATTATCTTGAAATTACATTTTATGCTAGTGTATATTCATATGTATATATGGTTACATAAACATACACACTTATATGTACACACATGAACTGTGGATGTATACAATTTGGGGTATAGTTTTGAAAATTACATTGAAATAATAAAAATGCTGACATTAAAATAAAAGATGAGAAAAATAGATTAATAGAGAAAACTTGCAAATATAAAATATAGATATATATTTTTCACATATAAACTATATGGCAACATTACAATTGATATTCATAAATTAAATTTTTTTAATTAAATGTGTTATTTGGGAAACATATTTTTTTCTTTTAAAGAACAATTTAAGCACTATTCTGGAAATATAAATTATACTACCATTAATTTAAACTCTGGTATAAGTTGAAATCCTCGTGCACTTATCTAAGACTATAGATAACTAATGTATTGAAAATTCATTATATAAGATATTATTACCTATGATTTTACCTTATACACAGGATAGTAAATCTCAAAATTGTATAGTAAAATTTAATGATACAAATAGTTATAAATTTGCATATATTTAATGGATTTACTATGCATAATAGGAATAAATTAATTTTCAGCAGTAATGTTAATCTATATCTAACATCAACTTACAAGTAAACTGGATATATTCCTCAAGTCTTTAAAGCATCAATTTAAAATTTTCCAAAATACATATTACGTTTTAGTTTCTCAGATTGAGACAGTACAGAATATTTCCTAGGATAATTTTATGCAATGAATCTAATGATTGTTATCTAGAAGAAGTTACTTGAAATGTCCATATTAATATTGATAGATATTTTCATCAGCAGATATCGTATAAAATGAGTTTTGTAGAAAATAGCCAAGAATGATCAATGTTATATTCTTACACATGTGTAAAATGTGAAATAGTAAAACTCTCTATTTTAAACACTTGTTCACAGAACATATATAAAATAACATGTGTTTCTCAGATAAAGTCCTACACCGTTAAAATACTCTTCCTGAATAAAGATTACTTAACTATATCTTCGAGTAGGGCAAATGTGTCCTTTTACAGATCTGGTTTCTTTCAATCAGTCCTAGAATTAAAATGCATTAAATTCTCTTCCTAAGAATCTATATATTAGTTTCCCACTATTACTTTAGTGTTCTCCTACTGAAAATTGGAATACATAAGACAATGTCCTCAAATTATCAGAAATGTACTAATTCCTCTATGCATCCTCCACTGAAGACAGAGTTACATGCTAAACACCTAGTAATGTGGGTTCCTAGGGCCCTTCTAGTCACTAATGTGAAACAGTAACTGTATTTATTTTCAAATACTTCTTTATACACTTTATCCATTATTAAATTGGTATAGATGTACATAATTATAGAACTGTAGTTTAGAGGAGACTTTATAAATTATTCTAATTCACTTTCTGTACTGGGAATTGTTTCAGTTGCAGATGAAGAATGTAAAAACAGCATTTCATTTATAAATGCCTCTGTTGGAAAATTCTTTGTTAAAGCAGACTAAACTATAACTTCCTAGTATTTTATAACCATATATTCTAGTTCTGCTTTCTGTTACACATAATAAACATATTCTTTTTGGCAAAGCACAGCTCTTAGATATTTAAAAAGAACGATCACAAATGCCTGTCTTCTCTTGCCGTGTTAAATAATGTGGGCTTCTTCTGGAACTCCTTATGCTACTACTTTATTTTCTAGCTTTGTTGGCTTTTGGTGACCCTTTCCTAGCCCCACTTCACCCTGTCAACTTCCTTTCCATCATAGGTAAAGAATACAGAGTTCAATTTAATTATTTCCTTTATTTGAAAATGGAACTGTATCTTGAATGACAATCAGGCAGTACCCTTCAATTACAACTGATTTGTAATCAATTAAAAATTTCATGTAAAAACATTAATTTTAACACCTAATTTTCTTTTCAACATATATGTAAGCATTTAGGATTTCACAAATAAATTCACAATTCTAAATTTTTAAAAATAAGTTGTAAGCATCACTACACTAAAAGGTGTGGAAGTAAAATTTATAAGTAAACCTTAAGATACCATATTCAATTTGGCATTATAATGACTTTAATTTTAGTGAACAATAGAGAAGAAAAGAGTGGATATAAGTTTATATTTTTAGTTTGAATTAGAGGAGTTTGTCATTAGTTTGTTTATGAAGCGAAGTGCAGGGAACAGGTTTGTGGAAGAGTGGAGTTTAATTCTGAACACACTGAGCTTGAGTTCCCTGCAAGGTTTCCAGGCAAAGAGGTGAAACATATAGTTGAAGAAAAGATCAGGCAGAAAATGGAGAAAAGATCGGACAGGGCTCAAAAGTAGACAGAAGAGAATGGAGGGATTTCTGCTTTGAGAGAAATCATACTCATCAATGCATATGATTTGTAAGTTATCTGCACAAGATTTTGTGAACTGATTAATTTTGTCCTGTTAAAATAAGCAAACTATACTACTTTCTGTTCTTCCAGGTATGTTCAAAATTATCCAGTGTAAATTTTAAACATATCTACATTATCTGCATAGATGTGCTATTTGAAGATATAAGTAGGAATGAGCTTTCTAAGAAAGAGTGTAAAAAAGAGAAGACTGTGAAGATGAACTCAGAAAAACTTTTATTGTGTATTTAATAAAAAGAGAAGGATCCATAGGAGAGGCTGAAGAGTATCCGAGGAATTACCTGGATGCTCAGAAAGCTTATTTCTATTCTTCCCAAACACTCCACCAGCAGACATTTTCCAGCTTCCTGGTAGTTATATTTAGTCGTGTTACTGATTTCCGGATAATTGAGAGTTTTATGGAAATGAAAAAAGTCAGTATCTGACTTCCACACATTATCTTCACTGTTTCATTTTTCTAGTTTCTGGTAAAGGTGCTAAAGAAAAATGAAAGGACCTGCGATCACTGGATAACATCCTAGAAGGGAGTTTCCCAGTGGAGCTGTCTAACCTGGAGCATCCACAAAATGAGAACTGTATTTTTATGTTGCCTTATTATTTTATTACATCAGTGCATACAGAGAAAATTATTTTCTGTTAGACTACCATCCAGATTATTTGCTTTAATTTCACTAGCTACATGTTTTTTAGACTTTGTGTGACATTTTTCCACTTCTTTGTGTGTCCAAGGATTTTTTATTTAATACTAGACATTAAGAATATTGCACTGTAGAGATTCTGGTTGGAGACACACTGAAAGGAGTTGAAGAGCTATAAATAATTTTTAAAAGTAGATAAAGGAAGCCTAAATTCTTCAGAGACCTTTGGAACCTAAAGGAAGAAGAGATATTGAAAGTAACCTATGGATAATATAATTTTTTAAATCTAGCTAACTTATTTGCTTTAAACAAGGCTCGGCCACAGGAAATAAAATAGGGAAATTAGAGAATGAACATGGAAGAAAAGGAAGAATAACTACATATTTCTGGAAAAAGCAGAAAATGTTTACAATAAGAGTACAAGTAATTAATATGCATTTTGGTAATGCATCTTCAAAGGTAAAATGCTGTGATCTGCTGCTAATTGACACATTAAGAATCATCATGTTTTGAGTATGATTGATGAAAGGCATAAATATTCCTAGCTAGAACATATATATGTCAGAATTTTTCAGTATTAGCTATAATGGTATTATAAGGCATTTAAAAAATTTGGCTAAAGTTGACCTACACTATTATAGTAATCATAGTAATTGAACGTTAAGTCAGCCTGTCATGACTTGTTTAGTGAACACATATTTATTTCTATTAATCTTTCTGAATTTAATTTTCTGGCCCTTCAAAATTAATCAAGCATATTCGTTTTAAGAAATTGTGCCATTGGGATCGGAATATCTATCCACTTATCTGCTTGTGTATGTGTGTGTGTATGTGTATTTGAATTTCCTGAAACCTGCACATTTAAAATCTGTCAAATATCTGTCTAGAGTCAACACCCCTTTTATTTGATGCTACTAAATCTAACATGGTATTAGAAAATAGGCAGAAAAATAAGAGAGAAAAAATTCCCAGTCAGGTGTCATATAGAATTTTGAAATTTGTGAGATAGGATGATAACAGTGTGTTGTGTGTAGAGTACTCTTGGGTTGAGTAATTGAGGGAATTAGCAGACACCATGGAAAAGAGGAGATAACCAAATACACATTTCACCTATTTAATGAAGTGTTGCAATGTCAATTCTGGTTGTTGTTATGAGGACTGTCATTATTCAAATTTCTACCAGTGTTTTCCAAGCCTCAAGATAGATGATGATATATGTGAAATCATTATAATATCCTGTGTTAAAGAAAGGTATTTCAGGGTGCCACAAACATAGCTTTAAAATATACGACTTTCTTTCTTTCTCTTTCAGTTGGATTTATATTTTCACCTATTTTCCTACACTTCTGTGTAGGAAAACCCAAAGGAAATACACTTATTTTTTAAATCAGTGGTTTTTCAGCTCTGATTCAACATTTTTTACAAGACCAAGCCTATTTTTTTTGAAATGCACAAAGAATTATAAAGCATTACAACACTTTGCTGCTAGCATGCAAATGATTGAAAGTTATATCTTTTAATATGTAGTCCAGAAGACTGTTTTCCTAGATGTCCTAGAAACTTGACCAATCAGAGAAGATCCTAAACAGCATTTTATATCAATTATGTGCAAAACCCTGCCAATTATCTTCTCATATAATCCCCATCAATAACCGAGAAGCATAAAAGATATAAACTCAAACCATCTGCTCTCACTACAGTAGGCAACTGAGAGCTTAGACAATAACTCACACAGTAAAATACTCCAATACATTTATCTGGGATCATGCTGTTTAAGTGGGATTTGTGATTAAAAATATTACCACTTTGGCCTATCCACTATTAGAAAATATGTTTTCCCTTTTTAGGAAAAGCACTGTCATTTCTGTTTTATTACAATAGTAAATTAAGAGAACTACCGCCAGCCATCTATAAAGAACAAAAACTGCACTTCCAGTTTATGCTTCACTGTAATTCTTTTTCCTGTTGATGTTAACAATACCCAGGCTCTTAAAAAAAAGAAAAGGAAAAAAAATAGCCTCCAGAAATTCATTGCTTTGACACCTGTGTAATTTTTGAACCATGCTAAATGCCAAAATAAAGCTGTATCAAAATATAAAATGTTAACCAAAAGTGCCTATATGACCTAAGAAAAGGAAGTATTTAAAGATAACAGTCACCTAAGATGGCTGATATTTAAAGATAATATAGTGTGACTTTTTCTAAGCGTTTGAGGCACAGAACTGACAGTTGGCAAAAATAGATAGGATTCCAAACGCTGTTGCAATAAGAGTCCAGAAGACAGACAATTCCCTCCTGTTCTCCATCAGTGTCCTTATCTTACATTATACCATATTCGACCTGTCAAGATATTTCAATATTTCCCACATTAACAACAAAGATATGTAAACGACGATATTACACTGTCAAATCCCCTAAACATCCCTGTGTTTCATTTACAAATTCTCGAGTCAGTTTGCCGATGAATTAACATTTACAATTATAGTTCCTATGCATCTTACAGAAACTATATTTTACTTGTTCCCAGACTTCAATAATATAATTTTGCAATCATGGTTTGAAAATTATACTGCTTGACATATTTTGCCAATTGATGAAGCATTACTTTAGAGTGGATTTTCTTCACTCTGTTACCAATTAAATTTACATTTTAATTAGAATTAAAAATTATACCCTTGATGATAGATTGGGGGATGAAGAAATATAGTAGCTTAAATATTCAGAAAAGCTATGTATTGTGCCATTTCACAATAAGATATTCACAAGTGTTTGAAAAGCAAGGCAAGATTCTTATGGTTTGTGCATGAGCACTGTCTCATTTGGCTACCAGTATGTACATATAATTATGATATCATACAGTTTAGTATTCTCTTTTACACATGAGGAAACTGACAAAAAATAAGTGAGGAGGTGAGCTTGGATCAGATGCACACATTTAAAAGAGAAATGTAATTACAAAAATCTTTTTAGTTATAAGGTACTACGAACGATGTAAAAAATTCTGTCAAGCAATATTTCAATTCCCTCAAATTGAGATTTTTAAAAATTGAGGTTGGAAATAAATGAAGAAATTATGTTTTCTGACTATTGTTTCTAAAGCAGTCTCTTTTTTTGCTGAAGTCAGAAATACATTTCATTTTTAAATTTTTAAATTTAAATTTTTATTTTTCCATAGGTTATTGGGGTACTGGTGGTATTTGGTTACACGAGTAAGTTCTTTAGTGGTGATTGTGAGATTTTGGTGCACTCATCACCCGAGCAGTATACACTGCACCCCATTTGTAGTCTTTTATCCCTTGCCTCCCTCCCGCACTTCCCCCCAAGTCCCGAAAGTCCATTGTATAATTTTTCTGTCTTTGCATCCTCATAGCTTAGATCCCACATATCAGTGAGAATATACGATGTTTGGTTTTCCATTCCTTAGTTACTTCACTTAGAATAATAGTCTCTAATCTCATCCAGGACGGATTACTACATTTCCTATGACATTTGAAAAAAAAAAGTGATCATGCAAAAATACCTTCCACAGCAATGGATGATAATAATTAACAAAATTATAAAAACTGTTTCAGATGTTTGAAATGTATTAAGCTACTAGCAACAAGAAGGTTTAAAGATATCCCTCAAGATTCCCACCCTCTGGTGTATATGCTCTGTATAATCAACTCTCCTTGACTGTGGGTATGAACTGTAAGTATGACGCGGTAGCCGCTCCCACTGCATAACTAAGTTCTATTATACAGCGCAGGAGACTTTAAGAAATGGAGATTACCCTGGTGTGTTGATCTGATCAAGTTAGGCCTTTGAAATAAGAAGCACGTTGATTCTTGCTGGTGAAAGAGATACAAACCCTGAGAAGACTTGAAGCCCCAGAGAGTTTCCAAGGCTGGTTTGAAGATGTGGGAGGCCATGTGAGGCCATTGAGAGTGACCTGCAGCCAGTGGCCGGAGAGGAACTGTATTCTTTCACCAATCTGAATCCGCTCGGAAGAGGACCTTGTGCTGCCACTGGGAATGCAGCAGGTCAACACCCGATTTCAACCTTGTGAGTACATGAGCAGAAAACACATCAACTTTCCAAATTTCCGACCTCCAAAACTATGAGCCAATAAGCAGCTGTTGTTTTAAACTGCTAAATTTGTGGTAATTTGTTTTATATACAGCAATAGTAAACTAATAAACCGCTTAAAACTGTGTAAAACCCAAATTACAGTCTACAGTGGAATATGTTGTTATGATTCCATCTTAAAGAATCCTAAATTAGTTTTGAACAATCCAAAGTGACATTGATATAGATTTCTTAAAATAAAATACCAGTGTCCAGAAATTTTCTCCATTCAACAAATATTTGTTGAGCAGCTTCAACAACGGTTTCTCGATGTGTGGGTTCTAGCAGCGAAGAGTACAGACATAGTCTCACCTCTCATTGCCTCTCCTGAGAGGCCCAGAGACATATTCTTTCTTCTGGAAACTGAGGGAGAAGTATGCTTGTCATTATCATATTTATTAAAGTATGAGCATTATTGGAACATGTCTTCATTAGAATGATTCGTTTCCCTACACAAAAATAGGGAAGCAAATTATTATTATTTATTATTTATTCCCTAAACTATTTTTATGGCCAAAACAGACAAGCCAAGCTAAGCAATTGCCAAAATTCTTAATAAATAATTTAATTATTTATTAAGAATTAATAATTCTTAATTAATAATTAATAAATAAATAAAATAAAACAAATTTTCTTTTTAACAGAAGTATGAGTTTACCAATTCTGTTTAACTAAGCAGTTGTCTACCAAAAAATAATAATAATGCCCCGTATCAATTTTGATGATGCTAGGAGTAAAGAAGAAATTAGATGCTGATAACAGAGTTTTACTATACACGAGTCTACAAAAAGAGGTAAAATGAACTTTGGTTTGATAAGGAAATTTGGAATACAGAAAAAATAAGAAATAAAAGAATACATTGTCTATAATGAAAAACCATTTATTGCTTAAAGCACACCCATCCAAAATATCTGATTCTCAATTTTTATTGGCTTTGAGCTATTTTAACAGTTCTGTAAATTGTAACTAAGAGCAATGCACATAATTATTGTTTATAGATAGGCAAACATATTCTTTCTAGTGAAGGTTCAATTGACGTCCTCCTATTCAGTTTACAAAACTAGTTCCACGCTCATTTATAATTTATTTAATGTTCTTTTACTTCATATAAATTTGTGGTTCTTTGAGTTCTCAATTGAGTTGGACAACAATCTTCCAGTTTCCTCATTAATAATGAGTTAATTCAAATCTTTAATACATGTTCATTTTATATTCAAATGAGAATCATTATTTTATATTTTTTCTTTTGAAAATAATCATTTAGTTCTGTGAGGAGACAGCCAAAATTATGAGACTTCCAAAAACATTAATTTTGTATTTTAATGATATTCACAGTAAGTCATAATTTCTTCTCAGTTAATCCTCTTAGATTTACATGGTTTTGCCAAGATTGAGGAACTTCTTCAATGTACCTAATTTCTAATTCTGTAATTCAGAATTTTCAATTTAGAAATAAGAATACCATTCGTAAGATGAAGAATTCCACCAAATAGACACCCAATATTAATCCATCTCCTCTGCCCTTCTTTTTGAGCTTTATTTTTGAACATTATTTACTATCTGTAGTAGGCTGAATTAGTAGTTCCCCAAAAATACCCACATCCTAATTCCCAGAATATGTGAATACATTACCCAATATAATCCCCGGGTCCCGTGAATACGCTATTTTGCTTTGCCAGTATATGAAGGATTATGAGAAGGGAATATTATTCTAGATTATCTGGGTAAATTCTGTGTAATCACAAGTATCCTTCTGAGAGGGAGGCAAGAGAGTGAGAGTCAAAAAAGGCAACTTGATGATGGAAGCAGATGGAGAGAAGGAGACTGGAAGATGGGAACAGGTCACAGAAAAAGACAGTCAGATATGATGATGCCACAACTGCTAGCCTTTAGGATGGAGAAAGGGACCCGCAGCCAAGGAATGCAGGAAACCTCTAGAAGCTGGAAAAGGAAGGGAAGAAGATAGTCCTATGGAACTTTCAGAAGGAACTCAGCCTTGCCAACCTATTAGAGATTTCTGACAATTTTTAAAATTGTAATACGTTTTCATTGTTTTAAACCACTAAATGTGTGGTAACTTATTACAGCAGCATCAATAAACTAATACTCCATCTAAAATGACTGTGAGCATAGTTGCCATAGAAGCCTCTTTTACACTAATGTTTTCATGGTGGCATCAAAACTTAATATCTAAGAAGTTCAATGGTATAGATAATTATAGTTAAAGATCTTTATCAAGTTTTGAACATTTTAAAGGTTATCGTTTTACACATCGATCCATTTATACAGCAGTGTGTCAAATATTACAACAGTACTTAATTATCTTTATAGAAAATACTTTCACACAGCAGGATTTACTAAGTACACATGGGGTACATGGCTTTTCAGTAACTTACGACATGCTGACACTGCACCAATGCTTCACAGACACTGGGATATTTATGGTTCTAAATTTTTTTGAAGAAGAAAGAGCCAGTTTGGTTTTTGCTAATTTATTTAACTTTCAATCAGTAGTTTATACAATTTAATTTCCAAATAAAATATCATCTAAAGACTGATTGTTTCTTTTGTATTTCTGTCCTCACTCAGAATCATGAGTAATGTTCAAAGACAGCAACGGTATTTAATAAATGCTCATTTGTGTGTGTATGTACATACACACAAGTGTGTGTGTGTGTGTGTGTGTGTGTATATATATTATATATATAATATATATATATAATATATATATAATATATATATATGCACACATTTTTAGAAACAGGGTCTCACTCTATCACCCTGACTGGAATGCAGTGTCTCTATCATAGCTCACAGCAGCCTTGAATCAGGGTCTCAGTAGGTCACCCTGGCTGGAGTGCAGTGTCTCTATTATAGCTCACTGCAGCCTTGAATTCATGGGCTGAAGTGGTCCTCTTGTCACAGACTTCAAAAGTGTTGACATTACAGGTGGGAGCCACCACACCTGGCAGCTCTTGCATAATTGAGTATTTCCAAAAAATGCAACTGAGACATATGAAAAGAGCATCCTATTTTTTGGCCTTCTCCAATCATATGGCATGCATTATATTTTTAAGTGAATACATATAACCTTTTATGCCCTGATCATTCATTGTAGAGAAGGAAAACAAGGAACACAAAACAGTAGGCATATTTATGTTGGCTATAACTGAAGTTGGCCAGAAAATAAAATAGCCAAGAGTTTCAATCCTAATCCCATAAAAAATGTGACTTTTATTATCTCCAATATCATGCACCTCATTGAGCACTCAAAACATCTTCAGAACCTAAAAATCAAAGCATTTCTAAGTCAAAGCTTTCCAAAAATAAACATTTCTCTACAAATTTAATTTAGCTTACATATGCAGATTTATGTGAGTGAGACTATAAATATATTACCTGTATGTTAGAAATGATATCATAAATTAATTCTGATATCATGAGATTTGGAAAAATCACCTAAGTATTGAAATATTAATTGTATAGTATATATGTATATGTTTATATACCTACTTGCATGTAAGGTTGTGTATCAAAAGGTTTTGTGTAACAAACACTTTTATAAATCAAAAGCTAGCTGCATCTATGTCAATGTGTTCCTGCAGTTGAATAACCAGATTGGTCTGTGTGACATAGAATCTGGTTCTCAGCTGGAAACTTAGGTCTCCTAAAATGAGGAGTCCCTCTAGTATTAGGTATGTGGAACAATTCTTAAATAATGGCACTGTGAGGATTCCACCTCATTATTATTTAAATAAGTTCATAAATGTTTTACTTAGAATGCAAGAATGGAAGCTTTACATCTTGATACACTAGTGGTATGGCTTCCCATCTAATTTGTTGTTGTTTTAACAGATGTAGAGTTACCATACTATCATAAAATATGGTAATAGTAGAACAATATCCTAGAAAAATGCTGAGGCTCATATTATAATGTATAAAACCAATCATCTCAACACATTCCCAATCCTTTGTACTCAGTTTTACAGTAGTGAATCCATGAACAGATAGGAAGGGGAAAAAGAATTGGGTGACTATAACTGTAGATTGGAAACTTCTAATAGTAAAATGTTATTAATTTAAGACATGCATAAACAAAACTTGGTAAACTAAGGCTCTCCTAGGAATGTTAACTTATCCTCATTTAATATATATAACATGTGGTATTTTAAATTACCAGTTAGGTTTCTAAATACGTATTTTATTGTGCAGGCAGTATAATGCTGATGATATAATGTTACCATGAGAACTGTAACTTTTCTGTTCTGACATATATGCTCAGATTTGTAACCTTGTTGTTACATTAGCCTTGAATTGCATTTCAGATATATTTCTTGTGGTTCTGAAAGAGAAAGTGAAGAAAAAAATCATTTTAAAAAACACACTGAGTTGTGGAAATACACATACTAAACAACAATGCTGAATTTAACAAATCTATAATCAATAGCACTTCAAAAGATGACAACCATATTGAAAATTAAATAATATGTCATATTGAGATAAAATTTCACTTTCTGCCTTTTAATTTATTACCATAGAAATAAATATCTTGAAATTTATATCCTTTCTTCCTATTTATATTTTAATTCGTTAACTTTCAACGTCCCTTGACATATGCACAAACTAGTATTTATCATCTGTGGTACTTTTGAATTAATGTATTTAAGTGTTAGATTCTATTAATGCATTTTAACACTAACTGTTTTTGCCTCAACAAATATTATTTAAACAAAATATAATGCAGAAACATTGATTAAAACATTTCTTAGATAATTCTTTTAATTTACAAACATTTTAAATATACAGCAGAAAAAATAGGAGGTAGGATTTACCATACGCTCTGATTTCACTTAAAAGACAGTTAGGATTGGGTAATTTTTAATGTTAAGTACATTGATGACATTTATTTCTTTTGAGAGTTGATAATGAAAACAAATTTGGATTATTGATCCTTTGTGAAGCTGAAAAGTCTCAAGTGTGCACTGCTGTATAAAATAATATTTTATAAACATTTGCAAACCAAGACAAGTTGAAAATCATTTACATATTTAAAAATAATAATACTTCATCTCAAAGGCTTCTAAGGAAAGTCATCTGTCCTCTGGTTGTGTTTCATCTCAAAACAAACAAATATAAAATCAATAGATACTGAACAAGAGAATTAAAGCTCAGAGCAATTTTATTTACCAAATTACAAAATAGTCACTGAGTTTAAATGTAACACTGCATGGGGAAGAATGGAAGAGGCAAAAAAGTTATCATACTCAACTCCCAAATACTCGATTTGTGCTTAGAAAAACAATACAGGTTGTCATTATCATTAAAATTATTGATACCTTTTTGTGAGTACTGCACTATATACCAAGTTAAAATAACTGAGAGAAGAGCCTGTGTAACTCTGTTGTTTTGCTAGGGTAACCTGCTGTATAACTGAAATGACCATGAGAAATAGATGCCAAGTCACTCGGAGAGTGCCTCTATGAGCATTTCTTGAAAATTCAACATGGAAGCTATTACCTCTCAAGAGATGAATAGACAGGCTTCTTGGGGATGAGTATGTTTCACATGTGAGCTCTCAACTGGGGGAGGGAATATTATGGTGAAATTTTTTAGGTAGAACACTAGAATGTGGTATATTGACTAAAACTAGGATGGTTAGTTCTTAACTCAGGAAACCATGTAAAGTTAAAATTGGATGAGCTTATGCAGAAGAAAATAAAATGAAATATTTGTTGTCATTATAATACTAATGTGGCTACTGGTAAATTTATTTTTTTCGTTCCTCTTGTTTTCAAAAACTCAGTGTGGGGGATTAACATGTCAATAGATCTATTGCAATATAATGTGACAGGGACTTAATATGAAACGATGCCATCAGGATTGGGTTCTTTCAACTACAAATCTGTTCTACATAGTACAAAGACAATTGACATAAGTCACTGAGTTGAGTTTTTTTGTGTGCGTGTGTGTCTGTGTGTGTGTGTGTGTGCAGTTGTGTGTCTCCATGTATATTTGCAGTACAGTAAAAAATAAAATAAAATAAAGCAAAATAAAATAACAATGTAGAATAAAAACTTGTGTTTTGGGCTCCTGATTGAAAAGAAGGCAGCTATTGATAAAAAAATTTTTTCATACTGCAGGAATATAATGGGCATTATTTATTGAGAATGTTATTGCTTTTAATGTATATTTTATTTAAAATAATGTGTTCTGTGATTTTAAAAAGCAGGTGCTATAGGAATTATAAACAGTATAACTATTTCTCCAGGTATTTACTTTTTGGAATATTTTACAAATACTCAACGAATGCTTAAGTTACGTGTTAAAAGAAAAACATTAAACCTGGATTATTTCATATGCACATAATTTCTACTAATTTCCCATTTTTTACATTCTGTGTCTTATTTATCCACAGTTTTACTTTCTTTCATTTTATCTCCCCATTAAAGGCATCAATAATATTGCACCATCCCTTAACTCTCACTGTAACACCGTACCAATGTACCACTAAATCAAGCTCACTGCTTCTACATGGAAAGGGGCAGTATAGCATAAGCATTACGAGATGTGTGGAGCTAGACTTTCTCTGTGACTGGACATTCTTTCTAGATAATTTAAATTATATTTTAACCAGTGCTATTAGATAATATTAAATAAGCTGATAGAAACAACTTACCTGGAACAAATTCAGCAATACAAAAAAATTAAATAAATTTTGTTATGATTATTCCTGTTATTTCATTTCAACTTCTAGTACATATCATTATAGCCTATTACTATAGTTTTGAAATAATGGAAGAGGATTACTGAGGAAGTCTAGGAGGTTGGCAGAATTCACTTAGAAATTAAACTCTTTTGTCTTGATTAGATTAAATACCTGAAGTAAATATTTGGTTGTGAAATGTATCGTGCCATAGAACATGGGCTAGCAGAGGAGTACAGGAAAAGACAATTAACTTGTTCTCAATATGAAAGTAGATACAGTTGATATTATCTACAGGAATTAAAGAGTATATAAAAGAGTAGGAGACACTATGATGATAAATAAGGAGAGTTACCTAAAGAATATGACGACAGCATAGAAACTATGAACAATGTTTCCTGGATAATAACATCTATACAACTACATTCACTATTGTAGGATATAGGAAAGATTTGAAATGGAATAAATGTTCTCCATATAAATAACCTCACTAAACTGGTTGTATTTATGTACAATATTATTATAAATGTAACTCCAAGAGTTATTATTTAATAATTTCTGGTACCTGTACAACATTATCCTATCCAAATAGTTTGGGCTATGTCTTTATTTTTCATCTAAAGCAAGCACATTTTACTTCAAGGAAATTTGAATTTATAAGGCAAACAGCAATCTGTCTTTAAGCTTTGCCAAATCCTTGGCCTCATAATTATTATAATTCAGAAAAAATAGAATTGCATGTATATGGAGTCTACATTTACAGGAAACTTGTGCAGTAAGTGAAATTCACTTAGATTAAAAAAAAAAGAAAAACTTTAAAAATCACTTGAATCACCCATTAAGTTTACCCTGTGTAACATTGCATATGTAACCCTATAAAGAAATATGTATAAATGTATACTTCAGAATAAGCAATGAGGTCATAAAAATAAATGCTACATACCACATTTATTAGTCCCTTACTTAGCCTGACAAGATTAAATTGTGTTTAATTTTTCAGAGTACGTAATTTGCATTAGCAAAATTTATTAAAGAGAATATGATGCAATTTCAAAGAATAATGTTTAATTTCAATATTAGCTTCTATGCTTATAATATCTTTAGCTTACATGAGTATTGTTGATAAATAGTAATTAAGGAAATCATTATTACAAAATATCAAGTTTAAGAGCAAAATAAACTACATATTGTTCCAAAATAATTATGTATGTGTAATATACTAAGCCATAATTAAAACAGTAATGTATGGTTTTAAGTATAACTAAAATATAAATGTAGAATAGAATCAAAATCTTAATACATACAGTAGAGTGGAAATGACAACTGGATCATTCATTCATTTATTTAATTATATATATAATTGAATAAATAATACATAGCCTACTGTTTGCCAAACCCTGGAGATGGAATGGGAAATGATAGAAAAATCTCTGTCTTCAGAGAGCTTGCATCAAAGTAACCAGAAGCAGCACTGAAAAGACAAATAATTGTATGACATATTTTCTACTAATAAAGAATATTGTAAATAAAGTTTCAAGGGATAATTGTACTCAATAGTGACAGTGACTTTGACTTTGATAATGACTACCTTACTTTAAATAAGGTAGTTAGAGAGGAAAGACTTCGTAAATCTATAAAGATTTTGAGATGGTTAGAGAAAATTGTTTTGGCCAAGACAGGACTCAAATGAATCAAATGTTTATTAAGATGGTCTCACTAGGGCAGCTCGCCAAGGCTCATACTGGTAGTCCTCACTATTTGGGAAGCTGAGATGGGAAAATCACTTAAGCCCAAGAGGCAGAGGTTGTGGTGAGTGGTGATGGTGCTACTCTACCTCCAGCCGCCTGGGTGACAGAGTGAGACTCTGTCCCAAAAACAAACAAACAAACAAATAAATAAAACCCAGAGATGGTCTCACTAGAAAAAGTAAATAAACTGGAACAATATGCAGAGTAGCCTATTTAAAATGGAAATGTTGGGGATGGTGAAATAATGAATGGTGTCAAAATCTAGGATCTGATTCTATATGTTAAGAGATAAGAGGGTGATGAGGTCAAAGATTACTAAGGGGAAAATTTCAAATTTCAAATCATAAGCAAGAGTTTCAGGCGAATCGCTTGCATCCATCTGTCATTAAGCATGAATGCTAGTAGCAATGCAGGGAAAACTATTTGGCTTGTTTCTGAAAACTTACAATACAGTAGAATTAGCCTGAAGATACTTTAAGTGATCACAACAGAAGGTGTTTGAAGGAAAAGTGATAAAATTTGGAAGCAGCAGCCACAGTGGGGGAGTAAGATAATACCTAGCCCACCAGCAAACCTGTGCTTTAGGGTACCTTGGAAGGAAAAAGCAAACCAAACCAAATGATTCAAAAAACATTTCTTGCAAGGGGCAACAAAATCAGTCACGAAAGCTGTGGAAAACAAGGTTCAGTTAAATGAGAAACGTAAGGGACTCTTCCAAGCTAAACACGACGGTGATTTGCTGATATCAGAGCGTGACTTCAGAAAGCAGAAGTTTGGGAAGTTGGAAAGGGTGAAATGTTGGATGGGTTGAGATCCTATGGGTTAAGATCCTGGCGAGGATACATAAGCTTGGAGCTTAAATATTTGTCGGAACAGAGGAAAACAAGGCTGAGACCTTGCTGTATTCATTTGCAAGGTTACCTAGAGGAATGTGGAAATTCAGTTCAAATTATAACCTTCTTTCCTAGGAAAGGTATGGGGACCTAGATTCTAGTACTTTCTCTCCCAGTAATTAACTGTAGAAGATACACGAAATTTTTCTAAGCATCACTGTTTTTTTGTAAAATCAGAAGGTGTGTGGGGTGTGTGTGTGGGTGGGTGGGTGTGTGTAGTGGTGAGGGAAGGGGAGACAGAGAGAGAGAATGAGTCATCCACCTTTTTTTTTTTTTTTTTGAGACTGAGTCTCGTTCTGTCGCTGAGGCTGGAGTACAGTGGTACGATCTCAGCTCACTGCAACCTCCGACTCCTGGGTTCAAGTGATTCTCCTGCCTCAGCCTCCTGAGTAGCTGGGATTATGGGCACATGCCACCACACCCTGCTAATTTTTGTATTTTTAGTAGAGACGAGGTTTCACCATGTTTGTCAGGCTGGTCTCGTACTCCTGACTTTGTGATCTGCCCACCTCAGCCTCCCAAAGTGCTGGGATTACAGGCCTGAGCCACTGCGCCCAGCCCCATCCATCTTTTAAATGTAAATTAACATTACAAATAGGGATGAACATATTTGATTACCACATGTTAACTCCCATGGTGTTCTTTATTTTCTTCCTATAAAATGCACTTAAATGGTACAAGAACACATTTTTCTTTTCACCATAAAATTTTAAAAAATATCAAGTGCCTCCTTTGGAAATAAGTATGGCATATAATTATCAATGAAAGCCAAAATCGTATAATTTTATAATTTTCACTTATTTTATTCTACATGTATTTATTGGATATTTAATCTGTAAATTTACAAATTGTTTCTAAGTAAGATTTTTAACATACAGTATTATCCTAACTTATAGAAAGCTGTAGGAGGTAGTTTTCATAAATGCTTAATCAGACATAATTTGTTATGTATTAGATTGCTATATGATATAATCTGTGCTAAGTATTACTTTTACTAGACTTAAAAACATAGATTTTTTTCTGGGTATACAGAAATGTGAGTTGTTTTATTTAAGTTTCCTCATGGCAGTAAGATTTATATCTATTCCCTGAAGCTAACATGAATAAGATCTATAGATTTCTGTTTACTTTTAACTTCATATATTCTAGAAAAATTTTGACATTTAAAATATTTGTGTGGATGTATTTTATCAGTTTCACATTAACATAAATACATAAACAAGAAGCTTTGCCACCATAATTAAAGCTCTCTTTAGTCCTAATGTCTAAACGTATTGAAAATTATATGCTTTCCAACATCTCAAAATAATCCTAGGAATAAAATGTTTTAAAAAGGTCTGGGACGTCAGCAGAGTAACCACGAAAGACAGCAATGTCAGGGTAGACACTCAGTGGCCTATTATGGTGGGTACAGGTACTTATTGTATATTGTACTACAATATTTTTCATGAATAAATACTTCTAAGCCTACATAGAAGAGCCATTACTGAAAGATTTTTATAAAGGTTCTTAACGGAGAATTTAATGTCAAATTCAAGTGTGGGCCACCAATAAAAATGCTGAAAACACTAGCTACATTCTTTTTTCCATTATGACTAACTTTTTAAACATCTCCTGTTTTTAAAGCAGCACTCAAATTACTGATAACATTACAAGAGGCTGAGGGAAAGAAATTCAAGTTTAGCTCTCATTTAACTTGAGGTAGAATAGTGGCTGCACTACCGTAACTGATGAAGTGCAATTCAGGTTCTCTTTGAATACAAAAGAGAAGGCTGGTCACCCAGTGATTTATTTCATTTCACAAATTATTATATAGTACTTCTGTTTTAAGACATAAAGCATCCCTTTTCAAAGTACTTTATGGATTGATGGGTATGAGGTAAACATTTCCAAGTAATACTTAGTGTTGAGCCAAAAATATTTTTCTACTTCTAAATTACTGCCATGCAGACAGAGAAAAGTAACTAAATGCAGAGGAAAGTCAGTCTTGCTGGTAGCTAAGAGGGCTTTTTGTTGTTCTGTAAAACTTTCTATAGAACTTGAAAGAAAAGGAAAGAATAATTCTAAAAGCTTTCTTGCTTGTATTATAGGAGAAAAGGAAAACTGCATTGTCAGCTCTCAACTTTGTTATGAAAATGTACCATGTAAATGATATAAATTAGCACTGACTACATTAAGAAAAATATTTTAAAAATATTGACCCATGAAGCTGTATTTCCCCATGTAATATCTTGCATATATTTACATAACGTAATACATAATTTTCTATGTAAAAATGCCTTTAAATATTCAACGTGTAATTACCAGTTTTTCCATGGGTTGCTTTTAAGCTGTTTTATTCCTAATTATTCTGACATTTATTTACTTGTTCTTATTCCTTTGCTGCTCCATAGTCATCTTTTTGCTCACCACATTGTGACAATATCAAGAAAAAAATGTATGTGTAGATTTCTTTATCTCTTATTTTCCTCTGATTTGAAAATTCATCAATGGTTGCTGCAGAAGCTGCCTGAGGCCTTTGGGAACATAAAAAAGTTTCAAAGTTGCTTGTGGAATGATCTAGATGAGAGGAAGTGATAACACTTAAATTGATTTCCTATTCCATAAAATGAGTATTCTGTTAGAAAGATATTCCACATAAGACTGAATGAATTTTGTCCTCTAATAGTTTGACAAAGACAGATTCAACATATCAACTAGTTATATGCCAAAGTCAGAAATCCCTCCTCTTCTCACCTGTTCTCATTATTTTCAACATATGCCTTCCACCTCTGTGACCTATTGATGCCTGGAAGTGTAACCAAAAGTGATTGGTTAATGATGAGAAACAATTTCCATTAAATGGGTATCACTAATTTGTTAACACTTCAGAAATGTAACTTGGCCTATTGAGGCCAAAAACGTATTTTATTCAGCTTTCTGGATATGATCTGTAACAAGAAAGAAGTTAGAATCACAAATTATCTCACAAAAAAGTGATGTTTGTCCATGAAAATGGTTGAGTGTGGTTTTAGGGAGTTTGGTGACTGTCACCATCAGAAATGCAAGTGAATTATTGAAATTTCCATTATTTTCTATTCATTATTTTGATAGGAAAGTCAAAGTTGCAGACAAGCATCATATAACTCTATAATCTTTTTAAGTTACCTTTGTTTGTAACTCACTCATGAATTGTCCAATTAGCCCCCAAATCACTACTGACAGTGAGCTTCATTTGCTTGTCATGAGGACTGCAAAGAGTAGGGAGAATCGGTGTACACTACTTCTGCTCAAGTCTCGGGCAGGAAAGTACTAGTAATAAATTCAATGGTGGTGTCTTGAAGAGAACAGAAAACAAAACAGATTGACACACTGGTACTGCTTCAGAGAAAGAGTAGAAAACAAACAGCAGCTCACTCAGCACCATAGAAGAAAACACACATGCTTCTTGACCTACAAGGGGGTCGCTTCCTGATAAACCCATTGTAAGTTGAAAATATTGTAAGTCAAAAATACGTTTAATACATGTAGTCTACTGAGCATCATTGCTGAGCCTAGACTACCTTACACATGTTCAGAACACCTACATTTGCCAACAGTTGGGCAAAATCATTTAACACAAAGACTGTTTTATTAGAAAATGTTGAATATGCTATGTAAGGGCATCCTGTCGCATATTGCTGGCCCGGGAAAAAATCAAAATTCAAAGTACAATTTCTACTGAATGCATATCACTTTCACACCATCATAAAGTCGAAAACTTGTTAGTTGAGATATCATTAAGTCAGGGACCATCTGCAGTTCCGCATTAAAGCACTAACACTTGCCATTACCGTTATTCTTCATTTTTCTTCCACAGAAGGAGGGTATCCTTACATGAAGATTGACGGATGCTAAAGGGTATGATAATGGTAATGATGATGTTGATAAAAATTGCTATTATTTACTTAGTATTAACTATGTGGCAGTCTAATTTTCTAAACATTTTGATGTGTTAATAGATTTCATCCTTTAAACAAACTAGCGAAGTAGGTGTAACTTTCATCACATTTTGTAATGAGAAATATTAATAATAAAAAGGGTTAGCAAAATATCCAGGGTCACAAGCTAGAAAAGTGCAGACCTGGCCTGAGATGTGTCTATTGTGATTGGGTTTCAAACTTTATTTAATCATTAACTTAGAAGCAGCTCTTTCAAAACATTGCTAAATTCTGAAGTTACAGAGAAACAGAAACAAATTCCAATTGATTTTGTATTTTTGACAACCAAGAAATATCTCATGAGAGAATCCTTTGTATTGGACATCTTCTAAATACTGAATACATAGTAATAAACAACAGATAGAGAGCCCTGTGCTTTGGTAACATGAAATCGACCAGGTGAGTATTAGTATTTCTTACGGCCCAACCATATGGGTTATTGATTTGTTCTACTCTATCCCCATTTCCTGGGTGAGCTCATGTACTCTAATTATTCAAAGTGGATGACTCACACTAATTAATTGCAAAAATTATTATTAGACTACAGTAATCAAAACAATACAGAATTAGCATGATGTGACAGACAAGTCAATTGAACAAAATACTGAATCTAGAAACAGATACGGTCAATTGAATTTCAACAAAGGGATGAAGGCAATGAAATGGAGAAATAATGACCTTAGGAAAAAATGAGACTTTAATCTTTGAATAGTCATGCAAAAACAATTTGAGACTTAAATGTAAAATATGAAACTATAGAGAATGTTGAATAATATATACATGATCTTGGGTTAGGCAGAAAAATTTTCAGTCAAAAAAGCACACATAATAAAATAAATTTAATTTATAAGTTGTACTTTTATCAAAATTAAAAATATCTGCTGTTCAAAGGACATTTTAAATAAATCAAAATTATGTGCCATGAATTAGATGAAAATATGGGCAAAAATATGGGCAAAATACATATCTGATAAGTCTGTTATTAAGAGTCTATATGTATTAGTCTGTTCTCACACTGCATAAATTACCCTGTCTCGGGTATCTCACATAAAGATAAATTACCCAGTCTTGGGTATCTCACATAAAGATACCCGAGACTGGGTAATTTATAAAGAAAAAGAGGTTTAATGGACTTACAGTTCCAAACAGCTGGGGAGTCCTCACCATCGTGGTGGAAGGCAAATGAGGGTCAAAGTCACATCCTACATGGTGGCAGGCAAGAGAGCTTGTTTGGAGGAACTCCCCTTTATAAAACTATCAGATCTCCTGAGACTCATTCACCTTCATGAGAATAGCACAGGAATGACTCTCCCCATTATTTAATTACCTCTCACAGTGTCCCTCCCACAACATGTGGGAATTATGGGAGCTACAATTCAAGGTGAAATTTGGGTGGGGACACAGCCAAACCAAATCAATATAAATAGCACTTCAAACACAATAATAATGAGACAGACAACCTACTTTGAAAAATAGAAAAATTCCTTAAAAGATGCATTACCAGAGAATATATATGAATGCCAAACAAGCATATGAAAAGATGTTTAACATCATTACTTTTTAGTGAAATGCAAATAAAAACCATAATGAGATCCTGCTATGCACTTACTGGAATGGCAATAAAAGAAAAAGAGGAGGATGAGGCGGAGATATCACAAAATTGTGATGATACCGTCCAGCCATAGAACTCTCATGAATTGCTGGTGAGAATACGAAATTGTCCAGTGACTGTGTAAAACATTATGACAGTTCGTCACAATGCTAACTACTTACTAATCACATTACTCAGCCTGATGGGCTTTTAGGTAATTATCTTATAGGAATGAAATATATGTCCTTGCAAGCATCTGTACACAGGTGTTTACAACAGCTTTATTCAAAATTGTCCAAAAGTGGAAACAACCCCTACTCCTATTAAGTAGCGAACAGACAGACAATTTATGGCCCACTCATACAATGGAACACTCACTACTGAACAATAGGAAGCATGAAGCTCTGATAGAAGCACAGGATATGTCTAAACATCAAAATCATCAAGCTAAGTGACAGAAGAAAGACACAAAAGCTGTATCATGTACAATCCAATTTATCTGGCGTCCTAGAAAATTAAAAGTAAAACACCTATGTGGATGGAAATCTAATCAGTAGTCACCAAGGGTCAGGATGATGGGAGGAGAGAACACATATGAGCAGAAGGGAACTTACGAGGATGATGTAAAAAAATCTCTATCTTGATGGTGGTGGTAATCAAAGGGCTGCAAATGTCTCTAAAACCTGAACAAACTGTAAACTTCAATATAACTTTTATTGTAGAAAGTAAGTTTGAATTTAAAAAATAGTTTGGAACAAAAGTTAAACATGTTAGAAAGGTATGAGGAAGTGATTAATATCTTGTAAGAAGAAAACTGAGTCCTTGTTACTGATTCATATTTTTGAGTGTGTGTATGTGTGAGAGAGAGAGAGAGAAAGAGAGACAATGACAGAGAGCGAGAGCTTGAGATTGTGAGACAACATGAGATGGAAATGGAGATAAGCATGGCATGGTATGAATATGAGGCCAGAGTAACAAATTGATAAAAGACAGGGAGGATACAACAAGAAATGGACTTGAAGTCTGGGCGCAGTGGCTCATGCCTGTAATCCCAGCACTTTGGGAGGGCAAGGCGGGTGGATCACCTAAGGTCAGGAGTTCGAGACCAGCCTGGCCAACATGGCAAAACCCCATCTCTACTAAAAATACAAAAATTATCTGGGCGTGGTGGCAGGCATCTGTAATCCCAGCTACTTGGGAGGTTGAGGCAGCAGAATGGCTTGAATCCGGGAGGCAGAGGTTGCAGTGAGCCGAGATTGTGCCATTGCACTCCAGCCTGGGTGACAGAGCAAGACTCCATCTCAAAAAGAATAAAAGAAATGGATTTGAACAAAAGTAATGGCATTGAAAACATGGCAGGTCATATCAACAGTGACTTAGAAGATAGACTAAGTAGAATTTGCCAACTCAATATGTATCATTTTATAAGTGAAAAACTCAAGATTTCTTCCAGCATATCCAATTTTGGAGTATAATCCTAAAGATCAGAGCTACAGAGGACACCTTGGGAGAAAAATAAATTCAATTTGGACGTGATAACACCTTCCATAGCCTTTTTTTTTTCATTATAGATTAAACAATTCTGAGTTGTTCTGTACTTTCTATTATTTTGGTCACATGAACAAGATATAGTTTTCTGTTGTTAGCAGATACTGGGATTTGATAAATGTTATATGGTTTTGTTACTGTGGTGGGTAAAATTCTGAAAAATATCCAGCACACCTTTAGTATTCATTCCCAAACTAACCCAGCCTAAAATCAAATACCAGAAGCCATGCAATCCCTCTCCATAACAGGCTACTTGTACTCCTATGTAAACTCTCCTAATCATAATTCTTCACTTTCTCCCTTTGGCTGGCTGTGTACTCCATATTGTGTTTCAGCCTCTTGAAATACAGTGCCATTTTTTTCTTTCTGACAAAGTAGCATTTGGAAACACTAACATATTAACATTCTGGTCAAGAAAACATCTGCACAGTTTCTGATACTCTTTCCTTTTCCCTTTGCTCCCTCCCTATGCACTGGATAAAGGCAAGTTTGCATCTATAAAGATGATCATTTTATTATTTAATGAATAATGAAAACAGAAACCTGATGAATATTGAAAAAGTATTTTCTCATTGAAATTAAAATTTAAAGTATTTGAAATTATAGAAACAAAGTGACTCTATTAGGATGCGTGATATCAAAAAGTTACATTTAGATTAAAATATACAAACTACGAGCATATACACTGACCAAAAGAAGCTTATAAAAGAGTCTTGCTTGAGTAGATTATTTGCAGTCTGTTTGATTGTGGACTTCTCTCTAAATGTGGTCTTAGTTGCTTTCATCAATGGTGGCTGAAACAAATCTCAGGTTTGGTATTTTAGTGTATCAACAGAAGTGAAATTCAATTTATGTGGAATAAATTGCTTTTTTATTAGCTTCCTATCGTAAACTTCTAATTGCAAAGACTTCCTTGCAAGGTGGCCCAAGGGTGTATCTGTGCATCTCTTATTTGTTAGACAATGGGAACTGCTACATAGACATTTCCAATAAACCTCTTCTGCCCCAATATTTGTCTCACCCAACTATCTTAACAACCATCTCTTTCCTTTCCTAGAATTTCACTCTTCAAATATGTCCTTAGAGTTTATAGAAAACCTGAGAGAGACTATCTTGGTGTAGACTCCATTTGCTACTAAAAAAAAAGTATGAAATTACAAGATTCCGATAAAATGAAATACAAAACATTCTTTTTAAGAATGAAGATAAAATAATAAAAGTACGGAAAGCATAGAATGGAGGCATCCAGCATAGCTAGTATGAGGGAAGGCACGACTAAAGTGAAATGTGTTAGTAGAGCCTAGTGTTCTGGCAATCGCAAGAAAAACATGAGTCTATTGGGTCGGCAAAGTCAGGTTTAGACAAAAGCCATCTGGATACAGTTCCAAAGAAAGTATTGCAAATGGAAAGGCATTAGGAAAAACACATTAAAACTCAGTAATGGATAGGACTGGGTTTGAGTGAAAAGAGGAGAAGGCGGAGAAGGAAGAGTGACTTACCCGGCTTCACTGTGCCACCTGGGAGGTGTAGAAGGGTATTTATATATTTTAGCTGCATAGGCTATTGGCATTAATATTGATTATATAAAAGTTTGTTATTCAAACAAAATTGTCATCCCCTATCTACTTCTCTCATTCTCTGCTAAGAATCTACATCTCCTCAAAACAGAGCACTCTTGAATGGAAATACTTTTGCCTACAGATTTTTCTACTGTTCTTCATATTTGGTTGTGTGTGTTTGTTTTAACAAAATTCGCCAATTTAAAAAAATCTTCTTAGTTTCAAATTTCTGTTATGGGAACTCTGAATCCTCACTAACAGATACAATGACAGGTTGGATATTGGGATAATTAATGCTGAGCATATTGATAGTGCTGTAAATCTTAGGATATTAAACCTTGATAACAGGCCAGGCGCAGTGGCTCACGCTTGTAATCCTAGCACTTTGGGAGGCTGAGGTGGGTGGATCACTTGAGGTCAGGAGTTCGAGACTAACTTGTCCAACATGGTGAAACACCATCTGTACTAAAAATACAAAAATTAGCCAGGCATCATGGCGCATGCTTGTAATCCCAGCTACTCGGGAGGCTGAGGCAGGAGAATCGCTTGAACCCGGGAGGCAGAGGTTGCAGTGAGCCAAGACTGTGCCACTGCACTCTAGCCTGGGCAACAGAGGGAGACTCTGTTTAAAAAGAAAAAAAAAAAAGAATAACAAATCATGTGGATAAAAACAAAGAAACAAAACAGCAGAAATCTCTCTTCTCTCTCGGTGACTCTGTTGTTATTGGAGAGAAAATGGAAAGTACTGTAGAATTGGAGCCTACATATTTTTAATGAAGTTCTGTTTCTTGGATCCAGGAGATAAATTGAGCATAGCATGAAGAATGGTGAATTATTAGTGATTTATAAAATGTTATAGGATCCTTCCAGTCATGAGGTTTCTCTCATGTCCCCAAGAAGCCATGACGGCTATGAAAAAGCAGTCATGGTGGTAAAATTGTCAGTGTATGGTAGCCACAGCTTAGAACTCAGTGAAACTTAGTGCAATTTAGTATTGATGTCAGGGGGCAACTTCCTTCAGTGTGAATCAGTTGATCCAATTAAAAAGAGGTGATATGATTCCCAGTTGTCAGGCACCAGTTCGGTTACTTGAATGCATAAAACAGAATGTTTGAAAACAGAATGAAACTCATTTCTTCCTTAATTGTTAAAGTCACACACTAGTCATGCACTAAAGTAAGTTTCCAGAGACATTTAGCTGTGGGGAGACTGCTCATTTATTTATACATTGCTATTTTTGATGTAATCATTTAGAGATATTTTTTCTACCAGAATTATGTAGATAACTTGTGATGGTTAATACTGTCAACTTGACTGGATTAAAGGATGCAAAGTCTTCTTCCCGGGTGTATCTGTGAGGGTGTTGCCAAAGGAGATTGACATTTGAATCAGTGAACTAGGAGAGGCAGACCCACCCTCAATCTGGATGGGCATCATCTAATCAATGGCCACTGTGGCTAGCCTAAAGCAGGCAGAAGAAATCGGAATGAGACTTGACTCGGTGAGTCTTCCAGCCTTCATCTTTCTCCTGTGCTGGATGCTTCCTGCCCTCAAACATCGGACTCCAAGTTCTTCAGCTTTTGGATTCTTAGGCTTACACCAGTGGTTTGTCAGAGGTTCTTGGGCCTTCAGCCACAGACTGAAGGCTGCACTGATGGCTTCCTTGCTTTTGAGGTTTTGGGACTCGGACTGGCTTCCTTGCCACTCAGCTTGCAGACGACCTATAGTGGGACTGCGTCCTATGATCATATGAGTCAATACTTCTTAATAAACCCCTTTTCCTATATACATCTGTCCTATTAGTCCTGTCCCTTTAGAGAACCCTGACTAATACATAATTCTATTATATTGAGGATAAATATGGACTTCTTATCAACTTATATTTTCTTGGCATTTTTATTCATATGATATATGCATGTGACATAATTCTTAGATAATGAATTTTTCCTAGAATGTACAATACAGACTTCACCTTACTCTTTCCTTAAGGGCAGGCGGTTAGGTTTCGGGGGAAGAAAAAAGATTAAGTTTGGTTTAAATCCTTGAGAGTCTTTATAATAATTTTTAGACACTCTGAAATAAATATAAAATACATTTTTATAAAGAAAAATCTCCAAATTATTTTTGCAATTAGCTACCTTGGGCTAAATAAAGCAATGTTAGGCTGTCTATTAGAATTATTTTTTGTAGATAATTTTTTCTATTTGAGAAAGAGAATAATCTATGGCCCAAATAACATTCAGAGTTTAATTAAAATGAGTACATTTTAACTTAAAACACATTCTGAATCAAATATAGCATTCTGGGGGGCAACATAACACAATCGTATGATAAGATTTGTTAAAATTGTGTCTCTAAATAAGATTTATCCATAGTAGTTAGATTCTACTCTCCTTTGTTTTGATTTTTCACAATCTGTAAGTAATAAGTTCTTCTCTACAAGAGCTTTCTCAAATGCCACTTTGGTTTTAGAACAATGGCTTACGAACTGAATTTTTCCCCACTATGCAAAAGTGGGCTTATATGTGTGCATGTATTGTGGATGACACTATAAACCAAGTAATTCTTGGTCACAGAATGGAGCTTTATTAGTTGGAGTTCTTTCTACCCTGTTAGGATTATTCTATGGGATCCAATATTCTCTTCTACCTCTCTCTGGGATTGGAAACGCAGGGAACAACTCATGCATCGGAATCAAGATTCAGTAAAGCTACCAATGTTCTATCTGCCCAAAGCACTTCTCTCTTAATAAGAAGCATGAATAGATTGGGAAAATTCTTCTGTCCTGGAGCATGAGCAGCAAAATGGAGAGATGTACGTTTGGCTTCATGTTTATCCTTTCAAAGTGATCATGTACTCATCAACTACCATCTTTCCCGCATTTAGTCTCTGTGATAAAAAGTACACAATTTTTTTGGATCATGAAGATGGTCTAGAAATAACTGTGGTGAGAATCTACTATTAAGAGTAACTCCGAGAAGTCATCTTACAATACGATGGCATTTTATGCAAGTTAAATTTATATAAATGGTCACCGCAACCATTTGCCTATCACTTTCCTGGTCTTACTGAAAACTTTGTGAGACACCAATTTACTCTCAAGGAGATAGTGGTAAATTTGTTTGTTTATTTCATACACAAGGCAATCTTTTATGTGTCTAATACTCCTTCAAATGATCATTAATGCTTTTGTTTATTTAAATTACCTGGCTGGAAACTCCTGAGCATCTTCTGAATCTTGCTTTCAGTTATGGTCTCAAAGATGCTGAGTAATTTTGGTGGTGATAAAAACAGTGTTGTTTTCCCTTAATCAGACCGAATACCCATAGTTACAGTACTATTCTACGCATGAGGACATATAGCCAGAACTTTTCATTTTACATATATTTTCAATCAGTCCCTAATCAGATATGTCATCTCAATATGGGGCTGTGTGGATGTGTTGACTATGAACTTTAGATTTATTCCTAATATTTTATTGCAAATATCTTAAAATTCCAAACAAAAAATTATTATATTTTCCTTTTGTGTTTTATCTATTACATCACAGAAAATGTTTGTATATCTCAATATATATTTATCAAAAAGTTAAAGACATGACTGCATGTATTTGTTTTCCCATTTGTATAATTACTGACCAATTCCTTCTTTTTCTCATTACTCCCTGGTGAGGAAGATCAGCCCTTTCCAAACCAACTCAAGTTTATACCACATATGCAAAAATGTAAAGTAACTGTTCTCTAGGCCACTTTTCCATTTGTTCTTCTTAACAAATATTTCGACTCACTTATCTTCCAAATATATCTAAATTACTTTACAGATATATTATACTTCACATTGTTTATGGTGATTTTCCCTATTTTGAAAATCCATATTTAAATCTTTTCAAATGCGTATGTTTCAAATATGTTGCTTCCATTTTCAAGTATGTATATAAATCCTTTTGCAAACATAATTATGATCTTTTTTCTAACAAATTCTTCTTTTTCCTTTATATCCTAAAATAGATTCTGAAAATGGACTAGTGGGGTATGTGTGTGAAGAGGAGGGTCTTAGATTAAATTCGGGCACTTACACAAATTCTGTGAAATCTATGTGTACTGCGTTGTGGCTGATGACAAATCTCACCCATTTTTTCCTGCATGCATATCATGAGGAAAATATAAGAGCTACACTAAAAAAACAAAACAAAACAAAGCAAGCAAAACACGCACTCATTGGATTATCTGACAATTTACATACCTAAAATTCTGCTTCTTGTAAAGTAAACATAAGTAAATTTTTATATGCTAGAATTTTTCACAAAGGAATACATTTTTTGAGCGGTAGTTTTCTGTTATGACTTCTTTAATCACAAGGGAAAGTTACGTTCTTATTTGTAGTAAAATATTAACAAGGATAGGTACATGACTTAGCTGTCACTGCAATAATAAATAAGCTAGAACTGAAAAATTTTAAAATCAAATGGCTTTTCTCTTTGAAAACTATGCACTCATGCACAAACATGTCACAAACACAATCTTGGTCATTTTACCTTATTATAAGCAATATAATAAAGGTTGGTATAGGCTAGCCAAATCATATGTTTATGCAGTAATTCTTGGCAGGATAGGAAAGAAAAGTTCCAAACAAAAAAGTATTATGATATTTTCGCTCTGTGTCTTACTACCTATTACATTACATCTATATGTTAATTGGAAAATGTTTGTATGTCTGTTAATATATATTCATCAAAAAGTTAAAGACATTTCTCTTGTAAAAATATAAAATAAATATATAAAATACAATAAAATATAATAAAAATGTAAAATAAATATATATCAGCAATTTCATTTAACCTACTGATTAGTGAAGGAACTAGAAAGATAGTAAGGCTTGTTCAAAGAGCACGTGATGAGCCGAGCATTTATGGGCAGTTAATAAAGCAATGTTAGAATGAGGTTGCTATGTGAGATGTAAAATTGCTTAATATTCTGCAGGACAAAAACTATAATCTTTAGAGTTATCTTTTCTACTCAGAATCATTCTGTAACTTCATTAGTCAATAGGAAACAATGAGTCAAACACACTACATTGTCTAAAATAACGCTTGGGTAAACTATTTAAACAATGTCTTCATATGGTATGAATCAATATGTTTACAAACACTTGTTTTATTTTTAAGTTTACAATAAAATTAGTTTAACAGAATATATGTATTGGCCTTTACTATTTAAAGTTATTATATAATATTTAATAAATTCACATATATAGATTTAGATATAGATAAGTATGAAACATGGATAAATTATGAATTATGTTATAAAGATTAAACAGACCACCCAATTTACAAATACTCATGCTATAAATATCCTTGGGTCATCTCTGGTTTCTTTAAATCCTAAGGCTTGAAAATTTAAATTTTCCTTTGTTTCCGTATTATTAGTCAGGGTTCTCCAGAAAAACATATATATTTATATATACATAAAACCTATTTCTGTGTAAGACCAGAGATAGAACCATGGCTAGTCAGAGCCTTATGTAGCTGATAATAACCTCCACAAGAGAAAGGTAGGAGGAGAGCAAAGAAATTCAAAAAATTAACAACACCCTTAAAGACAAAATATAGATTAGATATTGCATATGAGAGTAAAAGCAAGAGGGAGGACAGAAACAAAATTGTGCGTGTGTGAGTGTATGTGTGTGTATGAAGAAGCTTATTTTGAAGACTGAGCCCATGTGACTATGGAGACTAAGAAGTCCTCAATCCTCCAATGGCAAGCTGGAGACCCAGGAAAGAAAGTGCTGTAATTTCAGTTTGAGCCTGACGGCCTGAGAACTGGGGAAGCTGATTGTGTAAATTCCAGCCCAAGGGCAGGAGAAAATTGATATCTCAGCTCAAGCATTCAGTCAGTAACAAAAAGGACAAGTTCATTCTTCCACTGCCTTTGTTTCTATGTGGGCCTTCAATGGATTGGATGATGCCCATCCACATTGGGCAGGGCAAATTATTTTACTGAGTCCACAGATTCAAATGCCAACATCATCTGGAAATACCTTCCCTGACATATCTAGAAATAGCCTTTAATCTGGGCACCCCTTGGTCCAGTAAAGTTGACACATAAAATCATCCGTCACCATTCCTATTAGATTCCCAAGGAATTTCTATTTAATGAATTTAATTTCTGCATTATTATTCTTGCTTTACTTGAACACATCAAGCTTGTTCCCTCATCACTGTTGTGCATTTGCAATTTCTTCTGCCTGTAACTCTCTTTCTCTAGGTCTTCTAATGGCTTTCTTCTCTTCAATTGGGTCTCAGTTAAAAATATCTGCTTAGAGAGGACTTTTCTTACCAGTCTCTACCTCTAGAGCTCTATTGTATTTCCTTCATACCTTCTAAAATTGCTTCGTGTATTTATTAATATTAAGTTCCTCTTTCACCCCACAAAAGTATAAATTCTGGGAGGATTGGGATTTGCCTTGGCTCTTTTATTTCTGTGTTTTCAGCATGTAGAATAGATACTGGGATTTGGTGGAAACCCAGTGATATCTTTTGATTAAATAAAAGCTTTGTTTGTTTTGTTATATTCTACTCTGAAAAACCTGAAGGACCAGAGGTAGATCCATGGATAGTCAGAGCCTTATGTAGCTGATACAACCTCTACAAGAGAAAGGTAGGAGAAATTCGACCTTTCTCTGCTTTGAAGCAGAAAAATTCAAAAATTGGTAATACCCTTAAAGACAAAAAGTAGGTGTTGTATGTGAGAGTAAAAGCAAAAGAGAGATCAGAAATAAAATTGAATATATGTATATATGTTTCTATTTTATCTTATTTTATATTCAGGGGGTGCATGTGCAGGTTTGTTACATGGGTATAGTGCAAACTGCTGAGGTTTGGGCTTCTAATGATCCTGTTGCTCAAGAAGTGAACACAGTACCAATTAGGTAGTTTTTCAACCCTTACCCTGTCTGTCTCTCTTCCCTTTTAGAGTCCTCAGAGTCTATTGTTCCCATCTTTATGTTCATGTGTACTGAGTATTTCTTTCGCTCCCACTTATAACAACAAGTGGTATTTGGTTTTCTGTTTCTGCATTAATTTGCCAAGATATATATCTAACATGGAAAGATGGATGGCATGACAGGAGTAATGGGATAATTCAATTTAGTAAGTATTTTTCTCATTTATTATGTATAACTGATTGGTTAATACTGAGATATTATTTGGGGTGATGTTTCCAATCTATACGCCTTCACAATCATTCTCAATCTAGCTGTATGTTTTTTTCCATTGGATTCTTCTTTGTTGCTTTTCCTTGTAGCAACACTGAAATACTTGAAACAATTGCATTAAAAAAGTGAAACAGATAATTTTATGACTTTTTAATATCATGAATCTTGAAAATGAGCCAATATTTATAATTCAAGCTAGCTATGTGGCTAGTAAAATATTTGACTCAGTAAAATATGCTGATTGGTAAATATCAAACTTCTTCCCAAGGTATTTGTTCATTTCTCAGATCTCTAGTTTAGAGTAACATTCAATAGTTACTCTGTTGTTGAAGTTATAATATTTTATTGTGTGCTCTTGTGTGCTTTAAATTTGCAAATCTCCACTTACCTCTAAGATGATTAAGGGAACAACTACATTACCAATTCCTTACTATTCAATAACTACTGCTATGCAATAACTACTAACCAAGATATACATAGAAGAGATTAACCTGTGTCAAAGACTTGGAATATATTTCTATGCAGGAGAAACAGTCAGTCATTCAGTGACCATTCTGTAGTCTTGAATTGAATGCATGCTGCATCTTATTTTAGGATAAAAGCTAAAGTCACTTTTGAAAATAGCAGTTTCCCCACTCATATGGAACTCTTATCCTAAATAAGTCTTATTTTGTGAAGAAAATTATATGATCTGTTTACTAAAAAAGACAAAAATAATAAAAAATATACTTCACATTTAATAATAATTTATTCTAACACAGGTATTATTGAGTTTTTAAAAATTATTTTGTGTATATATTTATGTTTAAAATAGTTACAGATATATTAGAATGATTTAATCAGTTATTTTGTGGATTTTAGCTGAAAAAATTTGGAAGTTTGTGTATATTTTAAATTTTAACTTGTTAATATAAAATATTTTCCTAATAATAATGATCATATCCTTCCTAATATAATTTTCACTAGATAATTATCACAGAATTGATGACAAAGCTGAAAATTTCCCACAACTGCTGGATATTGTCAGCAGGAATGGCAGTCATGCAACATATAAACACATTGTATCCATCTTTCTGTGTAATTACCAGAGTTTCTTTTTCTCCATAATGATATTTTCAAATGGTAGCCAAACTAATAAATTACATGTTCCATATAATTAATAATATTTGTAAGTAACATTTTCATAATAACAATCATTTTATTTTTGTAAGGAATATAATGAATTAGCAACTTATGTGTATTAATGTATGCTCAGTGGAGGGGATCACAGGAGTTTACTTGATTTAATAGAAATTATACTATAAAATGTGTGATTTTCTTTGGCTTAAGTTATACACTCCCCGAGACATTCATGTGTAAGTGGTTCCATGATTCCTATTAGGCATTTAAGCAAGAAGCAATGACCTACTGAGTTTACAAAATTAATTCAGTGACACAGCAGGGAAAGAGGAAAAACAACAACAATAACAAACCCTGCCTCATCAGGGTTCATCTGTAATTTCTCAGTACCAGTATGCTCAGTTTCTTATTAAATGATAACAGATCCTACCAAGGAAACATGGACCATATTAGAACAATCACATTAGCAGTTTTCTCTCTAGAAAAGGATACTGTTCTCGTTGATTCTTGATTCTTAACATTTTCCAATTAACCGATCTTAGGCTTTATATTGTCATGTGTTCCTCACATTTTTTTGTATGTAAAACTCAGTGTACCTTATTTCAAAGTGTCCAGATATTTTGTCTTAATGTTTTAAGTTTTAAGTGGTACATACTCACACATACACATGACTTCTTACATAAATGTCATTCAAAACAAGGCAGAGAGAAGGCCAGATGTGGTGGCTCACACCTGTAATCCCAGCACTTTGGGAGGCTCAGGTGGGCATATCACTTGAAGTCATGTGTTTGAGACCAGCCTGGCCAACATGGTGAAACCCTGTCTCTACTAAAAATACAAAAATTAGTCAGGCGCGGTGGCATTTGCCTATAATCTCAGCTACTCGGGAGGCTGAGGCAAGAGAATCACTTGAACCAGAAGGTGGAGGTTGCAGTGAGCCGAGATCACACCACTGCACTCCAGCCTGGGCGACAGAGTGAGACTCAGTTAAAAAAACAAATGAACAAACAAACAAAACAACAACAGCAACAAAAACAAGGGAGAGAGAGAGAAAAAAATGTGGTATAGCGAAAAGACTACCAGGCAGTAGATCATGAATATTACTTCACATGTATATTCCGCGAGCAAAACTGATGATTTCTAAAACCACATCACTTAAAGATTTTATTATCTATATCCTGTCTATTTTCAAGGGTTACATTTACAAGTTACCTATAGCCCCAGGTAGCACAGCCCCAGGATTTGATATCTGATATACTTAAATGATTAAGCAGAAATGTATTTTTTGTTTTATGACCAAAAATATCTGGGTAATTTTTTAAAATGTGAGCATGTTGGCTGGGCACGGTGGCTCACATCTATAATCCAAGCACTTTGGGAGGCCAAGGCTGGCAGACCACTTGAGGTCAGGAGTTCGAGACCAGCATGGCCCACGTGGTAAAACCCTGTCTCTACTAAAAATACAAAAATTAGCTGGGCATGGTGGCGGGCACTTGCAATCCCAGCTACTCAGGAGACTGAGACAGGAGAATCACTTCAACCCGGGAGGCGGAGGTTGCAGTGAGCCAAGATGGCACCACTGCATTCCAGCCTGGGCAACAAGAGTGAAATTCTGTCTCAATAAATAAATGAATAAATAAATAAGTAAATAAATAAGTGACCGTCTTATCCTATGTATCGATCATTCTCTATATATCATCCATATGGCAGTTCTGGTTGTACACTGTCCAACATGTAACACAATGCATGGCACTCTGGTTGCCATTTCAAACTGAGAATTTTCCTATAATTAATTAGCAATTGAATGTAACTATAATTTTATCTTATGTCTGTATTTCTAGATATATATAAATACACTAGAGGATAAAATAACTATTATGTAAATACAGATATACTTTATTATCTCAAAAATTACTTATTCTTTATTTTCAAATTTGATGAGAAAACTACTTAGAAAACATGTTTAGCCTTTTCAACTGACAGTACAAATTTGATAAGATTTTTTTCTCTTTTGCTGCTACTGAGAAGAGTACCCCCTATTTCAAGATACATAGGATCAAATATTATCAAATTTTCAGAGACTTCCCAACTCACGGAAATACTTGAATTGATTTATTAATAAGTTCAGCACTAAATTATTTTTATTCTCAATGTATGCGTAGGGAAAGTGATGTATTCTTGCCAACATGAAGTTATTCATTCACAGCTTCCCTTCTAATAAACAAAGTGATACTGGAACGAAGTTTACCTGTCAGTGATATGTAAACTACACTAATGGTTCTAATTTGGCCAACTAATAATAATGTGCTATATTTTAAAAAAGGTTTTATGAATGTGGTGGTGCACACCTGTAGTCCCAGCTACTTGAGAGGCTGAAGCAGGAGGATCCCTTGAGCCCAAGAATTTCAGGCTACAGTAAGCTATGAAAAAAAAACAAAGCTTTTTGGGTATGTATTTTGATTCGGCATTGACATTATCAAGTAAAGGGTGGAGCAAGTAAGTTTTGCTAGTATTAGTTTTTGCTTGTTTGTTTTTAATTATAATAAAATAAAATTAAAGAAATAGGAGTCTCGCACAATAGTTAATGGATTCAAGAACAATTTCCAGAATTCCACTTTGTTTTTATGACATGACTGTATTTTTATTTTGAAAATATTTGGAAGTAAAAATTACCTATAACTTTATTAGCCAAAAATTCCAAAGTTATTTTATTTTAACATTGATTTTCTATGATACTTATTTTTATTGTCATATTATTCATGTCAGAAGCATTATGTATTTCTAACTATTCTTCTTAACCTTATCTTTTTAAATTGTGTAATATTCTATTATATAAATGTTTACACTTTTTAAATCATTTTCTTTTGATGAATCTTTATGTAGCTACTAATTTTCATATTACATATAGTGATGCAATAAACATCTTTTATAGAAATACTTTTTCATCCTACAGTAGTTTCTGAATAATAAATCCTGTGAAGTTGTACTGCTGTGTCAATAATTATGAATATTTTAGAGTGTAAAAGGAGCTTTCTACTGCTACAGAGAAAATTTCACAGTTCTCTGTCCTTAGCCTTCTCTAAAAGTTTCACTCATAAAACATTATATGTGGTGAAATTTGACAATGAACCTATATGGAGCCAATATATGTGTATATGTGTGTGTGTATGTACATGTGTGTACACACCTTGAGCTTCTGTGTGTGTTAAGCTACAATTGTTTGAAAAGTTTGAAATATCCATAGGACACACACACACATACATATTGATTGAGTACATTATTTTTCAATCTCAATTGTCTCCAAAATGTGATCGGTTTTGGAAAATAAATGTAAATGTATATTGTAAGAAACAATATTGACAATTCCAACACCTTTAATTTGATTGAATTTAAAAAATCATTCCAGTAATGTAAAAAAGATAACATATTAAAATGTGTAATATACCTCACCTTTACAGAATAGAATTTTAGGTTTATTTAATAAAACGAGAGAGAGAAAAAATCAGTTTGCTTGTCAGTACTATTTAGCCATATTCACGTGACCCATATAAGAAGTACAGTTTCCTCCACAGAGGCAAACTGTAAGATCAACAAAAAAGAGGTTCAAGTAAGAGGTATGTAATATAACCCTTAAAAGAGAAAGGATCATTAACAGATAAAACTTGGCTGTAACTTGATTGAATGTATTGATACATACAAACTGAAACATTAATCAGATGACATGAATAACTAAAGTAATTACATAAGAAGTATTTCTAGAGGTAATCACTGGTAGTGCCTATCTAAAACACTGTCCAGGGATGAATGTGTCCTAACACATAACAATGTCTCTAGCTTCCAGCTCTGTTGAATTCATAGTGTATCTACTGACATAACATGAATACCCATTGGAACTTGAATTTGGACCAACACAAAATTTACTATAATTTCCATGTTTTAATCCCAATCTGCTGCACACCTATATTTTCTGTCCTTTGATTTTAATCCTAATCTATGCTGTCAACATGTTTCTATTTGTTCAGGCCAGAGCTTTATAATCATTTTAGCCACAATATTAATTTTTAAACACCTGTAAAAGCCAACATATATTTTGAAATTACCTTCACAACATCTCTGACTTTTTCTTGCCTACACTATTTCTATAATTATTTAGTTGAGATCTCATATCCTTGACCTATCTTCCCTAAAAATGTTGAAAAAACATCATTATTTGAGTTAACATATGGTCATGTTGTCTTCTGGTTTAAATCATGCCAATGTTTACTACTTTTCTATTAGCTGTGTCCAAGATGCCTATCAAAGCACACAAAGTCATTCACAATGTAATTGGTCTGACTGGTAAGCTTCTACTCAGCTTCTCAACCCTTAGTGTTTTATGATCTAGCAATACAAAATGGTTTATTGTTGCAGGACAATAGCACAATGTGTCACATAGCCAGAAGCCTTGCTGGATCC
The DNA here is from genome assembly GCF_000001405.40 of Homo sapiens. Taxonomy (NCBI): domain Eukaryota; kingdom Metazoa; phylum Chordata; class Mammalia; order Primates; family Hominidae; genus Homo; species Homo sapiens. The sequence continues at coordinate 178,553,442 of NC_000004.12, forward strand.
CTCTTCTTGTTATCCCAGGATTTGCCTGGCTGTCTACACGTCTCTATTCTGTAGATATGTGTGCCCAATATGCCAATAAACACTGTTTTATAATCTCATACTTTTTTTGCTATTGCATTATTGAATTGTATATTAATTTATGTCTTTATCTCTTTCCCTTAATATACAGTGGTATTTTAGAGAGTAGCAACTTCATATAATTTTCTGCTAAATCCCCAGTATTTACTCTGGTGTCTGTCATGTAACCCACACTGAATAAATATATATTGACTTAAAGATAAAATGTATTATTGTCATAATTAACCAAAACCTCTTTGAAAGTATTGTGGCATTATTTTTTTTTGAGACAGAGTCTCCCTCTGTTGCCCAGGCTGGGGTGCAGTGGCACAACCTTGGCTCACTGAAACCTCTGCCTTCCGGGTTCAAGTGATTCTTCCACCTCAGTCTCTGGAGGAGCTGGGTTTACAGGTGTGCGCCACCAGGTCAGGCTAATTTTTGTATTTTTAATAGAGATAGGGTTTTGCTATGTTGGCAGGATTGGACTCAAACTCCTGGTCTCAAACCATCCTCCCACCTCAGCCTCCCAAAGTGCTGGGTTTACAGGCATGAGGCACCACACCTAGCCTGCAATATTTAACTCTTTAAAAATCCCGGTCTACTAAATTTAAGCAAGGTAATGCACAATAAAATGAAGGTCCAGGAAATCATGTAAGGTTTTATCACGATACTTAATCTGTGTAGCAATTACACTTCACATGCAGAGAATAAAAATAACTTTATACACTTCAAGCAGAAACTGATTACAGAGATTTAGGTGCTTACAAAATTGTCGAGAAGGCTATAGAGGCAGCCTCTGGTTTTGGCCTGGGCAAATGCCTTTCTGTTCGTCACCACAAAACTTGCCCACCAAGAAAATTACTACTAGGTACTTGTTCCAATTGCCAGATACATGACTGCACCATTTTGTCCACATTCTGTAGATAAAATCAACTTTCATAAATTTTGTCTTCAGAAACACACATGCTTCAGTCTGGGAATTAGGAAGCAGATTCCAGATCACTTGGCTCCAGAACATGCTGTTTGGAATCCTAGCTGTCAATAACATAAGAATGACAAACATTGCATAATTCCATTTATATCAGCGGTCTAAGCCATTCAAACTCTTGGTAGCAAAGAATACAACAATGGTTGCCAGGGGCACTAGAGAGTTGTTGTTCAATGGGCATAAGTTTCAACTGTGCTAGATGAATAAATTCTAGAGCTCTGCTGTGCAATGTAGAGCTTACAGTCAACAATATGGTATCTTGCACTTTATTTGCTAAGAGTTTGGATCTTGTGTTAAGTGTTCTCACGAAACAAAAGCAAAAAGAACCCCCAAAGGTATACAAGGAAATCTTGGGAGGTGTTGCATATGTCGATTACCTTGGTTGCAGTGAGGGTATCACGGGTGCATGCATATTCCAAGCTTATTGAATAGTACACATTTACATATGTGCAGTTCTTTGTGTATCAGTTATACTTCAATAAAGTTGCTTTTAAAAAATAAATCCTAGTGCAAGGTGGTTTAGGAAATGTACTATATATCTTTTCTGCAGTTGCAGATGACAGGCTGAAACGAAATTGGAACAGATGGCTTATCTAACATTTCTGCCATAATCTCTCTTTGCAACAAGAGCAAAAGCAACCACATCATAATGATACTGCTAGAAAATATGTTAATATTTATTATTAAAAGTCGCATTATTAGTTGTATGTATGTCAAAAATATGAATTTAATTATCTATTTTACAGTTAAAATCAAAAGAAGATTGAATATCTTTTCTGCATAACACACTGCACCAAATGTAAACAAAATATCTGTACCTCCTAAACTTGCAGTCAAAAAATAAACTTCAGGCCAGTCATGGCGGCTCATGCCTATAATCCCATCAGTTTGGGAGGTCAAGGAAGGAGGATCACTTGAAGCCAGGAGTTCCAGACCTGCTTGGGCAACGTAGTGAGATCTGCTCTCTACCAAAATTTTCTTTATATCAAGTGGGGTGGCACTAGCCTGTAGTCTTAGCTACACAGGAGTCTCCGAGATGACGGAATCACTTGAGCCCAGAAGTTTGAGATGGCAGTGAGATATAATTGCACCACTGCACTCCAGGTTGGGTGACAGAGTGAGCCCTTCTCTTTAACAATAAATAAATATGTAATAAATAAAACCAAATAAATTTAAATTTTACTGGATTCTTCCAATAATATATGCTATACAATCTTAATTTCACATACATAATTCACATTTGCCAATACTCCTTTTCCCATTATAAATACTTTGGATTTCTGAGTATATATGTATATCTTTTGAATCTCCTTTTTCTTTTGTCATTTGGAAATATAGGCACATACACACGTGCACACTTATTTATTTTATAAAATCTATAAATTTCTATACCTATAAAATTTATTAAATTATCAAATAATTACATGGCATGTAATTATGATTTCTCTAGCTTAATTTGTACTCTTTCCTGAGATTCTCCACCTTCAATTTCAAACTCTTTACCCAAGATTTAAACGGCCACTTAGTTTAACTCTTGTGCAGGACTTGAATACAGAGTCAGGCAATTCTTGCTATACAAAAGCACGATTAATGCTTCATGTAGCTTCACCTAAGAATGTCTTTACAAGCCTGTGTAATCATTTAGCACAGATGGTGAAAATCTGTAACATGGACCAGTTACCATAAGCACAGTTGACCTAATCAAAATTAACACTCACATTAGAAAAGTTTATTATCCATTCATAAAATTCAGTGGTATAACATAAATGTCATGCCACCTTAGGTCTTGCATCAGTAATTGATTTGTTTATGATACAAACTAATTCTCAGTATTTTGTCTCTTTCCTGACAATAACAAGTAGAATCATGAACAGGGAAGGTTATTATTTACTAGCCACAGCTCAATGTACCATGTAATCAAATCCTTTGTCAGAGCATCCTGCCACATAATCAGATCGTGTGAATTGTCAAAGGCAATTTTATAAATATATATTCATTTAAAGCCTCGGTAAGCTTGTTATAGTGTAGGATAAGTTCGTTTTTCTTTTTTTTTTTTTTTCCTCTGTTGTTGTATTCTGAATTCTTGTGTATGGAGTAATTACATTTCTTAAAAATATAACTCAACTGTGAAAAAATAATAAATTCTCTGTTCACCTATAATAAATATTCCCCTTCAAAACCCAACACATTAAATTATTATGATGCAATTTGCTTATAATTTTCTCCCAGGATCACTTCTTTACAAGATATTTTAAATGTATTTTTCTGAAATTTCAATAAATATTTTTGCTGAGCCACGTTAGAGTTTAATAACAATGCACTACACTGTCAAAAGCTTATCAAAATGTGTTTGGGTATATTCGCGCAGACACTCATACCCACACAAAATTACACTAGTTTACAAAGAGCAAGTTTCTATGTGATTTGTGACTCTGCCTTAGTTTGATTTGTACCTGACAGGCAGTTGAACATTCTTCAGGTTTTGTTTAACTTGGTAACAATGAGCACCTGTCTTCATAAGGTTCATGGTATTGATTTAAATGACTAAGGAAAAAATCAATCTACACTTCTTTTCAGAGGCCAGGTGACTCACCACTAATAATGAAAAAGGTATTTCATAGTTATTCCTCCAGGGCAGAAATTATATCATCTCTGAGAAATAATAGTGAAGAGATAAGCCTCTAGTCTCTTAAAAATTACTTATGTGCCCCAGAAAATTATCCAGGAGACATTTCTTCATTCAACACTAACTTTACAATTATTAAATATCTATTATTGCACTCTGGGCTTTTAAGAGGAAATAGGACATGGGGGATTTAATCTATGTCCTTAGCGAGTGTAGGTTAATGAAATCTACACAAAACAAGAGAACAAGGAGGGGGAAGCAAGTGAAAGTAGAGAATGAGAAGGAACAGATGTTAGTGGTTATGAAGCAGCCACAAGGGCATTTTGGGCAAATGGAAGTGTTCGAAGAAGGAACTAATTGATAATGGTTTGGAAGAGAAAATGTAAGTTAGACTTTCTAGGTAAAAGCTCTTGGACGTGGCCTTATGTGTTATAGGATTTAGTGAAAGGGATAGAATGGATAGAATGTTTTTGGTTGGGAGAATCTCTTTACCTACTTTCATACTGTCTTATGTCCAATGATAATGTAAAATAATTATAATAATTATTCAATATAACAGTTATGTGTTAATGATAATAAAAATATAATAACAGTAACAGGGACTTCCTCATGTGCAATAGTCTTGATCTCTTGCCTCAGTCTCTTAATCACTCCCTGTGCTAAAGGCAGTCACATATATGATGGTGACTTGGGCACAAGCAAAGGGCTTGTTTGGAGAAGCCACGTCGTATCACTTTATGAAGATCCTCTGCCTGATGGCAGCGTGTTCATCTCTGCTGTATATGTGGGCAGGCCCATGCAGGTTGGCTATAGTTGTTCTCTACCTTCAGTACAGCCTGTGACCAGAAGGCATGTATAAGTTAAGTTCAAAGTACTGTGATAGAGTAATTGGACAGGGATCTCCTTTTTCAGCTTTGGAGACCCCCTCCTTCTGTCTCTGTACAGGGGAGCTTCTTCTTTCTGCCTTCACTTTTCTTTCTGGCTTATTAAACTCTGCTCCTTAAAACCAAAAAACAAAAACAAAATAAAAAAAACACACAATAAATAAATAAAGTAATTGGACAGTAATTTTATGGCCAAACAATAAAATTAGTAATAATTGGCCTGGTGCAGTGGCTCACGCCTGTAATCCCAGCACTTTGGGAGGCTGAGGCAAGATCACCTGAAGTCAGGAGTTCAAGACCAGCCTGGCCAATATGGTGAAACCCCATCTCTACTAAAAATACAAAATTAGTCGGGCATGGTGGCACATGCCCGTAATCCCAGCTACTTGGGAGGCTGAGGCAGGAGACTCGCTTGAACACAGGAGGTGAAGGTTGCAGTGAGCTGAGATTGTGCCACTGGACTCCAGCCTGGGCAATAACCGTGAAATTTTGTCTCAAAAGAAAAAAAAAAACAAAAAAAAAAACCTAGTAATAATCTCCATTTACCTGAATCCCATACCTGTATTTTTAATCCAGCTTATCCGTGATCAGGGAAAACACAGTGTAATTATCCACTGGGCTCCCCAAATGCCAATGGGCTTGTAATTTAATAATGAGAAAAGCTAGAACACAATACTTTTAAGGTCTTTTCTAAATTTTGATGTTTGTGATTTATCCACATTTAAACACAAATGCCAATTTCAATCTCACAAATTATGTACATATAGCATGAAATAGGCTTATATGTCTGTTATTACTAACATACAACAAATCTGTAAAGTAATCCTTGTTACTGAGAAAAGATATTTCTGGTCTAAAATTCCTGCTTGAAATCATACCTTCATCTACATACTGTTTGATGATGATATATACTACAGAGTTCTACAATCCAACAAGATCTCCATCTCATCGTAAGAAATAGTGACATTTTAATTTTGTTCTGTGATTAGATGAATGCTACAAATGTACCCGCTTTAAACAATTTTTGGTCTCCTCTTAAATAAAAGTGACACATTTAGAAATAGGAAAATTTTGTCTCATTCTCTAAAACAATTTTGTGCACTTTTTTATTTTAAAAATTCAAATTTATTACAAACTATTAATTAGTTATTAGCCTTTGCTTTTTGGTAAAAGCATTAGTGCAAAGTTTAAAAGCATATGAATTTGGAAACAAATTTATTTTCTTCCATTTTAAAGAGAATTTTCTTAATCTGAACAATGCCAGACAGGAACATGTAATCTGTATTCTTTTTTTGAACTAAAATGTGACCTTTTACCTATGGAAGAAGTCAAGGGTAATTCACCCTATAGGGTTTGAGAATTTAGGTTCTCTTAATAACACCACCCGTAATAAGCATGAGGAAGACACTAATGGCGTGGATCCTAGTAAAGTTACTTCAGCAAATAAGTCGAGAGAGAAAAGTCCATTTTTGAGACCTCTATTAACTGAACTAAATAGCCCAGACTTACTCCCCTATTAAAAACAAGCAGTAGGCAAAGCATGGTGGCTCATGCCTGTAATCCCATCGCTTTGGGAGGCCAAGGTGAGAGGGTCTCTGCAGGCCAAGGCAGGAGGATTGCTTGAGCCCGGCAGTTGAAGACCAGCTAGAGCAACATATTGAGATCCCATCTCTACAAAAAATTTTGAAAATTGGTCAGGCATGGTGCCTGAGGTCCTAGCTAATCAAGATGAGGTTGGAGGATCCCTTGAGCCCAGGATTTTTAGGTTACAGTGAACTATGATCACAGCACTGCACTACAGCCTGGGTGACAAAGCAAGACCCTGTCTCAAAAAAAAAAAAAAAAAAAAAAAAAAAAAAAAAAAGCAGAAGTTCTGGACAAATACAAAAGTCATCTGCATTTGCATTAAAGAGCTAGCAAAATAGTCAGAAATTACCAAGTTAAAAGAAGGACAGTGCCTACTTTGGGGACCTGCTTTTTTGCTCAAAGTGGTTTCTAGATGCTGGGGCAATGGCTGAGGCGCTGAGCAGCACGCTTTTCAGACCTTGGAGAATGGGTGCGCTAGGATTAAGGGGGACGGGAGGAAGGTAGCTCTGTTCAGTTTTTTAGGCTCTCAAGCAAAGCTTTAGTTAATTTTTGCAATAAGGAAAGTGGTAAATTTAGACAAAACAATGAGCTTATTTATCTGCACTTCTTTTTTCTTCTGATCTCAGTCCAGCATTTCCTTGTTGTTTCAGTAACTTTCCTGTACCTTTAAAAAAAATTATTTTAAATGTTCATTCAGATAGTCTATTGAGTATGTCAGCTTAGTCTGCAGTTGCCTGAAGAACTCTCTCCAAAATGAATAGATGAGAAATAGATGATAGATAAAAGTGTAGACGCTTGCTAGCTATAACCACAACAATAGACATAGGTATAGGTACATATAAATGAACAAAAAAAGGCCGGGCGCGGTGGCTCACACCGGTAATCCCAGCACTTTGGGAGGCCGAGGCCGGTGGATCACCTGAGGTCAGGAGTTCGAGACCCGTGTGGCCAACTAAATATACAAAAAAAAAAAAAAAAAATTAGCCAGGCATAGAGGCGTGTGCCTGTAATCCCAGCTACTCAGGAGGCTGAGGCAGGAGAATTGCTTGAACCCAGGCAGCAGAATTTGCAGTGAGCTGGGGTCGTGCCACTGCACTCCAGCCTGCGGAAAAGAGCGAGACTCCATCTCAATAAAAAAAGGAATATAAATAAATAAATAAACAAACAAAAAATACAGTGATGCAAAAAAAAAATCATGGTACTATTCCATTAAGGCAAAAAATCATTAAAAAAATTTAACATACAAGTTTATTCATCTTCTCTTTATCTTATTTCTGAGGCTATCAAGTGGTCTTTCTTTTCCTAAAGATCAATTTCATGTTCATCTTTTACTAAGAAGAAAGCTCTGAGTTGGCTCTTCTTCTTTAGTAGTCTTTTTGTTGCAGGATGAGATGGAAAACAAGAGATGGAAGAAGAATAGTCACCGCATTTGAAATCATGCAGAAGATGTGGGAGTTAGGGAAAAGGAAGCAGTGACTGAAAAAGATTACTGAAGTTTTGGTTTAATAAAACATTGCTCTTTTCCCTCCCCCCTTCCAACCCAGCAAGCAAGCCCTTTAATTAAACATACAATGAAAAAAAAGTCGGGTGGATGTATTCAACTTCTTTGATTTCTACACCATGCTCCGAATTTCAAACCTACATGATTCATTACCTGTTTATTTAAAAGAATAGTTGAAGGTTTAAATGGAAAGAATAAAGACCAGAAAAGACAAAAGTCTTTTATTTATGTATTTATTTATTCATTTATTTATTTTTTGAGATGGAGTCTTGCTCTGTCGCCCAGGCTGGAGTGCAGTGGTGCGACCTCAGCTCACTGCAACCTCTGCCTCCCAGGTTCAAGTGATTCTCCCGCCTCAGCCTCCCGAGTAGATGGGAATACAGGCACCCGCCACCACACACAACTCATTTTTGTATTTTTAGTAGAGACGGGGTTTCACCATATTGGTCAGACTGGTCTCCAACTCCTGGCCTTAGGTGATCCACCCGCCTCGGCCTCCCAAAATTCTGGGATTACAGGCGTGAGCCACTGCACCTTGCCAATAAAAGTCTTTAAGACTGAGAATTAAAAGCTTTAAGGTTAATGGCAAAATTGTACTCTTCAGCTTCCCCGTGCAATCCAATACTTAATTTCTATAACGTTACTCATTTTATCCACTAGATTCAATGAGGGTGCTCTGTGCTTCCCGCCACCTGATATTAATTGTGTAAGCTGGTATTCTATTGGCCAGATCTGACAAATGTGAGAAAATCAATAAATTACAATTTTGGCACATATTTTCACATGTTAATATTCTCGATCTAGAAACAAAAAGAGAAAAGAAAATAGTAAAGTGGAGAAGAAAACAGGCTCTTCTTCATATATGATGCCTGTTATGTCTCCTGCTGAAAGAGAACAACGACAAGAAAGAAAACATGGTTTCCAAATTAGCTGAGAAATATTTTTTGTCATAGTGATATTCTTTGTCTTAATTGTAAAACTTCTTGTTTGAAGAAAAAACATATTAAGGAATGTAGTGTGACAAAACCCATTTCACAATTAATAATCTTAAAATGTCAATGATATAAACCCAAAATAAACTTTTGCCGAAAGTTTAGATGTTTCAAAGGCCCAGGAGTAAAATTAAACACTGCTGTGCGTGCCAATAATTCATTTTCTGAAATTTAAGACAAATGGGAGTGAATAAGTAAGAAATGGAATAATAGAATTTGTTAAATATTACATTTTGTTAAACAAAATATAGATTACTTTCTTTAATAAACTGATTTGCAAACACTTTTATTTCTTTACTCTTAGAAAAAGTTTGGTCACGATATGTATTAGTCCATTCTGCCAAATTACGGGGGAGGCACCTCCTCTCCAGGTAGCAGGAGAATGAGTGCCAAGCAAAGGGGAAAGAGCCCCTTATAAAACCATCAGCTCTTGTGAGAACTCACTCACTATCACGGGAACAGCATGGGGGAACCACTCCCATGATTCAATTATGTCCACTTGGTCTCTCCCTTGACCTGTGGGGATTATGGGGATTACAATTCAAGATGAGATTTGAGTGGGGATGCAAAGCCAAACCATATCACTACTGTTTTACTCCTATTGCAATTAATTTACAAAATGTTAATATACATATACACCTACACACATAACAGGGACCATACACACAAAGGAAGAGGAGAGCGAGGGAGAGGGGAGAAAGAAAAAAACAGAATTGCATGGCAATAAGGCAATCCCAGTCCCAGGATATCGGCTCCAGGAAGTCAATAGACCCTCTTAACCTTATTTCAATGATGAGGAAACAGGCTAATAAGAACAGTTAAGTAAACTATTTTATTAAAGTTTTATGTTCATTAAACTAAACAAACCCTTTCTAGTGATTTGGGTTTTCCTAACAATGTACCTATCCATTAAGTATTAATTACTGTATGCAATTTCAACATGAATGTTGTGTAAGCAATAGAAATATCTAAGCTTCTGTTTCTTCCTCTGCTAAGTAAAAGAATACTAATGTGTACCAATTTACCTCTAGCTCTGTAGGAACTGAAATAGCTAGTGTTCTTTCTCTACATTAGATAGAAAGTATCAGAATATATCTATTGAAAGTAAATTGATGTGTGATAGCACTGGTTCTTGAGTTTTACCTCGAATTTTGCTAAAAATATGCTTGACGTCCATACCCAGAGCTAAAGATTTAGATACATATAAATAAATATACTACTGCTGATCAAGATATTTTTATTATGAAGGATTATAGCCAAACAATGAAAAAATTTCATATAGAGAACAATTTAACTTAATTTGAGTAGCTATACCTGCCGTGTCTGCAAGTATAATTTAATTAAAAGTGGAAAACGTGATATTTGGGTAATATGGTTTTGAACCTTTTATCTAATTACCAACTGTAAGTGCACTGACCTCATGCTGCTACTAAACAACTAAAATAACACAAAATATATTTCCCTAATGTTTCTTACAAAATAAGTGCAGATAACCAATTATAAGTAAGTGTTTACTTTCATATTTCCATTTAAGCTAATATATACATATTAAAATTTAGAACCTTAGAAAATGTTAAATTACTAGACTTCTGTATTAACAGAAAACATTTATCAAAGCATTATTTCAGAAAAGCTTTCCTGCCTTCCATAAACTTGTTTGAAGCAAATGAGGGTTTGAAATGAAGATAAACTCTGTGAAAATAAACTACAAATGTCAAAAATGTTGTACTTTCACAAAAGTTTTAAAATTTTCATTGTTTTGTGTTTGTTCTCACAGAGATAATAACTGATACTTTGGTACTCAAATGCAACCTGCTTGGAGATGGTCAATTTATTTATTAAATTTGGCATCATATATACTCTTAATTGAGTGTGTTAGATTTTATGTAACACATTTATGCTATGTTGTCTTCTGATATCCCACTGTCAGGTTATGAGTGTCAGAAAATTAGAAATTTTATTTCTAATGAATAAGAAATGACTTACCTGTATTCCAACTTTATTTGAACCAAAATGTGAAGATGTTTCAATGATATTATGTGATTTTATGATAACAGATGATAACCAAGGAATTGACAATACAGCTACTCAGAAGTTTTTTTACCCAGGCCAGTGATGTTTTTATGGAGGCCTCATTATGTAGCATGAGTAATTAAACCTCTGGCCATTGGTGATCAACTTACCTTCAACCGCTCTATCCTCTCAAGAGTTTTAGGGGGTGGGGCTGCAAGTCCCAACCCTCTAATCAAGCCTCTGTCTTTCCAGTGACTAGCTCCATGTCAACATCAGCATACAAAAAGACAGAACTTCAGAGACTAAGAATTTTAGGAGTTGTATGACAGGAAAAGAGCCCAGGAATCTTTTTGCCATTTCTTCCTTTCTTAATCTCCTGTATTTTTCTCTTTATTTATATCCTGTTTCTTATCTCCCTTTAAAGTTTAAAAAATGAAATATTTTTGTATCTGTTTATCGGTTGCTCTACCAAATATCAATTCAAGGAGAGTTTAGGTGCAAATTTTGCACTTTTTAACTTACTAAAAAAGAGACAGTGTTTTTTCTTCAATATTAATATCTATGGATGTATCTATATATATTAGATTCCAATGTTTAATCATTTATGAAATGCATACATATTTTATAATATATATAAATAACATACTGTCTTCTAGGAACTAATCTCATGATAGAAATGCAAGTATATGAAAAGAAAGTTTATTTGTCATCAAAATCAAATAATCTAGACAACATAAAAACATACCTAGAACTATAATAAAAAAACTTACAGATTACACTGGAGAAGTGTACCAAATTGTCTGAGAGTACAAGAGAAGGAGGAGGCTCTACATCTTCCTGGAGGAATGGGGTTACAGGTAGGGAGCAGAAAAGAATAAAATATTTGAATGGAAAGCCAGAAAATAGTGTGGTTTTTTTGGCGGGGAGCGGGAAACGGAGTCTCGCTCTTGTCACCCAGGCTGCAGGCTGGAGTGCAGTGGTGTGATCTCTGCTAGCTGCAACCTCTGCCTCCCGGGTCCAAGTGTTTCTCTGCCTCAGTCTCCCGAGTAGCTGGGATTACAGGTGTGCACCACCACGCTCGGCTAATTTTTGTATTTTTAGTAGAGATGGGGTTTTACCTTGTTGGCCAGGCTGGTCTTGAACTCCTGACCTGAACTGATCCGCCTGCCTCGGCCTCCCAAAGTGCTGGGATTATGGGCATGAGCCACTGTGCCCGGCCGGGATAGTAGTATTCTGGCAGGAAGACTCGCAGTGCCGGGTGCTCAGATGAGGAGATGAACGTGAATCCTGCCTAACACTGAAAGATGAAGTTGAGGTCAGGGGGCCCTGAGCCCATGAGTGTATCTAGAGCTTAAACTGTAAAAGGGGGATATGGTCAAAAAATATGATGGAAACTTAAGCAAGCCTGCAAGCGGTAATATGTCTGGACTTTGTTTTCAGAATAAATGAGGAGTCCCAGGGAAAATGTGGAAGGCAATATATGATTTGTTAAAAATAGCTCTTCTGCATTTATGGGAAGCATTAATTAGATTGAGGGAGTGGAGCCAATGAGAGGCTGGGGCAGCCGGGATCCTAAGCTGGTAGGTTACAGTGGAGTCATTTCCACACAAGGATTTGAGTCTAAATTTATAACCTCAGGTATAAAAAACCTATAGTCAATATTTCCCATGAAAATTAGTTAGAAATATGAGATTTTAGAAGCCAAAATAACATTTCTCCAGAACTATAAAATTCAAGCTTCTGCTAGTTAGGATTTTACCTTTGTTATTCACTACTGAGTTCCTAGGACCTATGATGGTGATGCCTGGCACACGCCTCATGCCTAGTAAATATTGGTTGAAGAATTAGTTAACAGTAGACAAGTTGTCTTCTTGTGTTGGTAGAGAAAGAAAATAAATCTGTTTGTTTATTTTTCTGCTTAGCAGTAGTTGCAGTAGCTAGCTTACTGTCAAGGTTCATACTGTATATAGAATACATTTTTTCATAGCTCAGGAAGATGTTCAATGACAAAATATTTACATAGTGGGAGACATTTGGGATCTAACACTGAAAACCAAAAAACAAAAAATCAAATCCTGGTATTATGCTCACTGAGAGAAGGGTATCAACCCACCGAGTGAAATGGAGAGATACATGTAATGTGTGACCCTTTCCTTTCTCTTTTCCTCCCTTTCAATTTCTCCTTCTCTCTCCACATAATGAGTTTAATTTTAATACACAGTGTTCATCTTATGTGAATCCATTGTTTTGCAACTATTTTATACAAAGGATTTATGATGACTTCAACATGGCTGTTCCAATAGAGGTACAGAAAATGGGACAATGATGAGGAATATTTTAGCGATTGAATAGATAAGACAGTGAAGCAATTGATTTGTATGAAAGATAAGAGAGGCGCTAGTCAGAGATGTTTGTGGCATGGGCAAATTGTTGGTCAAAGCTGCCATTCATGAGTATGGAGACATACGAAGAGGGGCACCTTTATTGCTGGAAAGAATTGTAATGATCTACTGATCTTAACGTAAATATGTTATTTTTAAATAAAACTTCTATGCAGATTGATTTTTTTAAACTCAAGAGGTCTGAACTGAAGAACAAAATGAGAAAGTCATTAGTGTATCTGGTGGTATTTGAATTCATCTATTTGGATAGGGTACATCAGGGATAATAATATAGCCTGAGAAGAGAACTCTAGAGACAGAGCTATGGGGAGCATCAAAGATAAAGGAGTAGTAAAAAAAAAAAAAAATCCCAAACAAAAAGTAGCCCCAAATCATGGGGACTTAAAGGAGAAACAAAATGAATAATTCCATAGGAGAAGAAAGCTTTTAAAAACAAAAGTTAGCCAAAAGTAGTATGAAGTGTGAAGAAATGAAAAAAGAAAGGATCCAAAAAAATACTTGTTCTGGCCCTAAGAGTTTCCTTGTAACCTTGGTTAGATCTTTTCAACTAAAGTCTTAAAGAAAAATTCTGGCATTTTCCCTTCTGGTCAGAAGAAATCCTATAAATTTACTTTGCTGCAAGGACCTAGAATAGAGCTTTCCAAGCTGGTGTTAGAAATGAGCACCACAAATCCTCAGCTATTGATCCTCCCCTTCTTGTTCTCGGGGACCCGAATAGATCCTGAGGTCCTGGACTGCACCCTCTCCCTTTATTCTAGTGGGCCACCTTTGCATGTGTGTCATTCTGTGTGTGGAAAGAGCGAGAGACAATGTAGTCTGCATGATCTAGCTATCATGTGCCTCTATAATCACACTCTCTCTGATTTTTTCTGTTTCTCATTCTTGTGAGCCAGGCTGGCCTCCCTGCTAGTCCTAGAGAACAGAGAAGAAAAGTTATAGAACCATCTGATCTTCCTGATCTTCCCACCCTACACACGTGACTTAGCCATTTCTTTTTAGTTCCTTATAAAATGCCACCTCCTTATGAAGTATTTTCTTACCTAGGATAGCATCCCCCATACTGTCTATTTTTTTTCTTCATAGTACTTACCACTACCTGACATAGTTTAAATCAGTGTGTTTGTTTATAACATATCTCCCTTTCCATGCAAAATGGAAGTTTCAGGAGACTAATGTGTTTGTAGAGTTTACTGTTGCATTCTAGCACTCAAAACAATGACTAAGATATAGTCAGTGCTACCTATTGGTTGACCAAACAAAAGAAACGAAGAGTATGGAATTCAGACAGCAATGCTTTATGAGCAAAAACCAAAACTAAATGCTTAGGGTTGAAAAAATTTTAAAAAGCAGACCATTCTATAATAGACTTGAACTGTAAAATTAATCCTTGTTTCAGCACATTTGTGTTATAAATCCATGCTGTATTTGTGATTGCATGTGTATGTATGTGTGTGTCACAGTCATTTCTCTCAAATTTGCAACAACTTACTTTATAATGGAAGAACAGATCTGTATAGTGATACTCAATTTTATCATTTAGATAAGTGCTTACCAAATAGAGATGATTATCATAGTCACCTGACAAGATTTCAGACATGTTCCCAACTATAGTCCCAGTGATTCAGACTGAATACACCTGGGATTAATATCTGAGGATCTTCATTTAAAACCTCCCTGGGTATATCACTAATCCTCTAGGTTTGAACATCATTGTTGTAATAATCACTATTTAAGGGTCTGACATATGGAGGAGATGGAGTCAGACATAGCTGGTGACTTTTCCAAAAAAAATTAAGAATTTGAAGGAAGGATAGGATTTGGGTAGCACTCAGAAATAGGGAGAACTAAGGAGTCCTGATAAGGTAAGTTAGCAACAAGGAAGAGGGGGCTCCAAGGTGGAGGAGAACAATTGTTCTGAGAGATGGCTAACCACAATCAACTCACTGGCACAACATTTTGTTCCCAAATACCTTGCTCCTCCACGTCGCCCCAGCAACACAACCCTATCTGCATACAGCCTCTCTAGCATGACCTATAAAACTTCCCTCCTGACCCTGCCTCTTGGCAGATAGCACCCTCTCTGCTGTACTGCCTGTTGTACTTTTTCAATGTATTTTCCTAATTTCTCTCTAATATACTTACTTTCTTTAACTCACTACTGTTTTGGTACATTCTTTTACTGCCCATGGCACTGACACCAGTCCCAGCCAGTCATAACCCATGACATCTTGGTGGCCCATACAGGGACCTCTCCCCTACTCTCCCCTTTTCTCCTCTTTCCGGGGCACAGGATCCAAACCCAGAAACAACTGATTGTCCCTGCCTGAGCCTCCAAGCCCAGAGACAACAGATGGTCCCTGTCTGGGGCTACTCCTTGATGGACCTGGAGGTCCTGGTAGAAAGATATCTGACCACTGTGGCCTGATTGGGTGAGAGTTTAAAACTTACTTTCCTTTCCACTCTTCTAGTGGATGATCTCCAATATCTTTTTTTTTTTTTTTTTTTTTTTTTTTGAGACGGAGTCTCGTTCTGTCTCCCAGGCTAGAGTGCAGTGGCGCAATCTCGGCTCACTGCGACCTGCGACCTCTGCCTCCTGGGTTCACGCCATTCTCCTGCCTCAGTCTCCTGAGTAGCTGGGACTACAGGCACCTGACACCATGCCCGGCTAATTTTTTATATGTTTAGTAGAGACGGGGTTTCACTGTGTTAGCCAGGATGGTCTCGATCTCCTGACCTTGTAATCCACCCGCCTTGGCCTCCCAAAGTGCTGGGATTACAGGCGCGAGCCACTGCGCCTGGCAATCTCCAATATCTTTCAGTCAACTAATGGTAATGGGCCAGGGCCATTCTTTGGTGTAGCCTAAAGGCCAGAGGGTGAACAGCTTTGGCTTCCTTCTCTGGAAAGGAGGAAGATTCTCTCCTATTCTTTCTTGTCAAAAGTCCCCCTTCCCTATGTGTGGCACAGTTGGCAGTGGTAGCTTGACAAGCGCAAACCTACACACATTTGGGAAAACTCACATCCCCTCTTCTCACTCTAAATTCTCCCATAAAGACAGTCAGCCAACCTGTTTCGGATATTTTAAGCCAGGCAGTCTCAAACAGCACCAGGACCATAAGTCTTTGCTCAGTCTTTTCCCCTTGTACCTGAACTGGTCATCCTGAGTAATTCTTACCTGCACTGGTCTGGGGTTGCTCACCCATTGTTCGCTCATCATAAGGTCCTAGATCTGGGAGATCCTTTTCCATAGGTGGGATACCCCCTTGGAAAGTGCATCTCAGAGTCCCTCAGCGGACATAAGTGGAGCCCCCTTTCCTCAGTGGGATGCCCCAAGAGAAATCATGGTTAGAGTCCCCAGCAGACATTCTTTCCCACCACACCATGGGACAAATCCCCTCCATTTTCTCAGACTTGGCTCTGGGTTGCATTTTAAAACACTGGGATAAATTTGACCCTCAGACTCTCAAAAAGAAACATCTAATTTTCTTGTGCAATACAGCACAGCCACTTTATAAACTTCTGCATCAGCAATCCTGGTCTCCAGGTAGGAACCACACCACCAACAATATTCTTTAGCTTAACTTCTTCTGTTGCAACTCTTCTGAATCGTCTGAAGTTTCTTATGTCCAGCCTTTCATGACTTTTTCTTGGGATCCTGATCTCCACCAAACCTGTCAAACGTGCTTGGCCAAGTTCTCTGGCCCCACTGACTCTTCTGCCATTTTAGACAACCCTTCTTTCATTCTCTCTCATTCTCCCCAACTGGCTGGGCCAGTTGAGGACACACCTTCTTCCCCTGACGAACCACCTTTACATTCAATTACACCTACTCTATCTGCTCCTTATCCCTCACTTTCCCACAACATCCCAACCCTGGATGTCATTTTCCAGGGTCTTGTCTGTATCAGAGGCCCTTCTCCCCTTCACATACTAGGTCAGGGGCCACCTATGATCCCATTTTGGCCTGTGCGTCTTCAACTTACTTGTCAAATTTGTCTCTTCTAGAATTCAGCAGTTTAACCTTCAAATGATGCTGTGAATAGGATATCAGTCTCTCCTCAATGATGTCCGCTACCTTTATGAATTTCCCCTGGATTCAGCTGAACACCAGTTTCACCTTGAAATCCCCCACCCACTCACCCTTGAGTCCCTTCCTCCAGCAAGATCCAATATCCTAAGTTCTACAATTCAGGACAATGACCCACAGGGTCTCCTGACAGACCAACAACCACAGGTAGGGTCAACTCTATGCTCCAGGCCAGAAGGCAGCCACTGGAGATGAGAACTTTGCCCCAGTGCCAAAAATTCATCATTTTTGTTCCGTTGTTGGTTGAGGAGAAATGTGGAGTCTTGATAAGACAAGGTAGTGAGAATGAGGAGGGGGCCCCAGGGTGGAGGAGAACAATTGTTCTGACAGAAGGCTAACTATGAACAACCTGTTTGCACAACATTCTGTTCTCAAATACCTCACTCTGCCAAGTAATCCCAGCAGCATTACCCTATCTGCATGTAGCAGCTCCAGCACGACCCTATAAAACTTCCCTCCAGCCCCTGCCTCTTTGCAGACAGCCCCTTCTCTGCTGTATGACCCATTGCACTCTTGCAACATATCGTCTTACTTTTTTTCTAATAAATTTGCTTTCTTTAACTCAGTGCTGTTTTGGTAAATTCTTTAACTGTCCGCAATGCTAGCCCCAGCCAGTCACAACCCACAACAATTAGTCAAGAAAGAAAAATATAAGAAGTGGCTTCTACTTCTTTAAAAAGATAAGCCATCATGAGCTACTGTTCTTTTACTTCAAAATCAACATACAGAAATGACAAAGGAAGAAGGAAATTGAATCACAATAATGAGCAAAATTAGCCATTATCTATGGCTTACAACAGAACACCTGAAACTGGGTAATTTATAAAGAAAAATACTTTATTTCTTATAGTTATGGAGGCTGTGAAGTACAGGGTCAAGCGAGTGCATCTGGTGAGAGTCTTCCTCATGGCAGGGTCTCTCTGGGTCATCTCCAGGCAGCGCAGGGCATCACATGGAGAGGGGCTGAGCATGACCTGTGCTAGCTCAGGTCTCTCTTCTCATGAAGCCACCAGTTTGCCTCCCATGATAACTCATTATTTCATTGGTCCATGAGTGACTCTGCCCTCACAATCCGGTTGCCTTTTACAGGCTGCACCTATCAACACCACCACATTGGAGATGAAATTTCAATATGAGTTTTGGAGGGCCCCCCCTTCCCATAAACTTGAAAGTGGTATCGCATTGGGGTGAGTGTGGGGTGGTTGGCTGCCGCACAGGGCAGTGTGAGCTGGAGGAAGCAGTGAGAAAATGCAAGAGAAAGCTTTTCAGGTTGTGCCACTGCCTCTTCTCAGTGCTGCAGAAATGGATGGCAACAGCTCAGGCTACAGAGGCAATGTTTCACAGGCAGAGGTGTACACAGTCTACATTGGGGCCAGGAGTGGATGACAACAGAGAGGGACAGAGGAGACAAGCAGGGACCATCATCCCTTTATTCTTCATCTGACAGCTGTTCTCCCTGAGAGTTTTTAAGGTGAAACCTGGGACCAGAGGAAATACACTGGTGAGGTGGCTGCAGAAGGGAGAGATGAGCAGTCTTCTCTAGTGTCTGGGAAATTCTTCAGTGGGACTCTTTCCCGCTTTTCCCCATAAACATACCCTTATTTTTAAACTCAACATAAACGGTAGTTCTGGCTTCACATTTTCTGAAATATAATACCTTCGTAGAAACCAGAGCTGCCATGTCTAGGAGAGGAGAAGCTCATGGGCTATAAAGAGACCCCCTGCCTGAGAAGTAAAACTCTTGGAAAAATAGAACACAGACTAAAACAATTGGTATCATCTGACACAAAATTACTGAAACATGTGAACTAAGAATTTAAAATAGTAGAATAAATGTACCTAGAGAAATAAGGGAAGACATTAGCAGTATAATCGAGAACAAGAAGGCTTATGGAAATATTAGAGAGGAAATGTATTTGTTGAAGTGAAAGACAAAATAGATGAGAAAATCGTGGAACAGATTTTGCTGCAAAATTAACTGTTAAACTGGAAAAAGGAACACTTTCGAAGGCAATAAGAGAGAATAAAGAATATTAATATAGTTTAAATAAATGAAACCAGAAAATAAGAATTTTGAAGAAAAATATGATACATACAGATAAGGAGGTACTTCAAGAAATATGGTAATAAGTTATCCATAATTTAAGAAAAATTAAATTTCCATTTAAAAGACTCATAGAATGCCAAAAAGAAGAGAAGAAAAATCACACAAGCAAACAAATTTTAGTTAAATTTAAGAACATTAACACATTTGTAAAACTTTCAGAGAAAAAGAACAAACCACCCAAAAAGTGACATGATTCAAAAAAGCATCAGGCAACTCAACAGCAACACTGGATATAAGAAGTCAGAAACAAAACAAAACAAACCTTCCTAACATAAATATTTCTTTTTTAGAATCAAGAAAAAAAAATGTAGCAAACGAGTAAAGAACATGAATAGACATTTCATACAAATAGCCCTTAGCATAATTTCGAGCATTATAAGAAAAGTGCAAAATAATAAAACTACATTAATATAAAAGTTTTTACCTACTATATTGCAAAAGTGTTTACAGCTTCACAAGAAATTGAAGAGTTGTGGAGACAGCTATGGAAATGAGGTTCTCTCATTCCTATGCAAGACTTATAGGAATGCTAAATGGAATACTTTCACAGAAGAAAATGTGGCCCCAACCAGCACAAAGACATATACATTTGACCTTTGACACAGACACTTCACATATAGGTAAAATTCCAAGCTTCTATTTTGTAATATTGGGGGAACACCCACAAGTACCTATTTATTGTTGCAGAATTTGTAATGTCAGTATATTGGAAAACACCTGGACCCCCATGCAGAGAAGACCCTAGGTTCAGATGCACACAATGGAGTACTGTGCAGCAGTAAAAAAAAAATTAGGAAGCTCTAATCAGTATAATCAGCTAATGTGGAGTGAAAAATAGCAAGGTGCAGAATATTATTAAGCAATCAAATATAGTTAAATGCATTCATTTGCTTTTGCAACAACAACAACAAAAAAAGAGAGATAAAAATAGCAGAGAAAGAGAAAGCCTAATGTGAAACTAACAAGAATGCTTATTAAGAATGTAGGTGAAAATTGAGCAGAAGGTAGTTCTGATTTAACATCTGCTAATGATGCCCGTGTTCAAAAATTAATTATTTAAAATGTAAACTAAAGTTAAAAGGAGATTAAATACTTTAAAAACAGAAAAATACCTAACTCTATGTCAAACTGATAACCTAACTACAAATACAGGGAGTTAATGTAGGTAACTTAAAAACACAGCACTACAATTACTCACCCTTAGTAGGATATGTAAAAATAATTGCAAAAAAATCTTGAGATGTATTTAATATACGTGTTGTGAATGGTGGTATGGGTATAGCAATTTAAAACGTTCTTTTTTGTTGTGGGGTAGATCAAAGAGCAAATACATGAATATTTCTGGGAACTATGACTACCACTGTAGGAATTTGGTAAATAGAGCAGAAATAAAATATGACTCTATAAATAAAGCTATTTATGAATATTTTGTGAATAATAAATTCAGTAAGTACTTCAAATTAGTGAAAAAGATGAAATATTCAGTGAATCGTTATGGGACATGTTACAAGCTCTTTGAATAAAGTGTTGGATCGCTAATTCAGTCTTTACAACAGAATGTATTTCACATGGATCAGCTTATACACACACATACATACACATGTATAAGCTTATAAATATGTATATGCACGTGTGTGTGTGTATATATATATATATATATATATATACACACAATAAGATATTTGAGTTTATTTTTAATCATAGAGTTGAGAAAACCCTCTACAGAAAGCCAAGAAGCAGTAAGGAATATATTTAAAATGTGACTAAGTGAAATAAAAGGAAAAAGTTTGAAAATCTTCTCCGGCAAGAACTCTTTATAAAACATTTAAAAGTAAATATTTATATGAAAAAAGATATTAACATGTATGAAGGACATTAGTCTGAGTCCCTTAATTTCCCAGGAGTTCATAAATTAATGTTTAAAATACAAATATATACAAAAGAAAATAATGGACAAATGAGGTACATGTTGGAGAATTAAAAATAAATACCAAGTGAAATTCCAAAATATGCCCACTTATTCCCACTTAAAGATATGCAAAGCAAATAACAATGATAACATTTTCCCTCTGTTATAATGCCAACAAATCAAAATGTTAGATAATATCCTGCATTGACGGTTGAGTGGAGGAAATTGTCGTTTTTGTGTACTCTTGGTACAAGGCTGATATTTGGATAGAATATACCAGTTTGGCCATATTTTCCAATTGATAACAGCATCTGTTCTGATTGGGCAGTGCCTATATCCTAGTAATTGTAAAATATTTTAAGTGTCTCTCTTTTGTGAAGAGTATGAATTGGCACAACCTTTTTATAATACACTTAGCATTATGTATTCTCATTAAAAATATGCATCCACTTCTGTCCAAAAATTCCACTGATAAAAACGTTATTACTTCTGTAATATGTAGAAAGTACTTATGTATTGAATCTCATAGCAATTTTTGTAATAAGGAAATTTTATTAAACATGTGTGAACACATCTTTCTGGAGGATCTCATTCCCGATGTTATCTTCCATGTATAGAGAGCTTCCTTGGAATACAGTCTTGGATACTATCAGTCTGCTCACACACTTCTCTCCCTGGGCAACACAGAGTGATTTATCTGATTGGTGGCTTTGGGATGAAGAAGCTGGCAAGATTTATCAGTCTTATCGATCAACCATTCTCCTTTGGGATCATCTCTAAGAAAAGCAAAACACTTTCAACTGCTCTCAAGCATGCTATCATGTTAGTGACGAGGGCTCTGCATCTATGGGACTTGTACTTAGTGAAATCTAATTCTGACACAAAGTACTTAAAATACAAAAGTGTTATACACTTAAGCGAAATTCTCGAGTATCACCTTCTATCCATATTATAGTCTTATTCTTCATCTGCTTGTTCTTTTACTCTTATCAGCCAATTGATTTTGAAATAGGATGAGAAGGGTAAGATTTATGGTGCTTCCAACAAATTCCATAATCTATAATACAATACTAGAATTAATTTTCCTATTTACAAAAGTGGGTATTAATAGTACCTACTTCACATTGTGTGCTAAACCCATGTATACACTTACAAGATTTAGTTGACTCCATTTGCCTCTGAGTTCTAGCTATGTCATTAATAAGATACCTGACTACACAGGTAGTTGCCTCATTTTCTTTTTCTTTCTTTATTTCTTTTTGTTTTTTGAGATGGAGTCTCATTCTGTTGCCAGGATGGAGTGCAATGGCACGATCTCTGCTCACTGCAACCTCCACCTCCTGAGTTCAAGTGATCCTCCTTTCTCAGCTTCCCAAGTAGCTGGGGTTACAGGTGTGCACCACCATGCCCAGCTAATTTTTTGTATTTTTAGTAGAGATGGGATTTCACCATGTTGGACAGGATGGTCTCGATCTCTTGGCTTTGT
The DNA here is from genome assembly GCF_000001405.40 of Homo sapiens. Classification (NCBI taxonomy): domain Eukaryota; kingdom Metazoa; phylum Chordata; class Mammalia; order Primates; family Hominidae; genus Homo; species Homo sapiens. The sequence goes on from NC_000004.12 coordinate 178,576,079, forward strand.
GATCCACCTGCCTCGGCCTCCCGAAGTGCTGGGATTACAGGCGTGAGCCACCACGCCCAGCCAGTTGCCTCATTTTCTAAGGATGATCAGGTGTCCCAATTTAACCAGAACAGTCACGGATTATTACAGCATCCTTAGTATAACTATTATACTTATCATAATTAACAGTAACCCTTTTTAAGCTCAGAGGTGCCCACATTTGAAAGTTTGATTACATGGTATTCTATTTAACACTGCTGGCTGTTTTAGCGTCCCCCATGGAGTAAGGGCTGGGCTTTGGCACAACTTCTTTTCTGCCCATATTGGCAGGAGCCCTGGCATTTCCAGCCGTCAGGTCCAGCAATATCAAACCACAGAACCGCTTGTTTCTGCCACTACTGCCCAGAGCAGCATTGTAACTCAATATAGATGAGAGGGAAAGTTGGTGCATGACGGAATGAACTTTGTCAGTTAAATGAAGGGGAACAGGGAGAATCCAGAGTGCCATATGTACATTTCTTCTCTGTAACAGCTAAGGATGAGGTGCCCTAGTTCTTTCCATAAATCCTCTGCATGTGTTCAAATAACTAGCCATATTTTAAGAGGCTGGGTGCTTTAGTAAGGCACTTATTTGAATTTGCTTTTTTTTTTCTTCCCTGGTGCATTCTTCTTTTCCCCTCCTTGGTTGACCTGGGATTGTATTCAAAGACATAAAGTATGGATTTTTCTCTTGCTCTTTTCTTTTAGGGAACCCAAAGTAAAACAGTACCAGGAATGGCCCTGAAAGCAAAGCACTCACAAAGGGCTTTAGGACTGGATAGTTTACCTATCTGGATGTAACAAGAATCCCCTTGCTTTCTATAAATGAGGCCTAAAATTGTGGCATGCTATAACATAACCCATTATTAAAGCTTTCAACTTTTTAAATTGTTATGAGGTACAGGTAAAAGACAAGTTATTAGATGATCAAGTGGATGTTGCTTTTGTGGATTTAAAGGTTATGAAACGTAGATGAATTTTGGTGTGGGTGATTGTTTTTTATGACATTACAGATCTTGAAAAATCAGAAAATAATATGCTCAGGGAACTTAATCTTCAATTTAAGACATGTCCTAAAAGTCAGAGATTTTTAAAGGAGTTTCAAAGAGATTATTGTATCCCCAAACTACGGGCAATTCGGTGTTGAAATCAAGCCCAGGATGTAGCAGAACAACTCAGGTAAAGTGTAATGCTTTCTGCAAAATTTAAGACTGTAGTACAAAGAGCGGGAGCCTGTAAGCTGGGATATGAGTGGATGAGTTTGGGAATATTTAACTCCCCCAATCCTCGAAATTTCCTGGCTTGCAGAAGCATCCCAATCCCCCTGTCAAGAGGAGAACAGCTTCCCTTGTCTATAAGACTCTGTGACCATCACAACCAGAGCATTTACCTCACAGGGCAATACTAATTCACCTCAATATCCACACTTACTACCCTTTTCTGTCTTCAGGAAAATAACAGGTTCAATTCTCTGCACAGCCAGAGCTTGGCAGTACAAAGTCTGCTTTGGAAAGAAATAGTTTAAGGACCAAATAATTGAAGAAAGTAAGAAAACATTTTGGGGAATAGTTCTTGAGAGTGTTAGATGATAGGGACAGAAAATAAGGCAGATAGGGGAGAATTCCTTGATAAGCTGGCACTAACTTAGGACATGGTATCAATGTTCTGGTGGGAAACTCTGGAATTGAGCAGCTGGTCATATTTTGCTGCTTTTTGAGACCAGGTACAAAGAATTAACCTTCATTTAATGTTGTGGAGATTCTAAAACTTTTATGAGCGCAGTACATCAGGTTGAGAAGAGGGATCCTAACACTCAGAGAAATGGCAACCCCAGAATCGAATGCTGAATATTCACCACTTGAATATGTTCTCTAGGAGAATACAATGAGCAGTCTCTTCACTAAAGCACTATGATCTGCGATGAAGGCAAAGATGCTATTATCTGTGAAAAGTGTTTTCGTGCCTTCTCTCTCGTAGTTGGCGATGCTACGTAGGATTGGGCTCCTTAATATTGCTTGTACAATGACAGAAGCCAGGTGGCAGCACTTGATTGGCACTGACATAGTGGATGCAATTATCTTAATGTGAAGCGAAGTCAAAGTATACTCAGAGTTCATTAGTCTATAGAAATATATGGCAAAGGCTAATAAATAGATCTTGAGTGTAGTGTTCTGAAAGACAAGAAAGATAACTGACTAGAGTTTTTCTCTAGTTGCATAATGTAAAAAAATGATTACTTCAAAGAGAAGATTGAGCTCAGTCTCCACTAAGGGTGGTCACAGATCCTCATACATTTTTCCATACCTAGGACAATCATAGACACAGAGCTCACTGATTGAAAGGAGACTGAAATTATTATGAAAGGGTCGTAAAATGTCATCTCAATATACGTGGTTAATATTGTTCCATTCCTTATCCAAAAGACCTGTGTCCATATGCCAGGTTAACAGTTCTCTGGAGAAAAAGGAGTAACCAGATCTTTTTGAGCAATGTGAGGTACAGGGCTGACACTTGCTAATGATACCAGGAATCTACAGTTGTGAACTGGGTTTCCCTGTACTGTTAGGTTAATTGACCTTGCTTACACTAAGGAATTAGGGTTGATACTGCACGATGGAGGAAGGGTAGAAAAACCATCAAAGACCTTAGAGGATTCTAGGAGGAATGTGAAGTTGATGTAACCATGGCCCAGCAAATAAGTGCTCTGACATTACCAGGATTTCTGAAAATTTCCTAGGCAAGACGAAGGAAAATGTTGGCCCGGGTGAGGGAGATCTATAGTAGGTGGTGATGGTGGGAGACGATCCATATTAATTACTCTTTCACTGAGTACAGAAACAGAAGCCATAACTCGGTTAGGCAATCTTTTTGGGGGACTGCAAGTGGCTATTTTTGAAAGGTTACACATGGGTCTTTCCCCCATTGGAAATAGGTAAGAACATCTGGATATTATTAGAGGATACAAGTGTATCAGAGAGGCATAAGTCATAGGGTGTATCTCACAGTGTTTGTACTTCCTTCACCCAAATTCTTGATCTTGGCTACCTGTGGGGTTGTAGCACATGCTACTTGGAGAGCCTTGACCACCATGGATGTAGCCTCACCTCTTAACATCATAACTCCTAGGGCAGTAGTTGAGGTTAACGTGGCTCTGTTGCACCTGCTCCAGTGGAATGTGCAGCAGCTCCTGTGCCCAGGACCAATCCCACCGAAGCCGTGGAGAAATGTGTCCCACAGCACGCGCACGTCTGGAGGGGTTGGGCTGCTCAATTAGGAACTGCAGAGAGGTAACAGCTTTTGATTGAACTTTAACCAATGGCAGACACTAGTAAGAAAGGAGCCGGGTGATTAATGCCTTAGCTAATTTTCCCCCAACAGACTTCTCTGAGCCAAACTAGTTCCGTGGGTATCCTCTGGAAGCATTAGGTATGACCAAGCAAATTGCTTTACTTCCTTGTGTAAAGCACAAGACCGCGGTCCTAGGTTATACACAAACGTGTCTGCATTCCTTTCTTCCCTGGACCATTAACACATACATGTTATAATAGAACTAGATTTAAGAAATAAGAATTTTTTAGTTTTAAGTGACTTAATACATGCAAAGCTTTGAGAACAATGCCCAGTCCATATAAATAATATGCAGGCAACCACAACGAAGAGGTAAAAAATGAGCTTAATCAGCATCTACCAAAATTCAAGTTATTTTATTAAATGTAAAAAAGGTAAGTTCCTAGGTAATGGATGCAAAATAAAGTGCACTTACATATTATTTAAAATTCAATTCATATATGTTATAGCGTATAGATTATAACTAAAATACCCACAAAACAATGAAAGGTTAGATAAGAACTGATCTTCAGAGAGAGAATATAATGCTCATTCTTTCTTTTGGCATTTATTCATTTATTTATCTACCATAATAGTAAGCAGACAAAAATTAATAATAAGCCTTAAATATACAGTATAAAATATACCACATTTCTAAAGTAATCGTAGATTAGATGGAAGGTAAAACTTTGGCTCAATTTGTTTCTATTGTTATAACATTGGCCTAAAAATGCATAATAAATATTATTTAAGTGATTCGAAAAGTATTCTAACCTGTATACATTATGTTAGTCATAACAGTAAATATTATAAGGTATTGTTACATTTTGAAATTAGCAAATACATTTGAAGAATGCATAAAGGAGAAGCAGACATAGATTAGGCTTCTTCAGAATAAAAAAAAAAAAGTAACTCTACAGTTGAAATAGAGAAGCCAAGCTGAATTTTGAATGGAAATACTTGCATTGATGAATACTGCCATGGTTGTAAGAGTTTCAGTGCAATAAACCTTCAAAGTTGAGAATGGGTCTGTTTTTGCAACCTCAGACATGTTTCCTAGAAATAGATGTTTGGACAAATGTAGAAACTGATAGTAAATGAAATATATAAAAGTAGCCAAAAGAAAGGTTAAACAGTTTAGAAAATTGTACATATGACATTTATACTAGGAAAGAAATATCTTTATACCAAATTGGTCATCCTCATACCAAAATGGTCTCCATCAATGAAATGGAGATTTGAAGTAAATTTTAAAATAAAGTATAAAATATCATTGATTTGGTTTTTACTCTTTCTACCTAATACATTTTCAATATGCTTACTTGCAAATATAAAATAATTAAAAGAAAACATTTAAAAATTATTTCTCATTCTGTCGTCTTTTTTTTTTTTTTTTTTTTTTTTTTTTTTTTTTTTTTTTTTTTTTTTGAGACAGAGTTTTGCTCTTATTGCCCAAGCTGGAGTGCAGTGGCACCATCTCGGCTCACCGCAACCTCTGCTTCCCAGGTTCAAGTAATGCTCCTGCCTCAGCCTCCCAAGTAGCTGGGATTACAGGCATCTGCCAACACGCCTGGCTAATTTTTGTATTTTTAGTAGAGATGGGGTTTCACCATGTTGGCCAGGGTAGTCTCGAACTCCTGACCTCAAGTGATCCTCCTGCCTCAGCCTCACAAAGTGCTCAGATTACAGGTGTGAGCCACCGCACCCTGCCCCATTCTATCATGTCGTAATAAATGCTTTTACCATGACAGTATTTTCATCTTCTACTCAACTAAATTCTCTTCATTACATTACATCTTTAATTATATGATCTTTTTTTCACTAGTGAATGTATGGCAAATATTTTCCTATTAAAAATAATCTTTGAAAACAATTTAAACAGTTGTACATTACTCTATCATATGTTTAAGGCATACTATACTTAATGGTTTATCAATTATAAAAGTCATTACTCTATGTTGGTTTTGAGCTGTGTTACCCCAAGTAAATTCTTACTACATTTCCCACCATTCTTCGTCCTGCATTGTTCTGGGGTTGGATTAGCCACGAGAAAAATGTATGTGAGATTGTTCAACAGAAGTTAAGTTCTGAAGGTTGGAGAAGGGGTCAGGTGCTGCTGCAGTTTGCACGTATCTTCAGTAATCTGCTTCTTTACCTTCTTAGGGTATGAGTCAGGGTGGGGACTGGGTTCTCCAGGCCCATAGCTACTTCTTCTCTCACTAAATGCTCTCCTGTAACCTCTATACATCTTGAACCAGGTACACGTATTGCCCTATGGTGAAATGGTCAAGCAGGTGACTGTAGATTCGAGTTGGATGAGATGATATCACTGCCAAGGTTATCCTCAAGGGTTCCACTGTATACTGAGCTACCCATCATTTCATGTCCAGTTTTTCTTCTTAAGTGCAGATACTGATGACACATAATGATTCTAGATACACCATCGGATGCAGAGACAACAGCGTGCATGGTGTGGTCGCCAGCTCCTGCATGGTGCAAGGTCAAATTCCCAGAATAAATCTCTGATGCCATTGGCTTGGGTCTTGTGCCCTGATAAAACTGGTATACTTTTTGTCTCCAGAAAAAGAAATCTTTGTTTTTATCAACAATGATGTCACAACAATGATGATGTCTGTAGGATTCATTCCTTATAATAAAATAAGAGTGTCGAAGTTAGGAAATCTTAATAATTTTGAAAAGATCATAATGTGTCAAACAATATAAAATATGACTATCAGTGTTTGAAATATTAAAATTCCTAGATTCACTGAATCCCTATCAGAGTCTCACTGAATATTACAGTTTTATTTTGCTTAAAAAGTAATTTTTTTAAATTTAAACCGGAATACCATTTTAATTAAATTTGCAACTTATAATGATACATTTTTAAAAAATATATTTCTACCACAAACTGCTTTTAAAATTTCTTTATTCTCTAAAATTTTAAATCTTCTACAACAGTGTTGTAAAGAGACATAATTGACATGGAAAAATGGAAGAAATTTTTTAAAATATTGAGCCTAATTTATATAATATGTATAATAAATTAGACAAGGCAAATCAACTAGCAAGTGATGGATTATTTTAAAGTATTAAGCATCTATAATAATAATAATGAGTTATTAACTTACCAGTCATATACTGCAATTGACTTCAGATGAACTAGGAAATTGAAGAAAATAAACTCTTTCAAATAATATATTAAAATTTTGCTTTCAACTAACAAACTCTTTTAATATTTCCCATTGAAAATATTTTTCACCAGTGGCCTTTTATCCATAGCATGTTTAGAACAATTATTTTCTTCTTTACTGCTGCTTTTATAGGCCCCATTTTTTTGCATAGCTGCTTTTCACAGTCAACCTTGAAATATTTGAGAATTTCCCTAGTTTACAGTTTCTAGGTTGTCTGTGTATATAGAGATTTTGCTCTCCTCAGTGTCATTTACCATTCTAAAAATTTTCAACCAGAGTGATGATTGATATCTAAGTAATTTTAGACAAATATTTGGTAGGCATGCAAACATTCATCATATTTTATGGTTCTTAAATGAAAGTTCATGAATATATTTTTGCTATTCGTGAAGTGTGTTTGAGAATATTTGTTTTTATTTCATCCTTGCTATTCTAAAACAATAATCACATTTGAAATAATCTAGATGACTACATTAAAACAGTGTATTACTACATGATTTCAGAGCCTATATTTTCACCTATCACTATATTCCATAAAAATCTATTTTTCAATTGATGTTTCTTATTTGTAGTAGTAATTGCAGTTGAAAAAGATTTCTGTAGATTCAGGCTGTGATTATTTAAGGAATTTAATACACTGACATTTCTATTTGATATCAGGAAAATAATCTGGTAATTTATCATTTTAATTTTAATGGTTTATGGGAAAATAGAGTACGCTTAATATGTAAATAATATTTTAATTAAATGTAGCGATCTAATATCATCAAACACTGCATAAAAAAGGTTTTATAATAGTTTTACCATCATAGAAATAATTTTCAATATTATAGTTGTTTCTTGAGTAGATTTTATGTTCTCCCTGTCATTAGAAATGCTTTATTAATTTAGAGAAGAGTTTTTAAATAAGCAATATTTTGTTTTTACTTTTGCATTTGGAGACATTCCACTAAGTTAATTGTTTCATCAATTAATAGTCTAGTGCTTACAAGTTTCTCATATAAAGGAAAAAGTGCTTATAATGACAATGATAATTATTAAATTGATGATTCTTTACTCTCAAAAGCAAAAGTTTGATTTGACAAATAAAATACGTAGAAAAAAATACAATTTTAGTATTAAATACAACATTGGTAATGTTTTTTCAAACACTAAACAATGTAACTTACGTTGTCATAATAATCATAATAATAGTACTTATTTTTACTCATTTTGTATTTTTAAAATAGTTTGCAGGGTTTTTTAAAGATTTAAAATATACAATAGCAAAAAGCCTAAAGGAATCTAATGTACATTTATGTGTAATGTAGAAAAAAAATTGGAATTCTATCCACTAATTATAAATGTCTGTTCTGGTTTTTGAAAAGCTTTTTCTAAATTATTCAAATGTGAAAATCTAATTATATGTTGCAGAACTAGAGTCTCATATTTCTGATGCTAGTTCCTTTCAAAGTGAAAAGTATGCATTTCCCTAGACATCTTTTTATAATTTCCAGCATTTTTTGTAACAATTTATAAAATATTACAACCTTTATGGTACATCATTTCCAATTCTCTTTCTCGTCCTTATTTGCTACTGAATTCATATTTAGGAATCTAAGGATATTTATTTACATGTCAATATACATATTATTCGTCACTTTTTAAAATATCTTGATTATACAGTCACTGACAGACGTTTAAATTTTCATTGAAGAAATCTTAAAATATTGAATTCGTTTTGTTCCCTAGAGATAAAAAAATCATTTCCTTATATAAGTTTAAAAAGGTTTTATAAATTCAAAATTAATACTGACAGTAAAGTAGTTTAAATTTTCCAAAAGTATTTCCAATGAAACACGCAGTTTTGGAAGTTAATAATAATGATGATAATAGGTGCTTTCTATGACTCAGCTGAGTTATATGCAGTGAGAGATGTTATAAAATTTAGTAGAACAGGCATTTAGTAGAACACTGTCTTGTCATCTAATCATATGGAGCATAGAGGAAATTTCCACTGCACTGTAAGAAATGCGAAATTTATGTGCATTTGCCCGATAGCATCCTCTCAAGAATTAAACACACATGCCCCTTCTGGCCTATTAAACATATTTTCTATATTAACTTTTTCCTTTCCTATTTATTATTATAAACTATAAGTGATTTTTGGTTGGTTTAGTTTTTGTTTTGTTTGTTATGCAAAAGAGAAGCAGCTCCTTAGAGCTGTCAAAATGTTTCCTTGCCAGGATTATTTTGAAAAGTGATGTCATATGGGTACGAAAATCGTATTTGAAAAACATATGTCAATTAAAATCACTATTTCTCTCCAAAATTAATAACAGTCTATATTCCCAAAATTGACTAGCGGAATGTTAAGTGGTGTGTAGTTCAAAATAAGAGCCCACAAACTGAAGTCAGACAATTATCATTCATTAGGAATGTCTCACACTGAAACAGATGTATTATAGAAGCCTGAGTTCTCAAAATTTTATGTTAAGTATTTATTTACTTTTCGTATTCTGGCCAATCTTTGTTTTTCTTTTTTGTTTGTTTGTTTTTGTTTTGTTTTGTTTTGTTTTTGTATTTTTAGTAGAGACGGGGTTTCACCGTGTTAGCCAGGATGGTCTGGATCTCCTGACCTCGTGATCCGCCCACCTCGGCCTCCCAAAGTGCTGGGACCACAGGCGTGAGCCACCGCGCTTGGCCTATTCTGGCCAATCTTTTAAAGAAAATTGTACATCTACCACATTAGTCTGAGACAACTAAAAAAGAAGAGCAATACTGGATGCTATAAGGGTGAACATAGATGTCATAGTCATTTCATTCTTACTATTCCACGATATATGTTCTACTAAAATTCTTTTTCAAAATATGTATTCTTATTATGCATCACTGATCATAAAATTTATACATTATATTAACTTTGGAAAAATTCATTGTAGTGATTGTATTTGATAGTATTCTAATTTTCTGTTATTTCCTACTTTGAATTTTCCCAATACATCTTTATGTAGAAATGAGAAGACATTATATTTTTTTATGTCCACCACATGCAGCAGCAGGGAATGTGGGGCTCAGACTTGTTGCATTGAAAGCTTGAGTAGAACTGACAATTCAGAGAGAAATAATCCAGGGAATAGCTAAATTACATACCAAGTAAATGCAACGTAATAAATTAGACAGTTTAAGTCTGGTTTGATTTTTCCCCAGTTTAAAATTGAGGAAAAGAGAGTGAGTCTGATTCTGTCCCCATTTAAGGTAAAATCTCTAACTGCATTTTATTTGAAGGGTACACAGAGGGTTTGGTAGTAATAAAGGTAAAAGCAACATTACTCAAGTCCAATCATCATTTTTGTTTAAACTTTGAACATAGAAACTTACGTTTGTATCCTGTTTCATGGGAAAATAGGCTTGCTTTACTTATAAAGAGTATATTGAAATTTAATCTCATCATCCATATGTGTAACAAACCATAAAAATCAAACGAAGGATTATTTTTATTAAACTTTGCCGAATTATTCAAATTTTCTGAATTCTAATAACATTTGCATGATAGAACCTATGAATACTAATAATCCTGTTGAAAGCCTGTTTATTAGTATTGATTTTGTTCGTTCAAAACTGGTTACTCTATATTAAATTTCTACTTTGGAGTACTATGTAAAATTCTCTTTCTAGAAAAAGTGATTTTGTGACATTTTTGTTTGTGTTATTTGATTAGCCCTTAGATTCTTCTAAGCAAATAGACAAACATTTTATAAAGAAAAGAAGTCTTTACCCAATGATTGCTCAGAGTAGCTACTTCTTAGTTAGTATGAAATAAAAAAGTATGGTAACTCTTAGAAGCAAATTTAGGAGTAAGTCTTTGTGACTTTAAGTAATTAAGTAATGATATTTCTTTATGATTTTGGGCTTAGGAAATGATTTCTTAGCTATTAAGTGAAATGTTAATAATAGCATTATTTATCATAGTCAAAAAGTGGAAATAATATAAATGTCAATCAACTATGATGTATCTATACAATGGAATATTATTTAGCAGTAAAAACAATGAAGTACTGATACAGAGACGAATCTCAAAAAACAGTAAGCTAAGTAAAAGAAGACAATCACAAAATACCATATATTGTATGATTCCATTTATTTGAAATGTCCAGGATGGTCAAATCTGTAGATAAAGTAGATTACCAGCTTACTATCTTTGGTGAGAAGGAATGGGGAGTAACTGCTAATGGATTTAGGGTTTCTTTTGGGGGGATGACTTTCTAAAATTAGATTGATGATGATTACACAACGCATGAATATGCTAAAACTGTTGAATTGTTCACTTTAATTTGGTGAGTTTTGTGGCATGTGAATTATATTTCAATAAAGCTGTTTTTAAAACGGTACAGAAAAACAGGGCTGTAAAACCTGGATGAAAGAAAAGTTAAAATAGTTCAAAATAAAGAGAAGTACAGTGTTCTTGATAGATAGCTGAAAGCTGCAAAGCAGAATCAAGGTGGTGCTTCAAGAACAAAGCTATGTGTATCTTTTGGGTGTGGCCGCACCATTTGGATCACTGAGGGGCAAGGTAGGAGCATATGATGTGTTGTTGCATAGAGGCTAAGTTAGAAGGGAGGTCTTCCTATAAAATGGAGGCATCTAGAAGACAACAGCTTCCGCAGATCGAGGCAGGGTGGAGAGACTGTCTCACTTTAGGAAATGGTGGCCTGTCTCCTTCTTCCTGCTGTAGTTCTGAATAGGGCAGGAAAAAAAATCTTCCCTGCAAGTAACTAATCATAAATTTGAGCTCATGTTGACCTGGAGTTCAAATTCACACTGTTTTCACTAAAATACCTTTTCTCACACTCTTCGCATTCTCTCCTCCTATGCTTGGAAAACAATCACAGTAATTAGTTTTTAAAACCAATGTTTAAAAATGTGTTTAAAATTTTGCCCTTTGGGTCCTGTCCCCTCTGCAACTATCAGAATGAAAATTATTTATGAAAAAACAGACTTAAGATAATACCACAAATAGAATTACCATACAAACAGGACTTAGTAAAAATACTAACAAACGGGAAAAACAGAGCTCAATTAGGAAGAGTGGCTGGGCACAGTGGCTCACGCCTATAATCCCAGCATTTTGGGAGGCTGGAGATGGGAGGATTGCTTGAGATGGGAGTTCGAGGCCATCCTGGACAAGATGATGAGAACCTTCCTCTATAGAAAATTTAAAAATTAGCTGGGGGCCGGGCGTGGTGGCTCACGCCTGTAATCCCAGCACTTTGGGAAGCCGAGGTGGGTGGATCACTTGAGGTCAGGAGTTCGAAACCAGCCTGGCCAACATGGTGAAACCCTGTCTCTACTAGAAATTAAAAAAAATTAGCTGGTGTGGTGGTGGGCACCGGTAATCTCAGCTACTCAGGAGGCTGAGGCAGGAGAATCACTTGAACCTGGGAGGCAGAGGTTGCAGTCAGCTGACACTGCACCACTGCACTCCAACCTGGGTGAAAGAAACAGACTCTATCTCAAAAAAAAGAAAAGAAAAAGAAAAACAAAATTAGCTGGGTGTGGTGGCTCACACCTGTAGTTCCAGCTACTCAGGAGGCTGAAGTGGGAGGACTGCTTCAGCCCAGAGATCAAGGTGGCAGTGAGCACCATGATCATGCCATGGCACTTCAACGTGGGCAACAAAGTGAGACCTCCTTCTCTAAAGAAAAAAAAGAAGAAGAAGAAGAAGAGTCAGTGGAAAGAAAAGAAAGAAAAACATAAACTTCAGAATGAAGCCTGTAGAAAATGAAGATTTTGAACTTATCAGGAAAGTAAATATAACATTAGTTTCAAAAAAATTAATGTAGATGAAAAGTATAATGACCAAAGATGAGACAAATATTTACCAAATTGAAATAAAGATGAAATAATTAAAATAAAAAATTCAATGGAGAGTTTTCACATTGCATTGGTACCTATCAATCATATAAATAGTTGGAATCATTTTATGCCAGATATTACGCCAGGTGTTTTATGTGCTTTTTGTCATTTCCTACTTTGAAATAACTCTACAAGGTTTGTGCTATTATTATCCCCATTTCACAGATAAGGAAGCTGAGAGGGAAAAAAGGGGGATGAGGTGAACTAACTTATCTACAGTCACATAGCTAGTAAGCCAGGAATTGAACAAATGAATTGTGACTCCTGAGTTTGCACTTTTATTCATTTTACTTTACTGTTTGGCAAAAGATAATACAAATGAACAAATAAGTGGATGTTATAAAGTATGAAATTTTAACTTGTTGACATAGGAAGCAACAGAGAGAGATAAAAACTTTAGAAAAATAGTTATATTTAGAAATATAAGACATACCAATTTAGAAATTGTAGGTGATCAAAATTTATAACAATGTGTAATTATATAATTGTAGATATAGTTGCAATATAAATATTACAAGTGTTATTTTTCATATAAAAAAGTCATTCTTATCCCTTATCCTATATTTTCTGCATGACTCTAAAGCACTTGAGATTGTATATACTTTCTGTTTATTTGTTTATTATCTCTCTAGTTTCACTAGTAAATTCCTTAAAAACAGATTTCCCAAAGTGTATAACATGGAATATTAGCCCTACAAGATTTTGTATAAAACAAAAAAAAATTTTCATTGAATAAGAAGTTTGGAAAATACTGCATCACAGCCACAAAATTATTATCTTGCTCTCAAACAAAACAAAACAAAAGAAAGAAAAATCAGGCCCCGAAACAATTGATATCAGAAAGAACTAGTACTCATCAGAATCTACCTTCTGAAAAGTTTTTCAAACAGATCAGCAAGTATGTAATGATTTGAATAACCAAATAGGGAATAGGAATATACACCAAAAAAAGCCAAAGCTTTGGATAGATAAGAACGACTGTTACTCAATAAGTTATAACAAGAGCATGTTAGTGATACGTATTTGTGGAATCCCTGTAAACAGACCCAGGTAGCAGAGGCACATAATCTTACATAGTTCAGTTCTCTTGTTTTATATGCCAATAACAGTCTCTAACCTTTCCTTTAAGGTAGCTCTACTACCAAAAATATGCAGTGTAATGAAAAATATTAAGAAAATTGTTTTATAAAAAAGTAATGGAGAGGCCATAGAACAAAAAGAAAGATAATCAGAAGAGAAAGTTAGTTACCTTTAAGATAGTTCTGAAAAAAAAAAATACACCAAATGCCAGAGACATATACGAGAAGATATATAGCCGGGGGCAGGGTGGGGGGTGGGTGGCAGTTGGGGAAGAAACATAAGAACAGAATGAGAAGGTATGTCACCATATATCTATTCATATTGCTAGAATATTGAGAATCTGGACAGATAATATTCAAGAATATAATGCCAGAAAGTTTTTCACATTTTGTAAAAGACATGAAACATCAGATGTAAGAATACAACAATTTGTAAATAGACACAAATAAATAAAGCTAAATAAGTTGATATGAGGTAAAAATTTGTTATAGTAAAAATTCAGAATGCCACAGTAAAAGAAAATATATTAAAGCAACCAGTGAATATAACAAAGAAAGAAATGACAATTAAATTGAAAGGTACATTCTCAATAGCAATTCCAGAAGCTGAAGATAGCATATTTTCAAAAATGTAACTGAAAAGTGGAATGGTATCATAAGAAATGAAATAACTCCAAATCCAAAATTCTATAGTCTAAAATATCTTTCAAGAATTAGGACAAAATACATTTTCAGATAAACAGAGAATTGAAGAGGAAGAAAAATTATCACAGGAAAGCTTGAGATGCAAAAATAAATGATTCCCAAAGAAATGGTGAAATTTAACAGCAAAACTAAACAAACATAGAAGACATAAAAAGAGGAATAAAGTCAATACGATTCTGCATCTATATGTATCAATAGCGTTTGGTTGGAAGAAGCTGTTTTCTAAATTACCTTTACTTAATTTTTCTTAGTTTTTAGTTTTATGTAAAAGACTGTATTAGTCAACTTTTGGTATTGTTAAAGTATACATAAGCTTAAATTGCTTAGGTTAACTTTAGAAGAATATTAATAGAAATTATAACTGCAAGTTAGGACAGACGGAAACTGTTTAAATAGATCAATGAATACAATAATTAAGGATAAAAAAGAAAATAAATATGACAAATTGAAATAATTATTAAGATAGTAAAAGTTTTTGAAAGCATATCAGTCATTAAAATCAATATAAATGGGTTTACATATCCAGTTAGCAAAAAATAATTGTATGTATCTAGAATTTTTTTTAACTTTTATGTTAAGTTCAGGGTACAAGTGAAGGTTTATGACACAGGTAAACTTGTGTCGTGGGGGTTTGTTGTACAGATTATTTCATCACCCAGGTATTAAGCCTAGTACCCATTAGTTGTTTTACCTTATCCTCTTCCTCCTTCCAGCCTCCACCCTCCGAAAGGCCCCAGTGTGTGTTGTTCCCCTCTGTGTGTCCACATGTTCTCATCATTTAGCTCCCACTTATAAGTGAGAACATTGAGTATTTGGTTTTCTGCTCCTGTGTTAGTTTGCTAAAGATAATGGCCTCCAGATCCATGTCTCTGCAAAGGACATGATCTCATTTTTTATGACTGCATAGTATTCCCTGGTGTATATGTACCACATTTTCTTTATCCTGTCTATCACCGGTGGACATTTATGTTGATTCGATGTCTTTGCTATTGTGAATAGTGCAGCAATGAACATACGCATGCATATGCTTTTTACAAACCCCAAATTCCAGAAACATAAGATTAAAAACATTTCAAAGTAAAAGGGTGTTGTTTTAAAATAAAGTAGAGGTCAGAAGAAATCTATTGCAATGGGCAATTCTTCTCAGTAGTCCTAGGAATGAAATAGACGGCAACTAAATATATTTATTAATTACCACAATTAGAAAAAAATATAGACGTATAATCCAAAAACTTGACTAACATTTTCATAATTGAAAATCAGTTTTTCATCTTGTTTTCAGGCATAATTTAATTTACATTCTGGAAAACTTTTGACGGAAAGAATATTGGGTCTCTTTTCAAAAGGAAACTGAAACACTGCCACACATATATGTGTAAATCCTCCTCGGCAAACAGCCAATGCGCTCTGCATTGATTTACCAAGATGCGTGTGCATGGGAGTAGGAAAATTTGCAAACATTTTAGTAATTATGAGACATGACCTTAGTTCTGATCCATTTTCAACTAGATAGACAAGAGGATTATGGAGTTCAGGTGACATAATGGAATTTTGTCTCAAACAAGCCTCACAATTTTTCAATGTGTCTTATCTCAAGAGTCTGGCTATTTCTTCAGTTTCTGAATGCATTTTAAGAATAGACAGCCTTTTTTAGATTCTCCATATTGGCTCAGTAACCTATGGACTATGGCTATTATTGCAGGAAAAGCTAAATAGAAGCCTTGGTAATTTCATCTACACACCAAAATATTAAACTAAATGTAACATTGATTTTGTGAGGGAGTTGTAGAACAGTGAAGTCACCAAATGCTTATATATATATAGAGAGAGAGCTGGTGGTTTCTATCACATCGTAATTAACTCTCTTGTCTGGTCTGTACAAAAGCCAAATAAATTGAGAATAATGACTGGGGTTTAGTATGACTAAATCATATGGGATTGAGATTGAAGCTGTTCCAGCTGTGACATCCTTGCTGGATAATGATTATCAGCACAGCTCAGCACCTGACAAGCAGCTATTGATCTTCCATATACCTTCTTAAAAAATCACACAAATTACTAAGGAAAGTGCAAAAACTATATATGCATTTACCTGACAGTAACAGCAGTACACCTTATCAATCTTACCTCATATCTAAGTAAATTATCCTGTTCTCTCTCATAATATAATACACCATATGATTCTGTTTGGACCTATGGATCATGCAGCATAGAGAACTCAAGATATCACAGGCATTTATTTACTAGATTACATTTTTTAAAAAATATAAAATTTTAAGAAACATAGTAATATTTCTAAGTTGTGGCTTGTGGCATATCAGGAAGTCCCATGTAATATTAAAAATAGGTTATTCTACCTTGCCTTGGACACCACAAGAAGAGAAGGCACGAAGTTCTTTTGGGTTTTTTAGGTTATACTTTGTATGTTACTCTGCTGCATATCCACAGGAACACATGAGGCTGCTTGTTTTTTGAGGGACTTGGAAAAAAAAATGCTGCAGGAGTTTAGGTTGTGGCTGAAGTCATTTCATCAATTAGTCTTTATGATGCAGCAGAAACAATTTTGCTTGAAATATCTATGGATATTAAGTACATTGTATGGCAAACCTGGGAACTTCTAATAGGAAAATCTGAGTGAAGACATCTATGATGTTGGAGCAGTTACCACCAACCTCACTGATCAATGTTATCCTTTAAAAAAGATCAGTGTTTTATATATCATAGTTGGAGATAAATGTATAAATCATAAGAAAATTACACAATACAGTTTCACAAATAAAGCCTCTTTTGCTGAAAATCGTTTATGAAGTTTATCCTTTTTGTCAAATTTTTCTTAGTCTGCTCGTTGCCCACGATCACCCTGTATGGATATACTACAATGTTTGCATCCACCGTATATTGAGAAGATTGCCGTTCCTACAAACAATACTGGTATGAATATCCTCACACATGATTTGGTTAACATATGCTTTCGTTTCTTTTGAGTATTTCTTTTGATATAATCAAATAAGAAAAGACTGTATGTCATTAAGACAGTGATATTACAGCTTGTGATAACATGGACTTTTCAGTAGCAGCTTTTATGGAATATGAATAAGCTTAAGGGATAGGCCATTAAAATATGGTAGTTACCATAAGATAATGTCACCCTTGAAGAGAAACTATGTGCCAGATACAGTCACATGCCTTCAAACACCCAGGAGTGTTGTCACCTGAAAATTATACCTGCTGCTTTTTCAACATGGAGAGTGTAAATTTCTTGTATTTAAGTACAGTCATACTCATTTTAGGTATATTTCTCTGATCATAAGAAGACACTGATTAATAATAAGATGTTTACACCATTCAAGGTATAGTAATATTGCATAGCTCATTATAATGTGAGGGAAAAATTATTTTATTCTAATAAAAAACAAGAAACAAACCCTCATCTCTTCATTAGAAAACATATTGCCGGGCTCGGTGGCTCACGCCTGTAATCCCAGCACTTCGGGAGGCCAAGGCGAGTCAGGAGATTGAGACCATCCTGGCTAACAGGGTGAAACCCCGTCTCTACTAAAAATACAAAAAAAAAAAAAAAAAAAAAAAATTAACTGGGCGTGGTGGCACGTGCCTGTAGTCCCAGCTACTCGGGAGGCTGAGGCAGGAGAATGGCGTGAACCCAGAAGGCGGAGCTTGCAGCGAGCTGAGATCGCGCCACTGCACTCCAGCCTGGGCGACAGAGCAAGACTCCATCTCAATAAATAAATAAATAAATAAATAAAAAATAACATGTTAATGAAAATATGTGAACTGACCTTGAGTTACATATTTCTAGCAATCATAAAAATGTAACTGCTTATGAAAATGAATTCGTTATTATAATCACTGATCAGCTTTCTAAAATTTTGTCTCATTAAAAAAGGGTAATCACGTCCTTAATTATAATGTTTTTATTTCATCCATACTCTTTAAAAAGATAGGTATAAGCAAACATAATTAAAGAAAAGTGAATTTAACTGTGGTGTTTTACATCATAAACTTCCAGCTAATATTTCATTAATTGGTTAATAATTTAACGACAGAAAATATTTATATGTTATTATAATAGGATAATATAGAAAATATATTCTTTTTATAAAGCAAATCATTTAAGACCCTTTCATGATTGTTCTGAACAATTTTAAGATAAAATAATTATCTATAAATTAATTTAATATTAGGGTGATGGGCATTCTTTCACACAAGCTACTGGATTCTAAGAAGGAAAAATTGTTTTTCTTTCTTCCTCCCAAACCTCTCAATACTCTAGATGCATTTGAGTATTTTATCTTACAATACATTCTATTTGTTTTTACGTTTTCAAGCAGAGATGCTACAATTTAAATTGCCAAAATAGTAAGAACCTTTAAACACAGCCAGTCAGTTGTAGAACTGATACAGAATATGGTACACGCTATTATTTGTCTAAAGGGCTTTCCAATGGAATTCACTGCCTCCATTAGGAGAAACACAGGAGATGTGAAAGAAAAATGTTGACACTCTAATCAAATGCCTTACCCAAGTAAGAATTTTCTATTAGTTTCCAATCTTATCTCAACCAACCATTAAACACTTTCAATTTCAACAACACCCCCTACTGTTACAGCTTGTATTGTTGAATGGAAAATTGTTCTGTTTATTTTGAAAACTGCTCTAAGTTTTTACTGAAGGTTCAACTTCAACTTACAGCAAAAGTAATGATACAAGTTTACCAACAACTTGAAATACAATGGGAACAAAGTTTTCAATTTTATTTCTTTATAAGAAATCCCAAGCCATCGGTTCACTATATTGAAAGAAAACATAAGCAAGAATTACAACAGACATCATCAGAGCCAACAAGAATCTGAATAGATATTTTAAATTATTATCTCTTTCTAATTTTTTTTATTATTATTATACTTTAAGTTTTAGGGTACATGTGCACAATGTGCAGGTTTGTTACATATGTATACATGTGACATGTTGGTGTGCTGCACCCATTAACTCGTCATTTAGCATTAGGTTTATCTCCTAATGCTATCCCTCCCCGCTCCCCCCCACCCCACAACAGTCCCCAGAGTGTGATGTTCAAAGGAGCATTTAAATGATGGTTTATTTTCTTTCATTTTTCAGAAAGAGATGAGTTTATTAAGCTACCTAATTAATGTTTATTTTCAACATTTACTTCAGTATAAGATGTTGGGCATATTGTTCTCTGTAGTGAGTGTGGGTGTATGTGTATGTGTATGTATAAGTTTTAAGAAAACTTAATAACATGTTCTAAACCATTAACATTAGTCTTCCCATAGAGCAACAGCTGTGCTGTGGCCCTTGATGCCTTGCAAGTAACCATATAGGATCCACAGGCAAGGCTTAATGACAGTTGACCTAAGTTACTGCAGAATGTCCTGTGAGCGAAGTGAGTCAGCATGAAAGGCTTATGTTAGCAGGTCAATTTCTCATTTACTTCCGTATTTATTATGGAGGCTGTCAAGAGAGTTTCTCATCAGTTTCCGGCTTCTGATGAAGTCTGAGGTTTTGTGCTTTTCCTTCTTAAGGTACATCTATAGACTTTCAAACTGCATAGCTGCAGCGTGAAATCAGCTCTATAGCAATAGCTTGGCCACTATTGTCTATCATATGAAGCTTTTTGTTCTATTGTCATTGTGTAGGATAAGGGCATCGGGAGATGACATCTTTGCTATTCTTGCTTTCACTGTCTATGTAAGTAATAAATTATCTGCATTTGAAAGGAGTTTGTTGCTTCTTCACCAGCCCAATGTGTCAGCGTTAGTTGACACTGTCTTTCCAAGAAATATCATATGGAGAGTGAATTTACAATACTGCTTCATAAAGTGGCCTAAAAAATACAAAACAGAAACAAAACAAACAAACAAAAAAAAAGAGTGTTGGTTATCAGGTCATGTAGTGAAGACATTTTAAATCAATATAATAGGGGAAAAAAATCCAATATGAGAACTTAAACATGTAGAATTTGAAAGTGTGTGGTTTCTTCAATATTGCCATGATTTTTCCAAGATTCATTAGGGAAACTCTTTCACTGTAGATTCGTTAAATCAAAATAAATAGTCCTGTCTTCAAAGAGTTTAGAATGTTTATGAAAGAAGAGATACATTTTGTAGTTTTTACATCAAATAGAAAAAAACTGTATTTACACATTCCATATAACACTCCAAGAACGCTGAGCAAACTGAATACCAAATTTTGATTGTCAGACTATTTCAAGATTATTTTCATTAAAATTAGGATTGTAGGCCTGACACAATGTCTCACCCCTATAATCCCAGCACTTTGGAAGGACAAGGCAGCAGATTTGCTTGAGACCAGGAGGTCAAGATCAGCCTGGGCAACAAAGTGAGACCCCATTTCTAGAAAACATAAAAATTAGCTAGACATGGTGGTGCATGCCTCAGGAGACTGAGGTAGAAGGATCCCTTGAGCTCCAGAGACTGAGGCTGCAGTAAGTCTTGATTGTACCACTGCACTCCAGCCTGGGTGACAGAGCAAGACCCTGTCTCTAAAAACAATGACAGAATTTTAAAACATTAGTATTGTAGCAAAAAAAAAAATCATTACTATTCATCTTCCTTTCCATGTATTAATGATACAACTATTAAAACAAATTAGGGAAAATGAAGCAAGGCAAAAACAACTTCAAAACTCTTTATGGTGCAGAACATCATGTAAGAGTTTATTGCATAATCATTAGCTAAGGGTTCACTGGTGGAATACAAACTACATACACAAAATATTAAGTTAATGCCACTTCATTTTAAATTTTTGACAAGACATAATTTTTTCAGAGTTATGTCTAAAGATTTGCCTCATTTAAATTTGAACTAAATAACCATAAGTTAAATTTTACACGAGTGTTCAACATTACTTTTAAAGCCCATTGTTACAGTTCCTCATTTTGTAGCTGCTTGAATGAATTCCAGCAAAGCTATGTGAGTGCAAGTCATTATGTGAACAATTTCTTTAAGACAGAGTCTGAAACAATCAATGCAGTAACTAGAACAAGTAACATGGAGTTTTGCCATCCATGCTTGCATAAACATTTCAGTGATGTCACTAGATATAATCCTACAAATTATAATGCTACTAAGTTTTGCATTAATTGCTGTTCAATATGTTTGTATTAGCGTATTGTATAGTTTTATGGGTTAACCCAAATGCTTTAAAAGTGATAGTAAATGCTTCCCGAGAAATAACGTGCTCACTTGAAGGAAGGAAATGGTTCCTCAAAAAGCATCAATGACATATTGATCATGTAAAAATTATTTTATATAAAAACTTTTTATTCCAAAATTGGTCCAACATATGACAGGAATTCTTTAAATAATATATTTACATAACAAATATAATGACTAATTAAAATTCTCTGGCAAGGAATAAGTTTCATAATCCCTCTACCTGATACAGGTACTCATTGGAAGGTAATGATGTACTTTTAAACTGAATGTTTTTAGGATTACAGTTATAATAAACACACACAATAGTACTGCCTTTTTTTCATGCATAACTTAACTTATTTTCATATCTCAACACTATACCAGTAATTTTATAAAATAAAAAAACTTTCTGTTCAAAAATAATGCTAAATGCTTGAATTTATTTTTCAAGATGATCCTCCAAATGTGTGTGTGTGTTATTGTAATGAGAAAAAGTAATTATATTCTATATCATTTCTGCAATTCGCTTCTTTCACTTAATTGAATACTCCCGGAAAATTGCCTTGAATCTTTAAAAAAAAGTATATGAGAAATACATAAAAAAGAATTACATAAAAATTGTGAGAAATACATAAAGTATAAGAACTATATAATTCATAAATAAGTAAAATATCAGTTTAGAAGAAGACATATCTTGAAATTTTTTTCAAGATTTTAGTAAACGTCACGCTCTTTTCACCTAATGATATTCTAATAATTATAATTCAAATATTGTTAATTTCAAAAAAAAAATTACCAAATATATTTGGTACAATACAAAAATGAAATTATCACTTCTTTTGCTTTCTAAAATAATTTCTTTAAAAATAACTGTAGTCCAACATTGGTCATAAAATAATGCAAAAAAATAAAGAATTAGAAAATCATATAGCAGTATATTAAAACATAACTCATCAAGAGAAAGAGGGTACTGTTATGGGAAGACAAGAAAGATGTATTTGATAGATTTGTCTTTTGGGTCTCATACTAGAGTTATGGGTGGATTTATATACCACAAATACAGTAATAGAGTATTCTGGGTTCTTCCATGTACTTAATTTTACTAATGGGTTTTAAACCTCAAAAAGTTTTGTTTTGCACATTAGCATTTTTTTTCCTTCAGATTGGATAACTCTTTAGTATTTCTTGAGAGATGGATCTAGTGGTGGTAAATTCTCTAAGCTTAAACTTGTCTGGGAAAGATTTTATTTCTCCTTCAAATTTGAATGACAGTTTTGTTGGATACAATATTCCTGGGTTGCAGTATTTTTCTTAGAGCCTTTTGAAAATTTTATTCCACTCCCTCCTGATATGCATAGTTTCCATTGTGAAGTCTGTCGTCCAATGAATAAGAGTTCCTGTATATGTTATTTTTTCCTATCTTTCACTGCTTTGCTGCTTTTAGGATCTTCTCTTTGTCCTTGGCCTTTGAGAGTTTGATAATTAAGTGCCAGGGGGTAGTCATATTTGGCTTGAGTCTGCTTGGTATTCCAAAACCTTCCAGTATCAGAATATTTATGTCTTTCTCAAGTTTTGAAAGTCTTCTGTTATGATTTCCTTGAATGGGCTTTCTACTCTTTGTTCTTGCTCAACTCCCTCTTGAACACCCATAATTCTTAGATTTGGTTTTTTGAAATAATTTTCCATATCCCATGGGTGGTCTTCATTCTTTTTTGTTCTTTTTTTTTTTTTCTCCTCTGACTGTGTATTTTCAAGCAACTGGTCTTCAAGCCCACTGATTCTTTCCTCTGCTTGAGTCATTCTGCTCTTAAGAGCATCTAAAGAGTTTTTCAGTTCAGCAAATATATTTCTCAGTTCCCTGACTTCTGTTTGATTGCTGCTTATTATTTCAATCTTTTTGCTGAATTTCTCTGATATATTTCTGAATTGCTTTTCTGTGTTATTTTAGAAGTCACTGAGTTTCCTTAAAACTGCTGTTTTGCATTGTTGGTCAGAGCTCACAAATCACCACATCATAAGAGTCAGTCACTGCATTTTTGTTTTGTTCTTTGGAGAGATTATGGTTCCCTTTTCTTTTGTTGTTTACTGTGGGTATATGTCTATGTCTTTGCATTGAAAAATTAGTTATTTATTGGTTTTCTCTGTCCAGCTTGTTGTGGTTATTGTTGAATATATTTGTTTAGGGAATTTTCAGTGCTAAGTCACTGCCTGCCTTTTGGCTCTAGGTGGCACCTTAAACCTAGGCTTATTACTGGCAGCAAATTCATATGGGTCTGCAGCAACCTCAGTTCTTGCCTCCTCAGGAGAAATAATTCAACTGAGGGGCATAAGGCAGAAGAGGAGACTGAGGCAAGTTTTAGAGACTGAGGCAAGTTTTAGAGCAGGAGTAAAAGGAAGGAAAGCACAGTTAGAGGAGGGCCAAGCTGGTGAATTGAGAGATCAAATATCCTGTTTGACCTTGGACTTGGGATTTTATATGTTGGCATACTTTCAGGGTCTTGGGTCCCTTCTCCCTGATTCTTTCTTTGGGGTGGGTTGTCCACATGTGCAGTGGCCTGCTAGCACTTGGGAGGGGAGCATGCAGAGTGTGTATACTGGAGTGGTACACATGTTCACTTGAGGTATTCTTTCCTTACCAGTTAAATGTCCCTGGAAGGTCATATATCAATTAAACTTCACCACTTCACCTCTTAATGCACATACTTGAGATGACTTGCCCAACTCCTGAGATATTATTGGGAAGCTGTGCATCACCAGTTTCAGGTTTTTTCTACCGATTAGGAGACTGTCTTTACCTGGTGCTGTGACCAGTTACTATTTTAGAGAAACAGTTAACAACTCCCTGACCATCACCTGATGATTGCCTGACATTCCTGGAGAGGGGCAGGGAGCCCTCCCTAGCACTGTTCTTGCTTAACTAGGTACCTACTGTAACAGGTTCACTTCAGCTCTAGTAAATGGTCAGAGTGCCCCTGTTCCAAATGGCAGTGGCTCTGTAACCACCTAATTGCTTCATTTTGCCTGCTGCCCAGACAATGCTGATTTATCAAGACGGGGATATTGCAATAGAGAAACAGTTTAATATACATAGAGCTGGCTAAACAGGAGACTGGGGTTTTATTATTACTCAAATAAGCCTCCCCAGATATTCAGAGGCTAGGATTTTTCAAGGATAGTCTGGGGGACTAAGAGCTAAGGGAATGGGTGCTGCTGCTTGGTAAGGAATGCAATCAGAGGTGTTTAATAAATGGTCCTAGTTTGCTGAGTCTGCTTCTGGGTTGGGACCACTGGACCAATTGAGCTAAGAGTCACGGGTCTGGGTGGGACCACCCAGTCATCATCAGGTCATTAGAATTGCAAATGCCTGAAAGGGCATTTCAAAAAGTCATAGTTTCTATAATTGTTGGGTAATTGCAAATCTTGTGACCTCTAAAATAATGGCTGGCAATTATTTAACTATATCTACATCTTAGCAGAATTCAGGCCACTTTCATCCTCCTAACCTGGTGGCCTTTCATTAGTTTTACAAAGGCAGGGTAGTTTTTAGGAAGGGCAGATAGTTTATCATTACACTTTTATATAGTTTATCATTTTGAACTATTTACTAAATTTCTCCCAAAATTGGCTTCACCCATGCCCAGGAATGACCAAGGGCAGTTTGGAAGTAAAAGGCAAGATGGGGCTAGTGAAATCATTTCTCTTTCCCTGCCATAACTCTCTCACTTTAATAGTTTTTGCAAGGACGGTTTCAGTCCTAAAAAGATTAACTCCCAGTGTAGGAAGGCTCACTAAGAGTTTTTGCCCAGGGTACATGGTGAACATACCTCCTGCTGCCACTCTGATTTGATGTCTCCTTTGGCTGAGTTACAGAATAGAGTTTCCAAGCTGAGTATGGTAGTTCCACTTGCTCCATTTGTCTCTCCCTGTCCTCAGGAATATTTCTCCCTGCAGGCAGTCTTGATTCTACCTATGAGTTAAGGCAAGGACAGGTCTTCTGACAGGGAACCCAAGAAGGTAGAGAAACACATGGTTGCTGCTTGAGCAGAATATAAGGGGAGAGGCATTATAGAATTGGAAGTCTGGTTCCCCTACCATCTGCTTCCACATCTTTGTGGCCCCAGGAATTGTTTCATCTTCATACTTGAGCTCTGGACTGTTGCTGAAGATCTCCATGTTGTATATTTATTTTTGTTTCTTGTGTGAGTCAGCAGAGAGAGAATCCAGCTTGCCTTTATGCTGCCATTACGCTGCCAACTACCTCAGGAAGATGTATTTTTTATGCACACATACTCTGGTTAAAGCAAACTCTGTAGAATGAAAATTGATGGGTGCATCTTTATTTGGAATAGACATACCACACCACACATACACACACACACACACACACACACACACACACACACACACACAGACACACACATTTACCTTTAGTATGTATTTGTGTTGGTTGTCAGCCAGGACCCTTACCTATGTTCAGTTGAAACCAACTCTAACATATTTAAAAAGGGAATTTTTCAGAAAGATATTTTATAGCCCAAAGATTAACAACGAACCTGAAATACTAGCTTTGGAAAGCTGACTTGAACCAAAGAAAGCTTGGAAATCATACCCTGCAATAAAAACAACTTGGTCAGGATACCGCCTCTGATAAAAATAATACAGCTGGGCTGACTGCGGTGGCTCATGCCTGTAATCCTAGCACTTTGAGAGGCCTAGGCTAGAGGATTGCTTGAGCCCAGGAGTTCAAGACCAGCCTGGGCAACATAGTGAGACTCTGTCTCTACAAAAAAAAAAAAAAAAAAAAAATTAACTGGGCATAGTGGTACATGCCTGTAGTCTCAGCTATGCAGGAAGCTGAGGTGGGAGGATAGCTTGAGCACAGGAGGTTGAGGCTGCAGTGAGCTTTCTTGATGCCATTGCACTCCAGCCTGTGCAACAGAGCAAGACTCTGTCTCAAAACTACAACAACAATAACAAAAACAATAAAAACATAGCTGCTCCTAGGTTTCTCAATGTTTCATTGTAATTTCTAAACTTTTTGTGTTGATAATAAAATCCCAGAAAAAAATGAGTCCAATTCACTCAAATTATGAAATTATGTCATATAACTTTTCAATGGATAATGGATACTGGATGCAGAATAGTGTACATACTTAGAGTGTGTGTGTGTGTGTGTGTGTGTGTGTGTGTGTGTTTATACTTAGCTTCTGCAGTAAAGTTGGAGACCAAGTCTCAGTAAATATATATTACACATGAATGAGATTTTCACTCAATTATAATTTCTAACTTGTTATAATTATTTAAGATATCAATTATTTACTATTTATTTTATAATAAGCACTTTGCTCAGTTAGTTGATCCAGTTAGTTTCGTTAGTTTCTGGTTGACTCCTGAATTTTTTCAGACATTCATTATATCGCCTGAACATAATGATAAACTTGGTCTCATCTTTTAAATTATATTCACATATTGGTATTCTTTATTATTTTCTCTTTCCATGAATTAACCCCTCTGGAATGAAATTGCACAATTGGTGTGTGATATTTCATCACCTTGTAGAGGATTCATCAACTTTCTCATGGCCTGCCTGAAGTGAGATTGTTAGTTGAGTTTGCAGAATATCTTTTATATTTCAGTCAAAAGCCTACTCTGTTCTCTCAGAGATAGGAATTATGAGTGAAATATTGATGCCATCTTCATTCTGATTCCTTATAACTTAGATCTTTTCTTGACTCAATGCCTATTTGTTATTGTAACCAAACACAAGTCCGACTGCTTTTCACACAGAAGCCAAACACAAGAATTGAGATGAGGTGAAAGGAAAGCAGTTTTATTAATCAAATTCTAGCAACCGGGAAATGGTCCCGCTCATGCCTCCAAAAGGCTCATGCCACCAATTTCTTATTTGAGGCTGGGTAAGAGTTTTAAGAAGGGAAACTTGGTATGAGAAACATGTGGGAATGAGGCAGGGTAGAAGGCCTATGTGTCTTGTTCCAATGGCTATCTTGCGCTATTATCTACCTTGAACACGGGTTAAAGGCATTTCAGCAATGGCCAGGTTGCAGTTTAACTACCTTGGGGTAATCTTTAGATGGGGAAAATTCCACAGTTGGGTCTCTGCACCTGCGTCATTTTAAGTTTAGCCCCCGAAGTTTTAAGCAAGAACATAATTAGATAAACTAGCACAGGTCAAGGAGTGTGTCTGGTTGGGAAGGAGGGAAACAACAAGATTCAAAGTATATTTCAAGACTAAGACTAGACAGAACAAAAAAGTTTTAAAATGCACTTTGAAGCATTGTAAAGCACTACATGCTCTCAGGTATTGTAGAAAAAAACTAAAATTGAATGGAAGAATGAATGTTAAATCTCATACAGGAAACACTGCATCACTAGACTGAAGCAATGGAAAACGTTTTATAAATTATTAACTTAACATGGGGCATCAGTTATGTATTCCCAATGTCACACATTTAATATAGAGAATAAGAGGCTCACATCACCATTGCAAGTCTAGGGCAGTGAAGTTCAGGGAGCTGTATACAGGGATCTCTAGTGCAAGCAATCCTCACCATCTCACACCAAAGGCATTGAACCTCAGTGAAGGCATCTTCCTCCAACTACCTCAGTTTGCAAGAAAAAGTGGATGGTTCTCAAAGGTTGTCTTGGAAAATACCTCTTACTTCTCACATCTAGCCATCATCCTGCAAATATGTCTAAAAATAAATCATCATGACTGCTTTTTTACCTTCTAATTTTGAAAGTGCCTTTGGAATCTAGGAATTGAAGCTGTTAATGTCTTCTCTATAAGGCAAAAGAAACTTTAGAATACATTTTTTTGAGTATTTAAAAAAATGTTCATTCAGTATAACAGTCCTACGAATAAGAAACTGATTACTTTGAGATAACGGAGGCATGGAACAATTCCAAACAAGACAATTTGGCTCCAAACTCTATGCCCTTCCAGTGCTAAGTATTTACATAGCTAAGCATTTACATCACATACATATGTATTTGTTATCAACATTCCAGTCAAAATATACCCGATCAACTAAACATACCTAATTAGCTGCATTTTCAAGGTATAGATTTATTTCATTTTATTGGGCAAGCCTGACCATATGACAAGCAGAGGTAAAATTGGTAGCATTACAATCTTCTTCCTCAGTCTTTGACCTACTGTACTAAAGCTAAATTTAAAAGATTCCACAGTGTTATACGGTTAGCTCAAGCAAGCTCATTGGCTATGAAGGTAAATGTTGGTGTTAATCAATTGGTAAGATTTATTCAAAAGTACTCTAATATATGCATTACCTAATACCTTTAAATATTAGCCTAATTGATCAATGCATAGTCACGTAAAAAGATAGATAGCAGTTTGACATAAAGGCAGGTTCTATGGGCAACAGAAGAAACAAATGTCTATACCTGCAAGACTAGAATAATAAAAGAAGAGACATTTGAATGGAACATTGAGGAACAAGATTTTAAGACAAATTCCTCCTGAATAGAGAGAGAATTCTGACATATTTCTAGAGATGTTGGTATTAAGACAAACCAAACCAAGAATTTAGTGTAAATAATTAGGACATTTGAGTGATGGGGTAATATTTAATTCATTTTAACATTTCATATTCTGTTCAGAGATTTAAGTAGTATAACAATTTCATTTACCTAAAAGTACACTGTTGCCAAAATGTCTTTCTAACCTCGTGGGGTTTGACCAGCCAGCTTATAAGAGCAATTTGAAAATCATGCCACTGATTAACTAAGCTTCCTGGAAATTTCAAAATATGTTAAGAGTCAGCTGATTTGTCAGTTCCATACGGTTACTCTCAGAATGAGATCACAGGGTTATTTTATTGTGAAGATGGAGAGCAGTAAGGAGTTCACAGTGTATTTAACTCACATCAGTTATTCCTGTTACACTTCTCATTTACATTGATAAAATGTAAGTTTTGAAAACATTAAATATTTATTTTTCATTAGTTTGTGTCTCAGATATGTTGTAAAGATCAATACTGTATATTTTAATACATGTCAATGTAACTAAGTTGCAGAAATATTTAAAACTGATTTCGGATGAAGTCAGTCTGTCTGCTTTGCATAGATAAAAATTGTGTCTAAAATTACATTACTTTGTAGCTCTGGGTTTCACAACAAATTAAGTATGATCAATCCTTTCATTGTGAGACTTTTACAAAATATATTTCTATACCTTCTATCCTAAACACTAGGGAGCCACAGATTTGGGGACACCTAAGAAGCACCCTTTCTATTTTTCTCTCTCCCAATCCTGTTCAGATCCTATAATAAGGTTGCAAAAATACAAGAAAAATGTTTGGGAATAATGGTTCCAGAGCAAAACGGCCCTGGCTGTATTCCGTGGGACACTCCTGTACAGAGTGATACTAATACATATTTCAGGAAAAGCAAGCCCTGGGGTCAAAAATGTGAGTAATTTTGCATATTACTCTTTCTTGGAAATTCACAATTCATATATGCCCAGTAAATGTTCTGAGAAATCTTGATTGAGAACAATTGTTTAAAGTTTATTTAATTTTCATAACACAAACTTGATTAGCAAAGCCTCTTGTTGTATTGTACTATATATATCATCTCTATTTTATCCAAGGATAATATTTCCTTGAATATATTTCTTGAAGTCTTAATAAGACTTGCGTAGACAAATAGCTACTGACTAGATAAACAGATTGGGCTGGTTAGAAGGAAATTCTCTTTATCATTAAATACCTAGACACAGTGGCTTCTATGGTCTGCATGAGCAAATTACTGGGTTGGGTATATGTATCTATTTATTATTTAGATAATTAGCTAATTAATTAATTGTTAATAGAATCAATAGTGCATTTTGATACCTTCACTGGTGTTGACAAGTTTTAAGCATAAGTTTTCTGGAAAATGTTTTGCCACTATAAGGAGAGAGTGTGACTGAAAGTAATCAACACATAAAGGCGAAATGCTGGGAGTCAGAAAGGAATATCCCAGAAACCTATTTGAAATTGAAGGTGCCTGAATTTCAGGTATACCTGAAGCTAGGTCTTACCTAGACTTTTCTAAACATCACTGTTAAATCTGTCAGTCCCCTCTGTTGGTTTTTGTTTTTGTGTTTTGCTTTAGTTAGCTTGAGTTGAGGTTTTGTCACCTAGGCAATCAAAGTAACTTTGAAAAACACAACAGAGAAATGTTATTAAGTAACCTTTTTTTTAAATTCCATGACTTCCCATTACTCAAAAAAATGTTTATTTTTGAGAACGTTTGAATATTTATGTACACATACACAAACGTATATAGGATTATACACACACACACACACACACACACACCCCACACACATGTATTTTTTCTGGAAGATTGTCTTGATGGTATGTTTTCTAGGCCTTAGCTATTGCAGTGTTATGATTGAATGACAGCTGGTGGCCTTTGTTTTTGTTGTTCTTTTTTTGAATTACAGTATTTTCTCTTCTGTATTCAACAGAGACTACTTCATTATCTCCTCAAATTTCATATCACAGTTAAATCTGAGGCTAGACTGTTTCATTTATCTTGTAAGTAATTTTTTATTAATAAACCTTTAGAAGTATTTCTTTGTCTCTTCAATTTGAAATTTATCAAGTTTACTTATTGCTATGTAGATTAGATACATTATGTTATCTCATTATTCACCACATTTAACTTTTCAGTTATGCAAATGATAAGATACAGAAAAAATATTATTGAGTGGATGGGATTTAAGGGAGTAAGGATCACATTAAATCTTGCTTAAATAATTATCTAAAAGTTTGATAATTGTAAGTAGTCAATAATATTGGATTTTGATTAGATGTAAGTGCAAGTCCAGTTATGAGTATCTATAAAATGGCATAAACTTTGTTATAATAAAGAGCACTTAACCACATTTCTTTTTTGTTATTTTTTTAAATGTTACTTTTTTCTAATATACTATGAAGCTGGTGGATTCTTAAGATTTCTGGTCAGCATTATTTGTGATTTGCCTGAGAACATGGAATAATATATTTCTTCTCTGTGTACACAGTAAATCAGAGCCTACTTAATTTAAAAAAATAGTTGTGCCTAATGAATGCCACAGTCTGGGCCAGGCTCTCTGTATATAAAATAAACATAGTTTCTGCTTGTCTCATAGATCTTACAGTTTGGTAAGGATTAAAAATGCTTTATAAGGAAATAAATTTATAATTAAAAAGGTGAAAAGATGCATAAAGAAATACACAAGATGCTGCAGATTTGCTCAACATAGTCAAAAATCTAATTAAAGAAATGTACAGGATGCTGTAGAAAACAATAGCAGAGTCAACAATCTAATTACACAGTAAGTCAGTTTCTTCCAAAAAGTGACATTTAAGCCCATAGGCAGATAAGGAGCAAGGCATGTGAAGAAAGGGCACCTGAGCAAAAAGGGTAACTTTTGCTCTAGGACTGGGGCAAGGAAAAACTTAGCGTAGTCAAGTACAAAAAAGATCAACAGAATGTCTGCAGCCCAATTTTCAAGGTGCAGAAAGTCTGAAGACAGTGTGGCAGAGCTCACCAGGAAACACAATTTTCAGGCATTTGTAGAATGTACAAGTTATCCGTGTACATAAATGGTAGAATCTGACATATGGATCAAAATGCTGACATTTTATTTGTGAATTGCAAGCCCTCTGAGTTGCAAGGCTGAAGAATAAACAGAAGTGAACAAACGGGGAAAATTAAATGCAATAATTTATAGTGTTGGCCCCTGTTTCTCAGAGAGCTCAGAGGAGCACAGTATGTTTTTCTCAGAGACAGAAACTCTTTCAGGAGGCCTTTATTTTTTTGAGATAGAGTCTCGTTCTGTTGCCCAAGGTGGAGTGCAGTGGTGCGATCTCGGCTCACTGCAAACTCCGCCTCCCGGGTTCACACCATTCTCCTTCCTCAGCCTCCAGAGTAGCTGGGACTACAGGTGCCCGCCACCACGCCCGGCTACTTTTTTTTATTTTTTTAGTAGAGACGGGGTTTCACCATGTTAGCCAGGATTGTCTCGATCTCCTGACCTCATGATCCACCCGCCTCAGCCTCCCAAAGTGCTGGGGTCAGGAGAGTTTTAAGAAAGAAACAAAACATGGCATCGTTTTGGAGAAAGAAAACAGTGGGGTGGAGGGGGTCATCAGTATGAAGCCTTTCCATTTTCTGTTTTTCATTAGTCAAAGTTACCACTGTGAAGAAAGGACATCCCTCTACTTTCAGGTTGTGTCATTGTGCTCTGAAATTCTCATGGTTTACTGTTTCATCTAAGTTCAGAAGTGAAGGGATGGTAATAAAATGGCAGAAAAATGCATAATAGCAAAGAGAGAGAGAGATGTAATTGAAGGACTCTGAAGAGGCACACAGGTTTGTACCTGATATACTGTGATGAAAATGTAAATCTGATCACGTCACAACAATTTTTCAGTGTTATTCAGTATATTCCTATTGCATTGAGCATAAATTCCAAAATTTTTCCTTCTTTTTGCCTTTCTCTAGAAAAAGAATTTTAGTTGTTGAAAGTAGCACACATGAATCTGCATGATTTCAATGAATGAGACTTAAAATTTTAACAGGTATTGAACATAAAATGATAGTTGGCCATGAGCTAAGCAGTCTACATATATTATCTCATTTAATCTTCACAACATTTGAGTGTGCATTATTATTCATATTTTCTAGAAACTGACACACAAGAATATTAAGTAACTTTCCCAAGAGAGTTTTAATTATGTAGCATTGCCAGGCTATAAATTAAAGCATTCTGAGCCCAGAATTAAAATTCTTTCTTACTGTGTTGTATTGTCCTGTGTGTCATTTCATAGTTCTAGCTACAACATTTTTCTATGTATTTTGCCCAGTTGGTCTAGATCTAACTCATCTAGACTGTGGTACAGAGCATCTCATTGTAATGGAATAATTTATGGAAAGGAGAACAGCTGTGTGAAGATAAAGGGCTCAGTAATGAATAAGCCAGGTGCAGAGACAGACTGGAGAGGTGGAAGGTTAATATAAAATATTGGGACATTAGCATAAATATTAGAAAAAATACTTCGAGGGAAAACATGTCAATGAAAGTACTCTCAGACTAAGCAGGAGGAGGGTACATGGAATAGAGTTTGAATGCATGAACAGAGTGTTTCAGTGAAAACTGAGTGGTGGTCAGATTAGGTGTAAAGTAGTATAAAGTGAAAGATACTACAGGCATGAAAGTGTACCTGAAAGTTGATCAATTTACTTTGAAACATCTCTGGAGTCACAGAAAAAAAAAAAAAAACTTGCTAAAAACTAAAAAAAAAAAAAACTTTCTAGAAACTATTTTAGAAAGATAGGCAAAATATTTCAGGAGACCCTTCTGAATTGTTTTCTCTTATTCAAAACATTAATATTGTGGAACACGGAGTCTAGCATAATCAGGGAGAATTCAATGTCTTTAATTGTTTAAGATACATAGGATTCTCATTGAGAAGAGGGCTACTATCTATTTATATTTAATTTTGACTCTAATTATATTGCCTTTAATGTTTTTTAAAAAGGTGACCTGTAATCTAAATTACCAGTTTCAACCAAATGTTGTCAAAATTCTCTGATAATATTGGCATAAGATACCTTCATTACATTCATTTTAAAGTATCCACCTGTGAGGAAGCCAATTTTCCTCCCTTAAATAAGTACACCATGATCAATTAAGAATGAGCTTATTAAAAAGAAACAAACTAATAAAATGAAATGGGAATTTTTCCAACATAATGAAGATAAAAATGCTAAAATTAATTAAGTGGTTATATGTGAATTAAAAAGGTTATAAAAAGCAGTAGCAAATGGACTTCTAAGGTCTCAGGTTTGTGTAAGTCAAAAGCATGGACTTTGGAGTATAACAGAATTATGGAATTTAGGTCCCATCACTCAACAGATGTAGAATCTTAAATGAGTGGCTTAGTCACTGTTATTCAATTTTACCATTTCATTTATTATTAATAGTACTACTACTGATAATAATAATAACAATAATTACACCTTCCTCATGAACTTTTTTTGAGATTTAGATGAGAAAGTATATAATCAAATAAAGTATTCATTAAATAAATATTCTTTTCCCTTTATCTGGCATCCAAACTGAATTTCTCAGTGCTAATTCGTTTTGATATTTTGAAGAGGTTTTTGTTGTGATGAACTCAACAGACAGACTGCAATAGTTAAAGAAAATGTCAGTCTCCTATGAAAAAATGTTATACATATAATATTTTAAGTTATATGATTTGAAAAGCAAAACAGAAAATATTTGTCATATTTATAGTATAGATAGGGAGTGAGTTTGAGGATAAAGCACTTTATGAAGCCTAGGTAATTTTACACTGATTATCATAACTTAGTGAGAAGAACTTTTGATTTATTATACCTGTCTCCCTAAGTAAGATAAAATGTTTGAACAAAAAGTAATTTTCATCTTCAAGCCTTGAACTGGGTTTGGGGGAAAACAGCCAGTTAGAGATCAGCCTCTTGTGATGTAAGGAGCTGTGGGGAAAAGGATCAGTTAACAGAATTCTTCATATTTTGCTAGAGGAGTGCTGGTGAATTTATAGAAGTGGTGCAAGGGCAAGTTCTGTAGAAGGTCTTAACTCTTGCCATAGACTGTATTGAACAACAAATCTATTTATTTAAATCGAGATCATACCTTATTACTTTGGATCTTCTTGGGGGAAAAATAAAAACAATTTATGTCTATGACGCAATAAAGCATAACTATTACAACATCCACAGAAGTCAAATCCATCCTGAAGGAAAGGATAGATGGCTAGTCTATAAAATATATTTTTATGAAATAATGGGTGAAGGAGAAACAGGTACAGATAATTCATGCCATTCACTTATCTGATCACCTTAAGATAAATGAAATTCCATTTCTTTATGTTTAAATGTCTGCCATGAAGACTTAACTGATACATCTTATAGGACTGAGAATATTTTTATATGATGTAAGCTAGTCTGCAAAGATAGTCTGGGAGAGACATTTTTCAAATAAACAATCAAATTTATGTCTGCTATGGTTTGGCTGTGTCCCCAACCAAATCTCATCTTGAATTGTAATTCCCATAATCCCCACGTGTCATGGAAGGGACCCAGTGGAAGATAATTGAATCATGGGGACGATTACCCTCATGCTGTTCTCGTGATAGCAAGTGAGTTCTCACGAGATATGATGGTTTTTATAAGGGACTTTTCCCCTTGTTGCGCAGCACTTCTTCTTGCTGCTGCCATGTGAAGAAGGATGTGTTTGCTTCCCCTTCTGCCATGATTGTAAATTTCCTGAGGCCTCTCAGCTCTGCTGAACTGAGTCCATTAAGTCTCTTTCCTTTATAAATTACCCAGTTTCAGGTATGTCTTTATTAGTGGCATGAGAATGGACTAATACAGGGTCTTTAATATTTAGCAAACATATGATAGATAATATATATGAATATTTACTATGTGCCAACTAATGTGGTAGATGTTCAAGGTACAGTAACAAAACAGTCAAATCATGGTTCTGGACCACATGAGTTTTGGAAGTAATGTAGAAGAACTTAACGCTACAGGAATTTACCAAAAGACAAGGTACCAGAATACGTACCCTAAGCTGTTATGCGACTTCCATGAACGAGTAGCTTGTGGAAATGTTGAGTAAGTTTCTCAGTGTTGTCTCCACTATTTTTTCCAGGAATTGATAAATATATCCTGAGGGAAGGAGAAAGCATAGTCACACATTGTTTAAGGATGAAGATAGGTTCTGAGAAATGCATACTTAGGCCATTTCCTCATTGTGTGAAAATCAGAGTGTACTTACATGAACCTAGGATGGTACAGCCTACTACTACACACCTAGGTCATATGGTACAACCTATTGCTCCTAGGCTACAGACCTGTATGGCAGGTTAGTGTACTGAATACTGTAGCCAACTGGAATGCAATGGTAAGTGTGTATGTATCCAAACATAGAAAATGTTCAGTAAAAATAGGAAATATAATCTTATGGGACCACCATCATATGTGTGGTTCATCATCCAATGAAATGTCGTTATAAGGCATATGTCTATAATTAAATAGTTCACATACTGAATTAACTAAATCACCAAACTACAAGATGCAGGACTTGTTTAGAGGGAGACTCTTAGCATTAACAAACAGGTCTTACACATTTTCCCCTTCTGATATGATTTGGATCTGTGTCCCCATCCAAATCTCATGTCAAATTGTAATCCTTAGTGTTGAAGGGGGGACCTGGTGGGAGGTGATTAGATCATGGGGACAGATTTCCCCTTGTTGTTCTCCCGATACTGACTGATCTCTCACAAGATCTGGTTGTTTGAAAGTGTATAGTACCTCCCCCTTCTCTCTCTTCCTCCTGCTGCAGCCACATAAAGCATGCTTGCTTCCCCTTCGCCTCCCGCCGTGATTCAAAGTTTCCTGAGGCCTCTTAGTCATGCTTTCTGCACAGCTTGTGGAACTGTGAACCAATTACACCTATTTTCTTTATAAGTTACCAAGTTTCAGGTATCTCTTTATAGCAATGTGAAAAAGGACTAATACACCCTTCTATACTATAGAGAAAACTACAAGAAAAGGATTGAGGGGTTGTCCTATAGAGAATGAAATTTGAAGATAAATCACCCTCACACTTAAGCCCCTCATAGGAAAGGAAAGAGAGGAAATTTCAATTAGTTCCTCTGACATCAAGAGAAAACTGACATCTCCGTTCCCACCTGGAATGCCACTGAATCAAAGTGAGGATTTGCTAACCTGCACCAATGTTATCATACAAAGGGAAGAAAAATGGGGAATGGAGAGGACTGTCCTGGGGTCACTGTTGTGAGCCATATTCATCCCTCCATCTGGTCTTTCATGCGTCTTCGTGTCTTGGTGGATACAGCAGGAGCTCAAATCTCTGACTGCTTTCCACACGGGCCATTCTTCAGCCTTGTGTTTGAAGTGAGCAATGCTAGGGGATGAGAAAATGTCTCCTCCCATGACAAGAAGCATTGCATACTTCCTGATTCGTAGCCATAGTCTCATAAGAGCTGAAGCAGTGCAACAGGGCTATTCACTGGAGCTGTAGTATAGACCAGTGGGGCTAAAAAAGGTACCAAAGTGGGAAGAGGCAGGAAAGAAATACCATAAGCTCACTTTTCACATCCTCCAGTGTCTTGCTGGTGACTGCCCTTAGCTAAATCCCAGTAGAACGTCAGCTGAATGGGGACGTGAGGGATTCAGTGCACGTCGGGCAGCCACCTTGAGCACAAAAAAGGGCAGATGGGTGCACAGAATGGATGGAGAGGGCACCAGCGTTTAGAGCAAGACATGGCTACACAGTAGACACTGAATAATATGTGTTGCATGAATAAATTAATGAACCAATATATAATATAAAATTAGCCATGTGGTTGTAAAACTCAGGAGTAAGGAAGAGGAATGAGGTACTTATTATAGAATCACTGATACATATGAGTGTGTGGCGTCCCAGAAGACAGGGGAAGACAGTGGTCACAAAGTTATTGGTCAATTTTGAGACAGTGCAAGGCTGAGAAATATTACATTTTTCCCTATGTCTGAGAATCATATGAGATCCATTTGCAGAAATCAGAAAATTTACATCATCAGTCAAACCACTCAGCTGCTTTCCATTCAAGGCAGTGAAATACTTCATGGTTTCACAGCACAGATTTTACAGCCAGTAACCTTTGCTCTACTCTTCATTAGTAGGATGACCCTCAAAAATGGGCAGAGCGGAAATACTATTTACTTTGCAAATTTGTGAATTTAACAAGGGTTTATTACTTCTAAACCAAAAAGGTAGAGAGATGGTGCAAAGCGGGTTCACTGTACCAGTTACCAGTCCCAGGGGAGGACTCTAAACACCTTTGCCCTCTGCATCTTGAGCTATGCCAATTTCTGTCACTTGCATGAGTCCAGTGAGGCAGAACACTGACACACAGCAAGTTCCATGTAGCAGATTTATTACTTACAGATAGTAACAAGAAACAATAGAAGGCTCGGATTCATGGGCAAACCAGTCCCCCAAGGCTCAGGACAGCTGCCCAGGGCACATGCAGTCTTCCACCGCACCACCCGCTTGCACTGCAGTGAGGGAACCTCAAAAAGCAGCCCTTTCTATGTTTTATACTCTGGAGAAACGCAAGTCACTGGCAGGACATCCTGTTCTAGGAGGGATGGGAATAAAGTCCAGGCTGTCCTGGCCAGTTACTTGTTATATCAGAAAGTTGCATTCAAGGTTCAGAGACAAGCCAGTGCCTACTTATTCACCCAGCTGGCAAATGGCAAGGTTAGATTTGAACCATGCCTGATATATTGATATAACAGGGAAGTGTTGTTGTTCTGATACTGTGGAGGACTTAAAGCCTCTCTGAAATGTGGTTACTGAGATAGGCTGAATAAATCCCCCAAAGGCGCAAAGACATTCACACTCTGATCTCCAGAACCTGTGAATATGTTATATAGCAAAAGAGACATTGAAGATGTAATTAAGAAGACGAATCTTAAAATGAGGAGATTATCCTAGTTTAAGTGGGTAAATCCAATGTACTCTCTTGAGCCCTTAAAAACACAAACTTTCTCCAGCTAGAGTCAGAGACCTGAAGCAGAAGTCATAGAAATTCCAGTCATGAGAGAAACTTTATACACCACTGTGGCCTTATTGGCTTGCAAGCCCACAGGCAAAGACTGGAGCTAATAGAAAGCATGAGACTGAACATTGGTAGCCTATGGGACCTGGCTTTAAATCATATTAGTGATTTAAACAATGGAGGTGTAATTATTGATATTTTCTTTGGGTATCTGGGTTACTTGTTTGTGATCCTGAAATTCCCTCCCAAATGTAAAACCTAAAGAGGGAAATTATTGCAGTGATAAGCAAACCAGCATTTTCACTTGCACTCTTGTCATGAGACATAGTATCTGTATTATATTTCTGACATATCACGAATAGAGAAATTACTAAAGTTGTTTTGGTAGGACATTGTGTGAGCTTGTCTGAAAAATTTGCCGGGATTACTGTCCACTCTATAGTTATCACAAAAGAGCTACAACTCCTTCAGTGGCATGAGCAAATGAATGCGTGGAGTGAAGGTATATAGAAAAATACTTTATTGAATACTGGTCTAAATACTCTAAAATGCTTCTTCTTTAACCTTGAAAATAACCATAAGAGGTGTGCATCATTATCAACACTTAACAATTGAATTACCTGTGGCTAGTATCAGTCACGTAGCGTGCCCGGGTTAATATCTCTGTTGCATCTAGCTTGCAATCCTTACTTTCTTAATGTTTTTTTGTATGCCATCACACAATGTCTATAATCTCATATCTAGGATTTCTCCTAATGGAAGCCTCATCTGTTGTTAATCATTTTTAACAACAAGAAGAGATTAAGAGTTAAATCCTTGGGTTGGTTCAAGTTTATTCTCTAGGTATAATATTGCAAACCTAAATAATGCCATTTCAATTTAAGAAAACATAACATCATCAAAAATTTGTAAAATGCAAAAGAAGAAAGAATTCAGCAGGGTAATTTCCTTAATATAGCATGCAAGTAAGTGATTTAGTAATTAACTCTTCTTGCAGATTCTAGCTCATGCAGATGTAAGTTATCGAGTCACTACTTCATTAGCTGGCATAGATTAGATGTCTTCTAAGGGCATATCTGTACATTTTGTGCTTCACTGGTGTTACAGGACTCATCAGTATGGTCTGGATATGAAAACTCTTTCATTTTGTGTTTCAATGATAGAAGAAAATTACATACTAAATGTTGAACAGAAGAACTTTCTTTGAGTTCAACATCAAAACTACAAGTGGTTACTGAAGTGTGAGGTTGAAGCTCTTATTCACTGAATCCATCTTCACGCCAGGAAAAGGAAAAAAAGCCAAGATAACAAGCCTGCATGGATTTTCCAGTAGTATGAATCAATTAAAATTCAGGAGGAGAGAAAACAAAAGTCCAGAGCAATTTATTAATTTGTTTACAGCTGTTTGAATATGTAATATGAAACAGTAGTTTGGGGAATAGCTGCGGGTTGGGGGATATATTGATTTTGATGATATTGCTCACAGAAATAGACAAGTGCTTTTGATGTATAAACTGCTACAGTGTAACTTGTTTAGTCTATTGATTCATGTGCTTTGATGGAGTTGTATATGCCTGTTCTGGGACTCACTGAAAAATGAGATGCCATTTCAGTGTGTGGAATAAAGAGTATATTTAAATGTGAAAAGCCACTGGATTCTTCTGTTATTTTACTGGAGCTTTTGTTCAGTTGCTCAAAGTTTTTTGCAGTGGCAACCACAATATCTGCTTTTTAAAGGGAATAAAAACTATGCATCCAAAATAATAAAAATCTGAATCTGCTAAATTAAAATGAGAGATACAATATTTATTGACTTCATAAAAATATAGGAACCTTAGGAGCTTTTTTGTAGGGAGTGATAAAATTCTGAGACGAAGCAATACTTTAGTTATCATAGAGACAAAATAACTGAGATACTGAGAGTAAATCCAATATGACAAGGTTCCATTTTTGACAATATAAAAGTAGACATAAGACACCACTTTACAATGCTTGAAAAGATTTTCATTCTGGGTTGCAAATATTAGAAATTACTTATTTTTGATTTCACATATTAGGAGAGATGAGGCATTACCTAAAAATAAGCATGGATATATTTAAAAAATTTTAAATAATTTTTGGTGTACATGAATTTGAAAATACACTTTTTAAGTAACTATTTTCTAATTGATGCTTCATAACTGAATCACCAAAATGGAATTCCCTTATATATTATTAAGTAATTTTCCAGAAAAGTTAACTAAAGATTAGAAAATTTAATAATCATCCAGGTAAAAAACGTTCCTGTAAAATTCAAATATTCTGAGCTTTGATTGAAGTCATTGTTAACTTATACCACTCTTCTTTCTTTTCACTGCCACATAGTGAAAACTACAATATGGGATTCACTCTTAATTTTATTACACAGAATGTAGCTAGAGAAAATCTGATATATACCATTTAACATATATATTCAATTACTAATTATGATGGTCAAAGAAGACACAGCTGGATATCTTTAAACATGTATATTTACTAGAGATAAAGCACTTCCTCCACTTAATGTTTTACTTATATTTGAAGATCTTAATAATTTGACTTTGAATCACATGGAGAATTATTAAAATGGGCATATCAGTGCTGGGAGGCAAATCCTCCGCAGAGTCTGGTGTTCTTGCATGATCTGGGCCTTTTGAGCAAGGGATGTGATTAAACACAAGATATCCTTAAAACTAGAATTGGTGTATCCTATTGGAGAAATTTAGAAACAGACTTCCAGAGCCGTACCATGATGTTAAAGATCCATTCTTATCTTTCTACTCTCCGGAGACACTTGCCTTCATAGCATAGTAATAAACCCAGGACACCAACGTCTTCTACCCCAGAGGAGATTTACCTATATTTAAGGGTATTGAGTCATCTATCTCGCTGAAGGGAAGGATGAAAAGATCTGCCAGCAGCCCCATAAAGCCCAGCCTCTCCTAGGGACTGTCCAAATTTGACACCCTAATTTTGGGATCTGCACCTGTGGTATGCTCCAATGCAGGCACAGGGGACATCCAACCATCATCACAGCAAGGTGCTGCTCAGGGTGCAGTTTGTGCTGTAAGGAATAAAAAATCTATTTCATTGTCTGAACAACTTTTTGACCTTCTGTAATTACACACACGTACCATATCTATATGTATATCATCTATATGTATTTGTGTATGGAATATATATGTGTGTGTGTATATATATGTGTGTGTGTATATATGTGTGTATATATACACATACATATATCATACGTACACACATACATGAAGTACTGTTGGAGTACCTGTGTTAGCAAGTAGAGTAAGATCTTCACAGTTTGTGATTTAACAGCAAAGCTTAAATTTACATTTATAAAGTTAACAAAAACAATATTGATTAAAAAAGCGTAGATTTTTCAGTTTATAACAACATTAAATGTGTGGTACATTGCATAATGACCTTCTCCCCAAATGCCTGAACTCTGATTTCAAAAACTTGTCAATATGTTACATTACCAAGCAAAAGGGACTTTAATATGTGATTAAAGTAGATGTTATGAGATGGGGAGAATTTCCTAGTTTATCATACGAGCCCTCAAAAGCAGAGTATCTTTCCTGGCTAATGTTAGAGAGAAAGAAAAGAGAAGAAAATGCAGGAGAAACCCAAACTGTGAGACAGACTTCACTCTCTCTTGTTGGCTTTGAAGATGGAGAAAGGGGTCCATGAGCCAAGGAATGAAGGAAGCCTCTAAAAGTTGGGAACTGCCCACAGCTGAAAGCCAGCTAGGAAATGGGGACCTCTGTCCCACAGCAGCAAGGAAATTAATTCTGCCAATAACTGAGTAAGCAATGAAACAGAGCTCCATGTTTCCAAGGCCTTCAAAAAGGAATGCAGCTCCATCTACACCTTGATTTTAGATCTGTGAGAACCATACCAGACTTCTGACCTATAGAACTGTGAGATAATAAACTGTATTATCTTAAGTCATGTAGTTGTGGTCATTTTTAATGGCACCAATCAAAAATAAGTACACCAAGTTTATTTTTGACATTCCATCAAGTTGACTTTGTTCACAACATCCATTTCCCCCTTCTTCCAAAGACAGCCTTTTCATTTCATTTGTGAAATCATGTCTCCCTCATTCCAATCATGTGTGGAAAGACTGACAACATTTTTAGCTCTGATTGGCATATCAAGGTATATATTTTTCTTCTAGAAAATGTTTTTAGTTCAGGGATAAGCACTTTCCTTCATGAAAACCAAGGAAACACCAAAGTGTCCAAACACTTTTGTTGAAGTTACCTCTATGTTACATTTCTCTCCCTTTCACAGACGTTGGTAGGGTAATATTACAAATCCTGAGACTATAGCCATCTGGTAGCCATGAGTGAAGACCCTGAAGCAGTGGAAACCACAAAGAGCTTTAGAAGATGTAGATCCTTCTGAGGTTACTTTATCTTTTTCCCTCAAGCCTACACATTATTTTTGTAATTATTGTTTATTTGAATTTGAGTCTCTTTTCTTTCTCTTGCAATGAAAATAGTCTAACACATATACCATATGTTACTGTACCCCAATTTTTCATTTTAAATTCTAAATTTGAAGATGAAAACTAAGTAAAAAAAAACCCCAAAAAACTCTAATATGGTATGTTAGAGGGACTGACTGAGTGGAAGAGTGGCCTGTGGTGCTTATTAAAAATGAGTAAATGAACACCCACTATATACTTGGTGAAGAAGAATCTGAGGGTGTAGACGTCCAAAGTCTGTGTTTTTATAAAATTCCATAATGATTTATGAAACTCAATAAAATTTGAGAACCGCCGTCTAATGATAACTAATTAAAATAAAAAGTACTTGCAGATTGAAATTACCAACATATAAGTTTTTTTCTTACTCTTCATGTATAACAATATGTTAGAATATATTCATTCGTTTAGAGGATTACATAAATCTAATCATCAAGATTATATATCTGATGTTGGTTAACTATTAATAGCATGGTAGACATGTTTTCCTTTTCCTTTTTA
Organism: Homo sapiens; assembly: GCF_000001405.40. Classification (NCBI taxonomy): domain Eukaryota; kingdom Metazoa; phylum Chordata; class Mammalia; order Primates; family Hominidae; genus Homo; species Homo sapiens. The sequence goes on from NC_000004.12 coordinate 178,620,155, forward strand.
ATCTTTAGTTACACTAGTCATGCTCTTTTCATAAACTGGACATGTTAATGTAATAAACGTGCATGTTACCCAAGAAGAACCAATGGGGCATAAGCAGATAGTGTTATAGACAGTGGAAAAAGAAATTAACTATTCCATTCCCTTTTATGCTATAGTGGAAGAATGAAGGACTGTGGCTTCCACAACTCTTTTGGACCACTTCAGGAGTACCAGGAGTTATCAGTGTTGGTTGCAGATGGGAAAGGCACTTATGACCCAGGAATAGACTCTGTAGAGCAGCAATGTAAAACAAGAAAGACTATGACCTCGATGACATCATTAGAGTCATTCAATTTAGTCTCAACTGGATCCAGAACCATCCTTGGTCTTTTCATTATATAAATAAATAAAACCAGTTTTTGTCAAGGCTAGTATGAATTGGGTTTTATATTACTTATCACACCTTGACCTAACTCTCAAATTTTCAGGAACACTGTGTGATCTTTTATAAGATTTTATCACTATTTGTTCTTCATAAATATTTATGCATATTTCCTGATAACCATGAGGCTCATAGGTTGAAATAAGATTTATGAATGGAGATTTTTCTTTATATATGTATATGATTCATAGATTGCAGGGATGTTTTAAAGTAATAGTTCTTATAGTGAGACCTCCAGATCAGCATCTTCTTGTACTCTTGGTAACTTGTTAAAAACAATTTTGAAAACCACTGATTTAAAGAAACAAAAGAATCACTATCATCTAACTAGTTGGTCAGTAGTTTATATGTGGTATGTCATAACAGAAAATAAATTTATTATCACATAGCACTCAATATTGGTGATCCTTTAGGGAAAATGCACATTTATTGTTTATAGTAACTCTATTAGTCCATTTTAATGCTGCTGGTAAAGACAAACCCGAGACTGAACGATTTACAAAAGAAAGAGATTTAATGGACTCACAATTCCATGTGGCTGGGGAGGCCTCAAAATCATGGTGGTAGGTGAAAGGCATGTCTCACATGGTGGCAGACAAGAGAAGACAACTTGTGCAAGGAAACTCCCCTTTGTAAGACCACCAGATCTCATGAGACGTATTCACAATCATGAGAACAGCATGAGAAAGACCCGCCTCCATGATTCAATTACCTGCCACCGGGTCCCTCCCATAACACATGGGAATTGTGGGGGCTACAATTCAAGATGAGATTTTGGTGGGGACACAGCTAAACCATAGTCACCCTGGCCCCTCCTAAATCTCCTGTCCTCATATTTAAAAACTAATCATGCTGTCACCAAAAGTCTTAACTCATTTCAGCATTAACTCAAAAGTTCACAGTCCAAAGGCCCAACTGAGACAAGGCAAGTCCCTTTTTCCTATGAGCCTGTAAAATCAAAAGCAATTAGTTACTTCCTAGATACAATGGGGGTACAGGAATTGAGTAAATACAGCCATTCCAAATGGGATAAATTGGCCCAAACAAAGGGGCTACAGGCCCCATGAAAGTCTGAAATCCAGAAGGGCAGTCAAATCTTAATGTTCCAAAATGATTTCCTTTGACTTTATGTCTCACATCTAAGTCACACTGATGCAGAAGTGAGTCCTCATGGTTTTGGGCAGCTCTGCCTCTGTGGCTTTGCAGGGGATAGCCTCCCTCCTGGCTAGTTTCAGAGGCTGGCTTTGAGTGTCTGTGGCTTTTCCAGGCTCAAGGTGCAAGCTGTCAGTCCATCTGCCATTCTAGGGTCTTGAGAATGGTGGCCCTCTTCTCACAGCTCCACTAGACACTGCCCCAGTGGGGACACTGTCCCAGTGGGGACACTGTGTGAGGGTGCCCACCCCACATTCCCACATTTTCCTTCCACACTGCCCTAGTGGAGGTTCTGTATGAGTGCTCTGCCCCTGCAGCAAACTTCTGCCTGGACATCTAGGTGTTTATATACATCCTTTGAAATCTAAGTGGAGGTTCCTAAACCTCAACTCTTCTGAGCACCCACAGGCTCAACACCACATGGAAGCTGCCAAGGCTTGGGGCTTGCACCCTCTGAAGCAACGGCCAGAGCTGTACCTTGGCACCTTTTAGTCATGGCTGGAGCAGCTGGGATACAGGGAACCAAGTCCCTAGACTGCACACAGCAGAAGAACCCTGGACCCAGCCTGTGAAACCATTTTTCCTCCTACGCCTCTGGACCTGTGATGGAAGGGGCTGCTGCAAAGGTCTCTGATGTGCCCTGGGGACATTTTCCCCATTGTCTTGGTGATTAACATTTGGCTCCTAGGTACTTATGCAGATTTCTGCAGCTGGCTTGAATTTCTCCTTAGAAAATGAATTTTTCTTTTCTATTGCATTGTCAAGCTGCAAAATTTCTGAACTTTTATGCTCTGTTTCTCTTTCAAAACTGAATGTACTTAACAGTGCCCAAGTCACTTCTTGAATGCTTTGCTGCTTAGATATTTCTTCTGCCAGATACCCTAAATTATCTCTCTCAAGTTCAAAGTTCCACAAATATCTAGGGCAGGGGCAAAATGCTGCCAGTCTCTTTGCTAAAACATAGCAAGAATCACCTTTACTCCAGTTCCCAACAAGCTTCTTACTTCTATCTGAGACCACCTCAGCCTGGATTTCATTGTCTATATCATTATCAACATTTTGGTCAAAGCCATTCAACAAGTCTCTAGGGAGTTCCAAACTTTCCCACATTTTCCTGTCTTCTTCTGAGCCCTCCAAACTGTCCCACCCTCTGCCTGTTACCCAGTTCCAAAGTCGCTTCTACATTTTTGGGTACCTTCAGCAGTGTCGCACTCTACTGATAAAGTTTACTGTATTAGTCCGTTTTTATACTTTTGATAAAGACATACCAGAGACTGGGCAATTTACAAAAGAAAGAGGCTTAATGGACTCACAATTCCACATGGCTGTGGAGGTCTTACAATCATGGCGGAAGGTGAAAGGCACATCTCACATGGGGGCAGACCAAAGAAGAGAGCTTGTGTAGGGAAACTCCCCTTTATAAGACCATCAGCTCTCATGAGACTTATTCACTATATTGAGAACAATGTAAGAGAGACTTGCCTCATAATTCAATTACCTCTCACCAGATCCCTCCTACTATATGTGGGAATTTTGGGAGCTACAATTCAAGATGAGATTTGGGTGGTGGCACAGGCAAACCATATCAGTAACATACTTTGAAAAGGAAGAAATAGACATTGTTTTTTGAAGATAGGTTATTGATAAAATGGAGAAATGTTTCTCTTGATACATACATTATTTTCTCAGTCGTTGTTGAGTGAATTATGGTAACTTATTTTTAGCTCTGCATATAAATTTTTCCATCTTTATTCTAGTTAAAAAAACTGATACAGCACACTGAAATAGACATGTCCCAGGTCTATCTATGCCCCATACATCTTTTATTGGCAATATTAACTGGTCTAAGTGATAAGCAAATGACAAAGTATCCATAGTTTTTTTAAGAACTACTCTGTAAACATTGCAAGGCTGAATTAATTTTTTTCCACTGATGTAAAACTATACTTTGAACTATTTAGGGAAAGAACTTGGCAGAATGAAGCCAAGTAAGGACAAGCAAAAATGATACATGGATATGCAAAACAAAAACAAACAAAAACTAGAAACAAAAGCACTAGTACAAATCTGAGCAATTTCTTTGATCTTGTGAACTATTTTTGTACTTAGTACTTAAGAAAAATTTTTTGCTAATAATTTGACTTTGGTGTCTGCCATTTGCCAATAAAATAATCTTTAATTATATGCATAAACAGAGACTACTAAATATGCATATATTTAAAAAGGTAGCACTTAGTATATTAGTGTTCACAACTTTGCCCAGTGAATTTTATTAATCTATTTTTTTCATAATTGGTAACTTTATCCAAGTTTGCTGATTCTTGATCTGCTTACCAATATCAAAATGATTTGGATGTTCCCAAAGACACCAATTATTTTCTTAATAACCATTATAAAAATAGTATTTAAATAATCTGATTTTTAATAGTAATTGGATGAAAACAAAGATACACTGGTTATTCTTTTATTTACATTTTAATTCTAAAATATTATTTCTAATAAGTAAAATATTATCTTAAAATATGAGCAGTATGTTTAATAGTTACCAATTTTTGTTAATTTTCTTTATGTATAATAAAGTTACCAATTTTTTAAATTTTTCCTTTATGCATGATAAAGGGTTCTTACATCTGATTTTGAATCATTTGAAAAATTTTTCACTTTCTTGATGACATTGTTTGCTGCCCACACAAAAATAATTAATTTGGACATAGCCCAACTTATTTATAATTTTCTTTTTTGCTTGTGCTTTGATATTATACCTAAGAATACATTAGCTAACTCAAGTTAATAAAGATTTACTTCCTCATTTTTTTCAAGGAGTTTTGTAGGTTTAAGTCTCATATTGATTCTATAATCCATTTTGTTAGTTTTGAGTATGATGAGAGGTCAGTCTCCTTCTTCATTCTTTTTCATGTAAATAGCCTACTATCCCAGCAGAATTTATTATGAAGACATCTTTTACTTTATTAAATTGTCTTGTCACTGTTGAACGTCAATGAACCATAAATTCTTAATATGATTTCATTGATCTACAATTCTATCCTTATGCCAGTACCATTGTCTCTTGATTACTGTATCTGGTAGTAATTAAAAAGTGTGAATTCTGCAATTTGTTCATTGGTTTCAAGGTTGTTTTCGCTATTCAGTGTTTCTTGTATCTTTATATTAGTGATATTTGTAATAAAATACAGCTGAACTTTTGAGAAGTATTGTGTTTAACTTATAGACCAAATTAAGAGCATTGCTACTTGAATAATATCATCTTCTTATTCATGAATATAGGATTTATTTATTTATCTTGACATTTAAAATATTTCAAACAATATATTGTACTTTTAGTTTACAAGTAACTTATTTTGTTAAATTTGTACTATTTTATCCTTTTTGATTGTATAAAAATGGAATTATTTACTTAATTTCATTTGGAAATGTTTATCACTACTGTATAGAAATAATATAGATTATTATTTAGTGATTTTGCATTACATTAATTTACTAAATTTGCTGATTAATTATATAAGATTTTCTATATAAATGTCATTTACAAGTGGAAATAATTTTATTTATTCATTTCCAATTTCAGTTTTTTATATCTTTTTCTTATCTAGTTGCACTGGCTAGAATTTCTAGTTCAACATTAAATCAAAGTAGTGAAAACAGATATCTTTGCCTTGTTCCTGAACTCAGGGGATGCATTCCACCTTTCAATGTTAAGTACAATGTTTGTTGTGTGTTTTTGTTGATGCCTTTTGTTAAGTTGTGAATGTTTCTTATATTTACAATTCTTCAGTATTTTGAAAGGATCTTTTCAACTGCTTTTACTCTAATATTGATGCAATATTTAGATATGTATTTTTAACTAACCTAAGCCAACATTGAAATACTATTATTACATTTCCTGTATAGATACTTCATACCTGACTATTTTCAATTCTTCTCCTCACCCTTTGTGAAATTACTATTATTAATTTTACTTATCTACATGTTATATTTACTCACATATTATTTTATTTTATCTTTAGGTTAAATATCATTAAGAATAAAACAAGATTATATTTTACCTTCATTTTTTTTCTTCCCTGATACTTCTCTCTTCTTTGTATAGATCCAAGTCTCAGATATATATCATTTTTTTATACCTGAATAACTTTTAACATTTTTTTCAGGAAGGGTTTTCTATCAGTGAATTTTCTCAGTTTTTGTTTAACAGAAAGAGATTTTATTTCTCTTTCACTGTTGGTAGATAATTTTGCCAGAATAGAATTATAGGTTGGGTTATTTTTCTTTTATAAATCTTTTAGATATTCCACTCTACTCATTTGCTTGCATGGTTTCTGATGAGTTGTCCATAGTTCTTATCTCTGTTCCACTATAGGTTTTCTATGGCTTCTTTAAAAAATTTTCCTTGGTATTTGGTTTTCTGAATTTTGAATATGACATAATTTTGTGCTTTGTTTGTTTGATTCATTTTTGTTTCTCTTTCTGTTTTCCTTTGTATTTATCCTGATTAATGATTTCTGAACTTTCTGGATTTGTGATTTACTGTCTGTCATTAATTTTGAAATGACCTGGCCATTATTACTTCACATATTTCTTCTGTTCCATGCTCTTTTTCTTCTTCTCTAAATTATATATATGTTGCTAATTTTGAAATTCTGCCACAGTTCTTGCATGTTCTGTTAGGTGTTTTTTCTTTCTTTTTTTGTTGTTGTTCTGTTTGAATTGCAATTTGGAATGTTTCTATTGACCTAGGTTACAGTTCATGAATTCTTTCCTCAGCTATGTCCAGTCTGCTGATGATCTCATTGTAGGCATTCTCCATTTCTGTTGCAGTGTTTTTTATTTCTAGCATTCCATTAATTCTTTATTACTTTCAATCTTTCTGCTTGCAGCACTAATATGTTCTTGCATGTTATCTAATTTTTTATTAGTTCTCTTAACATATTAGTCACAGTTATTTAAAATCCCTGATAATTCCAAAGTCTGCATCATATCTGAATCTGACTCTAATGCATAATTTGGCTCTTCAGACTAAATTTTTTTTTGTCATTTCGCATGGCTTGCACTTTTGTTGTTGTTGTTGTTGGAAGTCATACAGTATGTACAGTATGTATCAGATAAAAGTAATGAAAGTAAGTAGGTCGTCAGTGTGAGGTTTTATGTTACTCTGTTTAGGAGTTAGACTGTGTTTAACGTTTGCTGGGTGCCAGACACTTCAGATGTTTCCAGTGTCTTTCTTTTGGTCCTCTGTGTTGTCTTTGAACTTTCCTAAGATCACCTCTTCAGATAGAGGCTGCATCACACAGCTCTTCAGACGTACTTTATTTTTAATGTACTGGATCCCTGTTGCGATGGTGATAAGGTGCATTAGAAGGGGAATATTGTGTAGTGTTATGATTAAATCTCAGTCTTTTCATGAGGCTGTGTCTCCTGGCTGTGCTTGTCACAAGTGCTTCTTCAGTGGTATCACTTCTGCCTGCTACTGCCTTTCTCGGCTGTAGCATTCCCAACTTATGTCCTTGAAGTTCTGACCTCTATTGACTATATTTTTATCACACTTCAGTAGAAAAAGACTAGAAAGAGATTGAATGGGAAGAATCCCCTTCCTCCATCCGCAATAAGGCTTTGGAAAATTTTCCTCTGGAGAGTAGCCTTCTTCTTATGGAGAAAGTTCTGCATGTGTTTCACAATAATTACTTTTCCCTTTTTCTTGACAAATCTGCAAAGGATCTTTACTGAATCTTCACTGTGAAAACCTGGTTGGGCCACTTGAGGTAATGCCAATAACAAATGGGTATCCCTCCTTCAAGAATGGGTTCCCCAGGGGTTCATCACTCACACTAGCTCACATTCAGCCTTCAGCAATTCGTCAATACTGCCATTTGAGTGCTCCCACAATCGTGACAGCACAAGTTGGTCAGAATTTGGATTCAAATAGGGGAATAAAGGAAAACAAGTCTTTTGTTTGTTTTAAAATTAGTATTATGTGCTGGGCACGGTAGCTCACGCCTGTAAACCCAGCACTTTGGGAGGCCAAGGTGGGTGGATCACCTGAGATCAGGAGTGCAAAACCAGCCTGGCCAACATGGTGAAACCCTGTTTCTACTAAAAATACAAAAAACAGGCGGGTGTGGTTGTGTGCGCCTGTGGTCCCAGCAACTCAGGAGGCTGAGGCAGGAGAATTGCTTGAATCCGGGAGGCAGACGCTGCAGTGAACCGGGATCGCGGCACTGCACTCCAGCCTGGGCAACACAGTGAGACTCCATCTCAAAAAAAAAAAAATAGTGTTATAAAAGACTGATTCATGTTTTTATATTATTTTGAATTAAATGAATATTTTTAAAAGAGTATTATGAACTTTCTTTTTAATTATGGCAATGTCTAAATTTATATCTTCATCTGAGTCTTCTCTGTAGTGTCCCAAAATATTATTATTATTATACAATTTGGATGTCCTAGAATTAAAAACAACAAAAACATCAAAATTTCTCTCAGTAACTCCATCAAAGTTGCTCCTACTTCTATGTTCTAAATGTCAATTTTAAAAACGAATAAAAACCTAGTCAGCTAGGAAACAGCCTGGGAGTTAGACTAGTCTCCTGTTGTTTCTCTCTTGGGAAACGTATGATCACTGGTCTTCTCAATTTCATACTGCCCCTGCTCCCTCATAATATTCCTCATGTAGCACCCAAGGTCTACTTGAAAACTGTAAGCCATATTATGTCATTACGGTCTTCAAATTTTTAATATTTCCTCATCAATAAAATAGTTCACGATGGTCTTTGATGTTTGTGTAAATAATTGACATTCACAGAAACTCTAAGGCTTTGCTATATTCAGGGTACCACTGTGGCAAAATACAGACAAAGTTTCCTGTTTGTGTTTGGAAAGTCTGATGCAACATGGCTCTACCATCATAACCACAATGTAGTGTCCTGTGGATCAATGACTGAGCCAAAAGCAAGAATCTGTAGGCTGGGTATTAATGAGGACCCCCACACATCGGTGTGGTTTGAGACTTCTTGTGTGAATGCAAAACTCCAAATGGTGTTTCTGCTTTTATTAAACATGGATGAGACACTCCCAATGGGTATTTCTCTATTGTGAAGTGTGATATTGATGTACAAGGAGGAGAAAATCAAAACACAGAAATTTAAAGGAATCAAAATGGATACAATGTTAACAAGTAAACTGGGCAACTGCCTCTTCTGTTGTGTATTGGAAAAAGAGGAGGCACTGATGGAATTCTCCATGAGTTCTGCTGTACACTGCAGCTTTTGAAATCTGAGTCTCACAAGAATCTTTACTTTTATTGAACTGCTTTTGCTTATAATTTCTTACATATCTGATATGCACTTAAAGTACATTCACATCACCCACAATTAAGCAGAATTGACAGTCTAATAATTATTTATTTTTATATTAGCTTTCAGACTTATTCCCCTTTTAGTCAGAATTTAAAATAAGGATCTTAATCCAATAGAATGTAAGTCCTGTTTCAGTTCATGTCAGGAAGCCAATATGAGACTTAAAAATATTAGGTTAGTAAATAATATATCACATTAACTTAAAACTAACACTGATTTCAGACAAGTCTTTGAGATAAATAGATAACTTGATATGTTTATAACATTTCAAAGTAAACAGAGTTAACATAAAAGTATTTTATAAATTTAGAAAACAAAATTTAAAAACCAATAATCATTCTTTAATTACATGGTAACTATAAATTGCAAGGTTTTGATTACTAAATGATTGTACTTACATTTATGTGGATTCTGGTTCAAAATTCAATTTTTGAACTCTGATTGAAAGGAAAAAATAGTAATAACACAATGATGTGCTAATTTGTAAATATATATGTCAATTCGATATAAAAATTTATGTTATTTAGAGTTTTTGCCCTACCTAAAAATCTAGAAAAGATTTCCATCAAAATATTATGAAGAAAAGTAAAATAGACTAAGTATCCACATACTTCATATAAAATAGCAACTAATTGTAAGCTTTAATAATTAAATAGTTTTACTTTAATAGTTAAAAAGCATGTTTAATTTTGCAAATGATACAGATTTAGTGTTTTAGCACTCTGTGACTTAAATGACTCTGTGGAAAACTATTTTATCATGAAAAATATACATAACAAAAAAATATTTAAAATGTTTTAATATCTGTTTGTGAATCTTGTTTCATACGCTTGTATTATAATTCAAATAATAAAACATTGTACATACACATATATGCATAAATATTTTTATATGTATCTTTTACTTCCAAGTTCTTTTATAACTAAAAATGCTATATGGAAAATAGAAGGGAACAAACGTGAGCTTTCATTGACAATAGTTGGAAATTTTCAAGTATAATCAGAGAAAAATATGAAAAACAAACATCTATGTTAATTATAAGAAAACTGGGATGTATGAATCAGGGAAGATGTCTGTGAATTCTAGAGACATACTCACTATAAACTAACTGACCCCATTACCAAGTATTAGGCTAGACATTTTTAACAAGAGAACACTCAATTGTAGAAGGTTGGAAAAATCTTAAGAGATGAAAAGGCATAATTCAGCGGTCTGGCACATAGATTCATATACTACCACATTTATATTACTTTTCTTTATTTTCCTTCCTTGTAACAAAGCATCAGGAAATACACAAGCAATGTACTAATATTTATTTCCAATTACCCAACACATAAACATACTGCAGTAATGGAAAAATAATACCTTATTCTTATGATTCTTTAAATCCATTAATAGTATTTTGTATTTTCCCAAAACATTGCATGTTGAATGTCAAATATATTTTTTCACATTAACAACTATGATTAATAAATAATAATTTTTTTGAAAACCTGGAATGAAAGAGTTAAAATGATATGCTGTTTGATTATTATAGAAGAATCAGAAGGAGATTCTGATCTAAAGATGAGATGTATTCCTTAGGCTTCCAACCATTAAGCCAATGTGACTGCCTAAGAGGAATTATACCTTCCTCTAACATAAACAGCCATATTCATTTGCAGAAGATGATACACACATGTAGTATACTACGTGGCCCACCAACATGGTGCAATAGCTATCTTGATATTGTGAAAGGGCCTAAAATTAAATGCTGCAAATATACGAAATGAAAGAAGACTAAGAAGTGCAAGAAAAAATGAATTACTTTGTAATGTTTCTCTTTTGAGATTAAAGTATAAAGCACTAAAAAGATTTATGAGGAAAAGTGGTATTACTCTTAATGCAACGGGAAATAAAAGACTGAGTAAAAGAAAGATGACAATGGGGAGAAAACAATAAACATCTATGGCTTTTATTTGTAATTTCTGAAGGCATTCAAGTGCTTCAAAATTATTAAAATCTAACATTATACAGTAAGAAAAAATATACTTAATTTTCTCTTTTGTTAAGTAATATTTTTAGATTTATTAAAATTATTATTTTGAGACATAGTTTTGATATCATAATTTACTTGACTAATTTCCTTTGATAGAAAATGAGTTGTTGATAGTTTTTTACTAATATAACAATGCTGAAATGAATGAAAACTAACCTTTGAAAGCACGACTAATGCTCTAGAAAGCTAAAGTTAGAAATATATGAAGTTGTTGGTGTTTGATCATTTGGATGTACAAAATGGAAGTTTCAGATTGTTCATCTGAACCTTACTAGTTCTTTGTTTTCACAGACAAGAAAATTCCTCTAGTTTAGAGAAGACAAATAGTTTGTGAAATGTCAGTTAGTTAACCAGTATGAAAATACAGAATTTGAGCTCAGTTTGAGGAACTAAAAACTTGTTTTGATTTTCCTTACAAAGCCACATGTGTTCAGTTCTTTAAGCCGGTCAGTACTTCATTAAGCTAGTTTTGATCACCAACAGATATCTGCATTAAGTCCTGCTATGTAAAGTATTAGGCTAAAACATATGAAGTTACGCTAACAGCTATAAACAAGGATTTTATAATTGTATAGCACAATATTGCCTGGGAATAGTGTCATAATTTAAATATTTTTTATTTACTTGATATTATATATATATATCACATATTAGAGTTCTTTAAAAGTCTTAATGCAAATGGATCATACAGCTACCTTACAATAGGTAACAGTTACATGTTCCAATTTTATCAAAATAGTCTCTCACTGTATATTCTATATTTAGACAGAAGCTGCTATATACTATGTTAAATTATAAAATGTTTTCTACATAACCTGGGAGAACTGCCCCCTAATCACCAATCTTTCTTTCTCTCCCTGTTCTCGTTTGGTTCAGCCATATGCTTAATCTACTTTGTGAAGAAAAATACAAGATAGTTTGTTGTGTATTTATACTAATTATTTGGGTTCCTCAAGCAATCATACAGCACAGTATGTCCCTTATGTATTGATTAGTACCTCTTCCCAATTTTGCATCATTGTGTGTTTTTCTGATTATGTATAGCTGATTCACAGTCATTTGTTAAACATTGCCCATTCTCCCTTCAGTTAAAGGAATTCTAGTTTGGAAAACAAGCCAACAAACAAAATCAGATGCATTGAATTAGAGTATACAGCGATAACTGAAATTCTGCATGTAATATCCCATTAACTGCTTGGATTCCTTCCACTTATTTGGTTTTAGGTTTATAATCTGCTTATCCTGCTCATGTATTTAACATGGCACAAAGAGATTGTACGTTTCCACATCTATTTTTATACTTTGCCTTGGTTGCTCTGTGGAAGGTATGCAAATCTAAAGTCAAAGGTACAAGAGCTTATCTAAGTGTGAGGTCAGATATGAGTGCTTTGGTTACTCATATCTGAGACCACAATCAGCTTGCATCTAATTATCTCATGAATGATGACAGTGTATGTCCATAATTGCCTTCTTCCTAAGAGTGCTGCTGATTCACTGACTCATTAAATATGACCATTTACTCTATTTTGTATTGTGGAAGGGCAATCTGGCAACAGACCACTGATGCCGAAGGGCAAGAAGCTAATCCTAACCACTGTATATGAGTGACAGAGAAGTTTGTAGAACACAAATAAAATTAATATCATTTAAATGAAGAGGACTTGAGAAAATTCATAGAATTTACTTTGAAATGAAGCAAATATGAACCAAAATGTCAGGGTATCATTTAAATATTTTATTAATTACAATTTATAACAAAATAGTATTCAGATAATTGCAATAAATATTTAAGAATCTTAAATATGTTACCCAGTAATTGACTATCTTCATACAGGAAGTAAACTTTTAGCATTGACACCATGAAAACATTAACACAAATGCCTGTATCATATAATAATAGTTAACATTTACCGAATACTTATCTTTTTCCGGAACTGGAATAAGTTCTTATATATATTAGCTTGCTAATCATCACAACAAACCTAAAAGGTAGCATTACTCTCGTTATTTCTGATAAGGGAACTAAATCACAGAGCAGGGAAGTAACACCCAAAACACGATAAAGTTGCAAGTCAAGGCCGCAATTTGACTATGATCATTGCTCTCTACTGCTATCCTAGACATTATATCAATTATATTATTGTTTTAATTATTTTATCTACCATGTACCCACTTCTGAGCTCTCTGCCATGAGGTTTTGAAAATAAGTTGACACAAAATCTAGTTGTGAAAAGAAGGGTAACACATGATATGTTTGGGGAATAGTCATTACATGATGACATACTAATTGTAACTTTTAATAAAAGAATGTTTTGCATAGGATCAGTCAGGCCCCCTAGCGGAAGTACTGACACTTCAACTAGCCTTGAAGAAGATAGAACATTTGTATAATCAAAGACAGAAGGCAATTCAAGTAGGCAGAGTTCACAATACATAAAACAGTATGAATAACAATAAGAATAGGATATATTAGAGGTGTATTGACTTTTTTCCCCTCAAACTCTGGACATGTTTATTACCTTTTTAAAGAAAATTCTCATGGTTTACATCTTACTCATAAATTCTTCCTAGATTCTGACTTACCAAACTTTTGAGATGTGCCTATAGATTATAAACCTCACCTAACTTATACTCATAACTTGGTGCTTTTAGTTTTATGTCTGTACATGGGCATAGAAAACTTGGCACTCATAGTTTCTTTTAAAGAAAGAAAATTAATGTGATAAATAAGCTGAATGAAAATATATATGGTCAGAAATCAGATGAAACTATAAATTAATGAGACTGGCTTTATTACAGGGCTTCACAATGACCTTGAAATTATATCTTAAAAAAAAGCTTCAGAAATATTGTGCGCATGAGATTTCTTTAACAATAAATTATCAGTTTCTTCACTATTTGAAGCAGCAAAATTCTAAAGCCTGTGAAGATAACATTATATAATAAAATCTAGAAAATCAAGGGGTTATACTTGAGTATAGTATCTCAATAATTTTTAAGAAGGTATCTATGCTGGAAGATCTGAATGAACTAAGGCAATTATACCGGCACTAAAACTGTAGCTCTGACCTTTGTGTCAACCAAAGAAAATAAAAAAAAACGATAGATTACAAAGCTCTTTCTAAAATCAATGGCTAGTTTTCCAAAGTGAACTTTCTGAGTATCTGTATTTAAAAATTTATTACTGTGTAACTACATTTCATATATTTACCACCTTGAAGGGATATCATGAGTAGAATTACTAGAGGTAAAAGATTAGTAAACACTTGCTGCCTGGTTGATATTGAACGTAGCTAGTACAATAGTGATGCAAATTAAACTTCATAAGCTCATAGGCCACCTGACCTTTAGATGCCATACAAGATTTTTGGGTGTGGTGGTAATTTCAGTTTCTTCTTAGAAGTTAAATTCTCATAATATTGGAATCTTGAAAATAAACATATATTTTTAAATTTTTCTGTGTCAATTTTCAGCAAGATACACAGCTATTTAATATAAAGAACAACTTTCTCATTTTGGTAGATAGACACAAAAGTATATTCAGATGCTGGAGAGGATGTGGGGAAATAGGAACGCTTTTTCACTGTTGGTGGGAGTGTAAATTAGTTCAACCATTGCGGAAGACATTGTGCTAATTCCTCAAGGATCTAGAAACAGAAATACCATTTGACCCAGCAATCTCATTACTGGGTATATACCCAAAGAATTATAAATCATTCCACTATAAAGACACATGCACACATATGTTTATTGCAGTGCTGTTCACAATAGCAAAGACTTGGAACCAACCCAAATGCCCATCAATGGTAAACTGGATAAAGAAAATGTGGCACATATACACCATGGAATACTATGCGGCCATAAAAAATATGAGTTCATGTCCTTTGCAGAGACATGGATGAAGCTAGAAACCATCATTCTCAGCAAACTAACACAAGAACAGAAAACCAAACACTGCATGTTCTCACTCATAAGTGGGAGTTGAACAATGAGAACACAGGGAGGGGAACATCCCACACTGGGGCCTGTTGGAGGGTGGCAGTCTAGGGGAGGGATAGCATTAGGAGAAATGCCTAATGTAGACGACAGGTTGATGGATGCAGCAAACCACCATGGCACATATATACCTATGTAACAAACCTGCATGTTCTACACGTGTATCCCAGAATTTAAAAAGTATAACTAAAAAAAAAAAGAAAAGAAAAAGTATATTCAACGTGTTTTATTAGCATTTCTAAGTGACCTATCACTTTTGAAGTATAATTCAGGCTGTAGTGTCATAAAAAAATCTGTAGTTTGCTGTTTTCTTTTAACTTTACATAATGAGTTATTCTCTTGCAATTAAATACTATGGGGAAAATTATAGAAATGATTCAAATAATGATATATGATCTAAAAAGTAATAGGTTACTAGACAACTAAGAATATGAATGCTGAAATAACCTAAAGAAAGCCTAAATTCAAAAATTTATGTTTACACAAAATGATCTAAAGTTCTTTTTTAATGAATGTCAAGCATTTAAGATATATCAGAACATATGTGTATCTATGTATTTTAAATTTTAAACAAAATATACAAGACACACTCTTTAAGAAAAAGATTACTACTGAAGTAATCAAACAGTGTCACTTTGATAATTTTCTGACAGACACATGGGAATAGGCAAGACTATGAATTCTTGATTCAAGTTGAGTGGAGCTAGTTGAAAAGCAAAATAAAAGGAAAAATGATGGTGACAAAATTAAATATAAATTAATATTTTTTTTTTACACATAGTGTGCACTTCATCCTAGCTTGTGTTTTACTTGTTTTATATTATTTTAAAGGATTTTTGCTTAAGTCATGTAGAAAAAGATCTGTTCAGTTGAAATTACCTAGGCCCTTGTTACTCAAACTGTGTCACTTTGACTGGCTTACGAAAAATGGAAAGTCTCAGGCCCCATGCCAAACCTAATAAATCAGAATCGGTTCTTACTAACCTTCGCACTAAAGTTTGAGAGGCACTTTTTCAGGATATTTTATTCTAACTAAAAACAGCCTGAGATATCAAGTTTCTGCAATTGTGCAAATCCTTATCTTGTTTTTCATTCTTAATGTAAAAGCACCTTGAAACCAGTGCTCACATTCATATTCTCAACAATGTGTACTACTTTCATTAAAAGAATTACTTTTAAAATGAATAAATGCATGAATTACTAATACATATTTTCTCTTTGGTTAAAGTGGGGAAAAGTTTTACAAAAAGATAAAGAAATTGAAGTTAAATTGGCCAATGAATCTCAGAGGAATAGAAGAGCTGATGGGGACAGGGAGAAAGATCTCTTTCTTAGGCGTATAAGGACTCACAAGACTGATCCAATTCCATTAACTTTCATGTGCAAGTCCCTGAAGCTCTGTAATTTGATGAAGCATTGCTAGCAAGAAAAGCAGAAAAGTAACTTATATTTCTTTCCTTTTTTGATTTTAGCTAAGGAGTCAAAATGAACAAAGATAAACTTGAAGATAAAATTGAAGAACTTTTGGTTAGATTAAGAAAAAAGAGGGAGAAAAGTCAAGATGGCTGAACAGGAACAGCTCTGGCCTGCAGCTCCCAGCAAGACTAACACAGAAGGCGAGTGATTTCTGCATTTCCAACTGAGGTACCCGGCTCATCTCATTGGGACTGGTTAGACAGTGGGTGCAGCCCACGGAGGGCAAGCAGAAGCAGAGTGGGGGATCGCCTCACCCAGGAAGTGCAAGGGGTTTGGGAACTCCCTCCCCTAGCCAAGGGAAGCCGTGAGGGACCGTGCTGTGAGGGACAGTGCTATCCAGTCCAGATACTGCACTTTTCCCACTGTCTTTGGAACCCGCAGACCAGGAAATTCCCTCGGGTGGCTACAACACCGGGGCCCTGGGTTTCAAGCCCAAAACTGGGCGGCCATTTGGGCAGACACCGAGCTAACTGCAGGAGTTTTCTTTTGTACTCCAGTGGCTCCTGGAACACCAATGAGACAGAACAGTTCACTGCCCTGGAAACGGGGCTGAAGCCAGGGAGCCATGTGGTCTTGCTCAGTGTATCCCACCCCCAACGAAGCCCAGCAAGCTAAGATCCACTGGCTTGAAATTCTTGCTGGCAGTACAGCAGTCTGAGGTCAACCTGGGAAGCTCGAGCTTGGTGAGGTGAGGGGCTTCCACCATTACTGAGGCTTGAGTAGGCAGTTTTGCCCTCACAGTGTAAACAAAGCCCTGGAAAGTTTAGACTTGGCAGAGCCCACCACAGTGCCACAAAGCCACCGTAGCCAAATTGCCTCTCTAGATTCCTCCTCTCTGGGCAGGATAACTCTGAAAGAAAGGCAGCAGCCCCAGTCAGGGGCTTATAGTTAAAACTCCCATCTCTCTGGGACAGAGCACCTGGGGAAAGGGGTGGCTGTGGGCACAGGTTCAGCAGACTTAAACTTTCCTTCCCGCCAACTCTAAAGAGAGCAGCAGATCTCCCAGCACAGCACTCGAGCTCTGCTAAGGGACAGACTGCCTCCTGAAGTGGGTCCCTGACGCCTGTGCCTCCTGACAAGGAGACACCTCCCAACAGGGCTTGACAGACATCTCATACAGGAGAGCTCTGGCTGGCATCTGGTAGGTGCCCCTCTGGGATGAAACTTCCAGAGAAAGGAGGAGGCAGCAATCTTTGCTGTTCTGCAGCCTTTGGTGGTGATACCCAGGAAAACAGGGTCTGGAGTGGACCTCCAGCAAACTCCAGCAGACCTGCAGAAGAGGGCCCTGACTGTTAGAAGGAAAACTAACAAACAGAAAGCAATAGCATCAACATCAACAAAAAGACAACCAAGCAAAAACCCCATGTGAAGGTCGCCAACATCAAAGATCAAAGGTACATAAATCCACGAAGATGATTAAAAACCAGTGCAAAAAGTCTAAAAATTCCAAAAACCAGAATGTCTCTTCTCCTCCAAAGGATCACAACTCCTCGCCAGCAAGAGAACAAAACCAGAGTGAGAATGCGTTTGACGAATTGACAGAAGTAGGCTTCAGAAGGTCAGTACTAACAAACACCTCTGAGCTAAAGGAGCATATTCTATACCAATGCAAGGAAGCTAAGAACCTTGATAAAAGGTTACAGGAACTGCTAACTAGAATAACCAGTTTAGAGAAGAATATAAATGAGCTGATAGAGCTGAAAAACACAGCACGAGAACTTTGTGAAGCATACGCAAGTATCAATAGCCGAATCAATCAAGCGGAAGAAAGGATATCAGAGATTGAAGATCAACTTAATGAAATAAAGTATGAAGACAAGATTAGAGAAAAAATATGAAAAGGAATGAACAAAGCCTCCAAGAAATATGGGACTATGTGAAAAGACCAAACCGACATTTGATTGGTTTACCTGAAAGTGATGGGGAGAATGGAACCAAGTTGGAAAACACACTTCAGGATATTATCCAGGAGAACTTCCACAACATAGTGGAACAGGCCAACATTCAAACTCAGGAGATACAGAGAATACCACAAAGATACACCTTGAGAAGAGCAGCCATAAGACACATAATCATCAGATTTGCCAAAGTTGAAATAAAGGAAAAAACGTTAGGGGCATCCAGAGAGAAAGGTCAGGTTACCCACAAAGGGAAGCCCATCAGACTAGCAGTGGATCTTTCTGCAGAAACTCTACAAACCAGAAGAGAGTAGGGGCCAACATTCAGCATGCTTAAAGAAAATAATTTTCAACTCAAAGTTTCATATCCAGCCAAACTAAACTTCATAAGTTAATGATAAGTAAAATCCTTTACAGACAAGCAAATGCTGAGGGATTTTGTCACCACCAGG
This sequence comes from Homo sapiens, assembly GCF_000001405.40. NCBI lineage: Eukaryota > Metazoa > Chordata > Mammalia > Primates > Hominidae > Homo > Homo sapiens. Next base: position 178,638,958 of record NC_000004.12, read on the forward strand.
CCTGCCTTACAAGAGCTCCTGAAAGAAGCACTATATATGAGAAGGAAAAAGCAGTACCAGCCTCTGCAAAAACATACCAAAATGTAAATACCATTGACACTATGAAGAAACTGCATAAGCTAATGGGCAAAATAACCAGCTAGCATCATAATGACAGGATCAGATTCACACATAACAATATTAACCTTAAATGTAAACAGGCTAAATGCCCCAATTAAAATACACAGACTGGCAAATTAAATAGAGTCGAGACCCATCAATGTGCAGTATTCAGGAGATCCATTTCATGTGCAAAGACACACAAAGGCTCAAAATAAAGAGATGGAGGAATATTTACCAAGCAAATGGAAAGAAAAAAAAACAGCAGGGGTTGCAATCCTAGTTTCTGATAAAACAGATTTTAAACCAACAAACATAAAAAAGACAAAGAATGGCATTACATAATGGTAAAGTGATCAAAGCAGCAAGCAAAGCTAACAATGCTAAATATATATGCACCCAATACTGGAGCACCCAGCTTCATAAAGAAAGTTCTTAAAGACCTACAAAGAGACTTAGACTCCTACACAATAATACTGGGAGACTTTAACACCCCACTGTCAATATTAGACAGATCAACAAGACAGAAAATTAACAAGGATATTCAGGACTTGAACTCAGCTCTGGACTAAGTGGACCTAATAGACATCTCCAGAACTCTCCACCCCAAATCAACAGAACATACATTCTTCTCAGCACACATAGCACTTATTCTAAAACTGACCACATAATTGGAAGGAAAATACTCCTCAGCAGATGCAAAAGAACTGAAATCATAACAAACAGTCTGTCAGAGGACAGTGCAATCAAATTAGAACTCAGGATTAAGAAACTCACCCAAATCCGCACAACTATATGGAAACTGAACAACCTGCTCCTGAGGGACTACTGGGTAAATAATGAAATTAAGGCAGAAACATAAGTTGTTTGAAACCAATGAGAACAAAGACACAATATACCAGAATCACTGGGACACAGCTAAAGCAGTGTTTAGGTGGAAATTTATAGAACTAAATCCCACAGGAGAAAGTGGGAAAGATCTAAAATCAAAATCCTAACATCACAATTAAAACAACTGGAGAACCAAGAGCAAATTCAAAAGCTAGCAGAATATAAGAAATAACTAAGATCAGAAAAGAACTGAAGGAGATAGAGACACAAAAAACCCTTCTAAAAATCAATGAATCCAGGAGCTGATTTTTTGAAAAGATCAACAAAATCGATAGCTTGCTAGCCAGGCTAATAAAAAAGAAATGAGAGAAGAATGAAATAGACACAGTAAAAAATGATAAATGAGATATCACCACTGATCCCACAGAAATACAAACTACCATCGGAGAATACTATAAATACGTCTACACAAATAAACTAGAAAATCTAGAAGAAATGGGTAAATTCCTGGACACATACACCCTCCCAATTCAAACAAAGAAGAAGTAGAATCCTTGAATAGACCAATAACAAGTTCTGAAATTGAGGCCGTAATTAATAGCCTACCAACCAATAAAAGCCGAGGACCAGATGGATTCACAGCCTAATTCTACCAGAGGTACAAAGAGGAGCTGGTACCATTTCTCCTGTAAATATTCAAAACAACAGAAAAAGAGAGACTCCTCCCTAACTCATTTTATGAGGCCAGCATCATCCTGATACCAAAACCTGGCAGAGGAAAAATAAAAAAAGAAAATTTCAGGCCAATATCCCTGATGAACATTGATGCAAAAATCCTCAATAAAATACTGGCAAAACGAATCCAGCAGCATATTAAAAAGCTTATCCACCACGATCAAGTCAGCTTCATCCCTGGGATGCAAGGCTGCTTCAACATATGCAAATCAATAAACATAATCCATCACATAAACAGAACCAATGACAAAAACCACATGGTTATCTCAATAGATGCAGAAAAGGCCTGCAATAAAACTTAACATCCCTTCATGATAAAAACTCTCAATAAACTATGTATTGATTGAATGTATCTCAAAATAATAAGAGCTATTTGTGACAAATCCACAGCCAATATCATACTAAATGGGCAAAACCTAGAAGCAATCCCTTTGAAAACTGGCACAAGACAAGGATGCCATCTCTCACCACTCCTATTCAACATAGTATTGGAAGTTCTGGCCAGGGCAATCAGGCAAGAGAAGGAAATAAAGCATATTCAAATAGGAATAAGGGAAGCCAATTTATCTGTTTGCAGATGACATAATTGAATATTTAGAAACCCCATTATCTCAGCCCAAAACTCCTTAAGCTGATAAACAACTTCAGCAAAGTCTCAGGATACAAAATCAATATGAAAATATCACAAGTATTTCTATACACCAATAATAGACAAGCAGAGAGCCAAATCATGAGTAAAATCCCATTCACAATTGCTACAAAGAGAATAAAAGGCCTAGGAATACAACTTACAAGGGATGTGAAGGAACTCTTCAAGGGGAACTACAAACCACTGCTCAAGGAAATAAGAGAGGACTCAAACAAATGGAAAAACATACCATGCTGATGGATAGGAAGAATCAATATTGTGAAAATGGCCATACTGCCCTAAGTAATTTATAGATTCAATGTTATTCTCAAAGAGCTACCATTGACTTTCTTCACAGAATTAGAAAAAACCACTTTAAATTTTGTATGGAGCCAAAAAAGAGCCCGTATAGCCAAGACAATCCTAAGCAAAAAGAACAAAGCTGGAGGCATCACACTACCTGACCTCAAACTATACTACAAGGCTACAGTAACCAAACAGCATGGTATGGGTACCAAAACAGATATATAGACCAATGGAACAGAACAGAGGCCTCAGAAATGATACCACATATCTACAACCATTTGATCTTTGACAAACATGACAAAAACAAGCAATGAGGAAAGAATTTCCTACTTAAAAAAAGGTGTTGGGAAAACTGGCTAGCCATGTGCAGAAAACTGAAACTGGACCCCTTATACAAAAAATACACCTTATACAAAAAATAACTCAAGATCTGTTAAAGATTTAAATGTAAGACCTAAAACCATAAAAACCCTAGAAGATACTTTATTACAAAGCTACAGTAATCGAGATGTGTGATATTACATGAGGACAGACACATAGATCCATGGGACCAGATACAGAACCCATAAATAACTCCATAGAAGTATGAGCTGATTTTATAAAGGCTCAAAAACAATTTAATAATAGTGGTGAAATATTAGTCTTTTCAGCAAATGGTGCTAGAGCAATTAGATATTCATAACCAAAATAAAATAAAAGGAAAAAAAATAAAAAAGAATCTGACCTAAACCTAATACCTTTTTTTTTTTTGAGATGGAATATAAAACTATAAATACTTTCAGTGATAGCATAGGAGAAAATCCTCAGAACCTAGGGCTGAGCAAAGAATTCTTAGACTTGACTCCTAATACACAATCTGTAAATGGAAAAAAAATCACTAAGTAGGACTAAATTCAAATTTTAAAATATTGACTTTGTAAAATACCCTAAGATGATGAAAAGACAAGCTTCAGACTGAGGAAAAATATTTACAAACCCTGTATCTAATAAAGGACTGCCACATAGAATATATAAAGAGCTCTCAACATTCAACTATAAAAAACCAGCCAATTAAAATATGAATAAAAGGCATGAAGATACATTTCACCTAAAAAAATAGAGATGGCAAATAAACACATGAAACAATGCTAAACATCATTGGCATTAGTGAAATGAAAGTAGAAACTACTATGAGATCTCACTACACATCTAAAAACCAACTAAAACATTGTGACATTGTGAAATACTCTTAAGGATGCAGAGAAAATAGATCACTTGGACATTGCTGATGGGGAATATAAAATGATACAGTCACTCTGGAGAATAGAAGTTTGTAAAATAAACAAAATATACACTTAAACTATATAACCCTGCAATTGCACCTCTGGCCATTTGCCTCAAAGAAATGAAAACATATGTCCAAACAAAAATTTGTACACATTTATCCATAGCAGCTTTATTTGTAATTGCTCAGAGTTTAAAATTACCAAAATGCCCCTCAATACATAAATGGCTAAAAACAAAGCAAAACAAAACAATCTGTAGTACATCCATGCCACGAATCTCCAGTGAAGTATTTTGAGTAAAAAAAAATCAATTTCAAAAGGTTACATAGTGAATGAATTCATTTATATTACATTTTTTAAATGACAAAATACAGAGATGAATAACAGATTAGGATTGTTGGGAGTTAGGGATAGTGGAGGAGTGGGTGGAAAGGGATAACAGAAGGGAGATATTTGTGATAATAAAAGAATTCTGTCTCATGGTTGCAGTGGTCATTACATAAATCTGAACATGTGATATAATAACACGTACCGATACTTACACATTGTGCCAATGTCAAATTCCTGGTTTTGATATTTTACTAAAATTGTATCAGTTAAATCATTGAAAGGGTACATGGGTCCTCTCTGTGGTACCTTGGCAGCCTGCTGTGTATATAATTATCTCAAAACAAAGGTAAAAAATCGTTAATTATCTACAAATAAATGCATTATTTATTTATTTATTTATTTTTGAGACAGAGTCTTGCTCTGTCTCCTAGGGTGGAGTGCAGTGGCGCGATCTTGGCTTACTGCAACCTCTGCCTCCCGGGTCCAAGCGATTCTCCCGCCTCAGCCTCCCGATTAGCTGGGATTACAGGTACCTGCCATCACTCCCGGCTATGTTTTGTATTTTTAGTAGAGACGGGGTTTCATCATGTTGGCCAGGCTGATCTTGAACTCCTGATCTCAGGTGATCGGCATGCCTCAGTGTCCCAAAGTGTTGGGATTACAGGCGTGAGCCACTGTGCCTGGCCTAAAATTGCAGCAAAACTTTAAAGTAAACTAAGCTCTAGACCCACACAGTAAGCCTTATATGTCAGGCAATATTTGTATCTATCTCGCTTTTATTAAAGCCTTTCTACACGAGTGTGGTCTACAGACTCACACAGCATCAGTGTCAGCGTCGCCCAGAAGCTTGTTAGAAGTGCAGCACCTGCAATCCCATCTGACATCTACTGTGTAAGAATCTACGTTTTGACAAGATCCCCAAAGATTTGAATGCACATTAAAGTCTGAGTAACACTGATCTAAAAGGAGGATGTTGTATTATTTTAAAGCTTACTCAAAATCGCAGTGAGTTTTGAAACCCCTAGTCTAATCAACTCAGTCAGTTCACTATTGCTTTTTCAAGAACCCTGGATAACCCGGGAGACCAACCTGGGTAAATGTGAATGATTCAAACTTTGCAACCTGTAATAAGGCATTGATGGAATTTATGATTTACCTAACTGTGCTTTCCTCTCCACAAGGAAAAAGCCTCCCTCGTCTTTATTGCTAATTTAAGTGCATTCTGCAGTTCTTTCTACTGAGTGTGGGGAGGGAGATGGTCCATGATATGTACGGGAACTAAAGGATCTTTTGAATAGGATTATGTTTAGCTCAGATTCATCCACAAAATCCAACATTTTCTTTTTATAATATACCTGTAAGACATAACAAAATGCCAAATGATTGTAATATTGCTATTGCAACCTGTCCCTTAAGAGGAATTCCTTAATAGAGTATATTTATTTTAAAAAATAAAACTATGACAAAATTTTAAGTCAATAGAATATTTTCACACTTTAAATCTGATGGTTCTATTGTAGTTTGAGTTATGGCTTACCTTGCAATTCTATATTTTAGTATTACATAAATGTAATTTTCTAATGAAATTATATATATGATTATGTTTTATAGTTATAGTAATTCCATTCCTAATTCCATGAAAAAAACTTTTCTAGTACATTACAGAATAACATTAAACAGGTACACAATGTGTAATAATCATATCAAGAACATTACAGAATAATGTTAAACAGGTACACAATGTGTAATAATCATATCAAGGTAAATGGGATATCCATAACCTCAGGCATTTATCCTTTTGTGATACAAACAATGCAATTATGCTCTTTTAGTTATTTTTAAATGTGCAATTACATTATTTATGACTATAGTCACCCTGTTGTGCTATCAAATACTAGGTCTTATTTATTCTTCCTAACTAATTTTTGAACCCATTAACCACTCTCACTTTCCCCCAGCCCCCACTATCCTTTCCAGTGTGCAGTAACCATCCTTCTACTCTCAATCTCCATGAGATCAATTGTTTTAATTTTTAGCTCCCCAAAATAAGTGAGAGCATGTGATTCATACGTTTCTGTGCCTGGTTTATTTCACTTAACATAATGACCTCCAGTTCCATCCATGTTATTGCAAATGACAGGATCTCATTCTTTCTATGGCCAAATAGTACCCACTTGTGTATATATACCATATTTTCTTTATTCATTCATCTCTTGCTGGATACTTACGTTGCTTCCAAATCTTGACTATTGTTAATAGTGCTCCAATAAGTGTGGGAGTGCATATATCTCTTCCATATGCTAGCTTCCTTGCTTTTGGGTATATACCAAAAGGACGGTTCCTGGATCATATGGTAGCTCTGTTCCTGGATTTTTGAGGAAGCTCCAAATGGTTCTCCATAGTGGTTGCACTAACATACATTCCCATCAACAGTGTACAAGGGTTCCCTTTTCTCCACAGCCTCACCAGCATTTGTTATCACCTATTTTTTGGATATAAGCCATTTTGACTGTGATGAAATTATATATCATTGTAGTTGTGATTTGCATTTCTTTAATGATTGCTGATGTTGAGCATCTTTTCATATACTTGTTTGACATTTGTATGTCTTCTTTTGAGAAATATTTGTTCAGATCTTATGCCCATTTTATAATTAGATTATCAGATGTTTTTTCCTGTAGAATTGTTTGAGCTCCTTACATATTCTAGTTATTAATCATACTTTGCAAATATTTTCTCTCCTTCTGTGGGTTGTCTCTTCACTTTGTTGCTTCTTGTGCAGTGCAGAAGCTTTTTCACTTGATATGATCTCATTGGTTAATTGTTGCTTTGATTGCCTGTGTTGTGGGATATTACTCAGAAAATTTTTGCCCATTCCAATGTCCTGGAGAGTTTCTGCAATGTTTTCTTTTAGTACTTGCATAATTTGAGGTCTTAGATTTAAGTCTTTAATCCATTTTGATTTGATTTTTGTACATGACAAGAGATATGGGTTTAATTTCATTCTTTTGCATATAGATATCCAGTTTTCCCAGTCCCATTTATCAAAGAGATTGTCTTTTTTTTACAATATATATTCTTTTGCATCTTTGTGAAAAATGAGTTCACTGTAGATGTATGGATTTATGTCTGTGTTCTCTATTCTGTTCCACTAATCTGTGTGTCTGTTTTATGCCAATCTCAGGCTGTTTTTTTTACTATTGCTCTGTAGTATAATTTAAAGTCAGGTAATATGATTCCTCCAGTTTTGTTATTTTTGCTTAGGATAGCTATGGCTATTCTGAGCATTTGTGGTTCTATATACATTTTAGAATTTTTTATGATTTCTGTGAAGAATGTCATTGATATTTTGATAGGGATTGCATTAAATCTGTAGAGTGGTTTAGGTAGTGTAGACCTTTTAACAGTATTAATTCTTCCAACCCATGAACATGGAATATCTTTACATTCTTTGTGTGTTATTCTGTGGGAGTGATCAGACTGAACACCAGGTCGTGGGGGTGACAAAGTCTGGTGGAGTCAAAGGATTGAGAAAAGACTGTCTGAGAGAGAGAAGTGGGACCAGGGGGCCATTGCGATCATGGAGGCTGTGAAGGCCCTGAGATCTGAGAGCCCACACTATTTCTTGGTAATCCAGCAAAGAAACAGATGGTGAGAATGTGGAGGTCGAAGGGGCGCGTTGCATTAAGCACATGATTTACAGCTGTTATGGTTTAGCATTTGCTCTGCTACTTGAGATAATGGAGAGCAGGTTCTTTTAACTCAAGATACAATCGATCCTGGGAGAGCAAGGAGCAAGGAGACAGCACTTCTAGACACATTCCAGAGCCATGAAGCTTGGATTCTATCCAAGCCACAAGTGATTATATGCCCTGGGCTTAGGCTATGGCATGTCAGGGTAGACTTCCACCCTTTAGCACAGAGCTTGGTGTTCCAAAGGCCACAAGGGGTTTTAGACCCTGGACCCCGGACATGTTCCAAGACTCTTTAACATTATGTCAGACATGCATGCCCTGCCTCAGCTTCTCCCAACATTCAGCTTTTCCCAACATTCTTCAATTTCTTGCATCAGTGCTTCATAGTTTTTATTGTAGAGTTCTTTGAGGTCTTTGGTTAAGTTTATTCTGAGATATTTTATTTCATTTGAAACTATTGTAAATGGAATTACGTTCTTGATTTGTTTTTCGGTTGTTCGTTGTCTGTATATAGAAATGCTACTGATTGGCCAGGTGTGGTAACTCGTGCTTGTGATCCCAGCATGTTGGGAGGCCAAGGTGGCAGATCACGAGCTCAGGAGATCAAGACCAACCTGGATAACACAGTGAAACACCATCTCTGCTAAAAATACAAAAAATTAGAAATCAGCCAGTCATGGTGGCATGCAACTGTAGTCTCAACTACTCAGGAGGCTGAGGCAGGAGAATTGCTTGAACCCAGGAGGCAGAGGATGCAGCGAGCCGAGATCATGCCATTGTACTCCAGCCTGGGTGACAGAGTGGGACTCCATCTCAAAAAAAAAAAAAAAAAAAAAAGAAATGCTACTGATTTTGTGGTATGTTGATTTTGTATCCCACAACTTTACTGAATTTATCAGTTCTAACAGATTTTTGGTGAAGTCTTTAGGTTTTTCCAAATATAAGACCATAATATCTGCAAACAAGGATAATTTGACTTCTTTCTTTCCAATTTGGATGCCTTTTATTTTGTTTTCTTGTCTGATTGTTCTATCTAGAATTTCCAGTACTATGTTGAATATCAGGGGAAAAAGTGGGCATCCTTGTTGTGTTTCCAATTATAGAAGAACGCCTTTTAGTTTTTCCCATTCATTAATTTACTACCTGTGAGTTTGTCATGTGTGGCTTTTATTATATTGAAGTCTGTTTCTTCTATATCCACTTTTTTAAGGGTTTTTTTTATTATGAAGGGATTTTGAATTTTATCAAATGGTTTTTCAGCATCAGTTGAAATGATTATATGACTTTTGTACTTCATTCTGTTATTATTATGTATCACATTGATTGGTTTGCTAATTAATGCATTTTAGTTTTCCCCATTCAATAATTTACTACCTGTGAGTTTGTCATATGTGGCTTTTATTATATTGAGGTCTGTTCCTTCTATAACCAGTTCTTAAAGGTTTTTATCATGAAGGGATGTTGAATTTTATCAAATGCTTTTTCAGCATCAGTTGAAATGATTATATGAGTTTTGTCCTTCATTCTGTTAATATTATGTATCACATTGTTTGATTTGTGTATGTTGAATCATTCTTGCATCCCTGGGATAAAATGCACCTGGTCATGGTGAATGATCTTTTTAATATGTTGTTGAATTCGGTTTGCTAGTATGTTGTTGGGGATTTTTGAAGAAACATTCATCAGTAATATTTGCATATAGTTTTTTTTTCTTTTTGATGTGTCTTTCTCTGTTTTTGGTATCAGGGTATACTCGCATAATAGAATGAGTTTGAAAGTATTTCTATCTCCTCTATTTTTTAGAATAGTTTAAATAGCATTGGTATTAGTTTTTTAAAAAAAAGAAAAAAAAAACTTTGGTAGAATTGAGCAGTGAAGCCATCAGGTCCTGGGCTTGTCTTTGCTGGGAAACTTTTTTATTACAACTTTAATTTCATTATTTGTTATTGGTCTATTCATGTTTTAGATTTCTTCATGGTTCAATCTTAGTAGATTGTATGTGTCTATGAATCTATCTATTTCTTCCACAATTTCAAATTTACTGGCATATAGTTACTCAAAGTAGCCACTAATGATTCTTTGAATTTCTGTGGTGTCAATTGCAATGTCTCCTTTTTCATGTCCAACTTTATTTATTTAGGTCTTCTCTTTTTTTCTCTTAGTTATTGGATAATTGTTTGTCATTTTTGTTTATTTCTCAAAAACAAAAACCCAAATTTTTATTTTATTGATCTTTTGTATTATTTTTGTTTGTTTCAATTTCATTTATCTCTACTCTGAACTTTATTATTTCCTTTCTTCTACTAAATTGGGTTCAGTTTGCTCTTGCTTTTCTAGTTGTTTAAGATGCATCATTAGGTTATGTACAGTTTTTCTTCTTTTTTTATGTATGTGCTTATAGCTATAAAATTCTATCTTAGTAATGCTTTTGCTGTATCCCACATGTTTTTGTATGTTGTGCTTGCATTATCATTTGCTTCAATAAATTTTTCAATTTTCTTTTAATTTCTTTATTAACCCACTGGTAATTCAGGAGAGTATTGTTTAATTTCCTGTGGTTGTATAGTTTCAAAAATTCCTGTTGTCATTGATTTCTAGTTTTGTTCCCTTGTAGTCAGAGAAGATGTTTGATACTATTTAACTTTTTTGAATGTTTTAAGACTTGTGACCTAACGTATGGTGTCTCCTTGAGAATGATCCATGTCTGAGGAGAAAAATGTGTAATCTACAGCTGTTGAATAAACTGTTCCGTAAATAACTATTAGGTTCATTTTGTGTATAGTGCAGATCAAATCCAATGTATCTTTGTTGATATTCTGTCTGTAATAACTGTCCAGTGCTGAAAATGAGGTGTTAAATTCTCCAGCTATTATTTGTACTGAGGTCTCTCTTTAGCTCTAATAACAATTGCTTTACATATCTGGGTGCTCCAGTGTTGGGTGTATACATACTTACAATTGTTATATTCTCTTGCTGAATTGATCCCTTTATCATTATATGGTGACTTTTTTGTCTTTTATTATAGTTTTTGTCTTGAAATCTATTTTGTCTGATATAAGTATAGCTACTCCTGTTCTTTTGCAGTTTCCATTGGCATGAAATATCTTGTTTCATCTCTTTATTTTCCATGTATATGTGTCTTTATAGTTGAAGTATGTTTCTTGTAGTCAACAGATTATTGGCTCTTTTTTTTAAATGCATTCAGTCACCCCACTTTTTTTCATTGAGGAGTTTAGTTTACTAACATTCAGTATTATTATTGATAACTAATGACTTACCCCTGCCATTTTGATATTTGCTTTCTGGTTGTTTTGTAGTCTTCTCTTCCTTCTTTCCTTCCTTCATGTCTTCCTTTTAGTGAAGGTGATTTTCTCTGACTGTAGAATTTAATTTCTTGCTTTTAAGTTTTTGTATATGTACTGTGTGTTTTTTGATTTGAAGTTACAATGTAGCTTGTAAATACTGCTTTGTAACCCATTATTTTAAGCTGACAAAAACTTAACACTGTTTGAATAAACAAACAAGCAAAAAGAAAACTAATAAAAATTATACCACTTCTTAACTTCATCTCCCCGTTGTTTAACTTCTTGTTGTTTCTATTTATATCTTATTTTACTGCTTATGCCTTGAAAAGTTGTTGTAGTTATTATTTTTGATTGGTTCACCTTTTAGTCTTTCTACTTGAGAGTAGTTTACATATCACAGTTACAACATTAAAATATTCTGTGTTTTTCTGTGTACTTATTACTATCAGTGAGTTTTGTTCCTTGAGATTATTTATTATTGCTCATTAAAATTCATTTTTTTTTTTTTTTTTTTTTTTGCTGATTGAAGTACTCTCTTTTGCATTTCTTGTGGGACAATTCTGGTATTTATGAAATCCTTTAACTTTTGTTTTTCTGGGAAAGTATTTCTCCTTAAGGTTTGAAGGATATTTTCACTGAATATACTGTTCTAGGTCAAAAATTTTTTTCTTCAGCATTGAAATATGTCACACCGTTCACTTCTGGCCTATAAGGTTTTCACTGAAAAGACTGCTGCCAGACATACTGGAGCTCCAATGTATATTATTTGTTTCTTTTCTCTTGATGCTTTTAGGATCCTTTCTTTATCTTTGATCTTTAGGTGTTTGATTATTAAATGTCTTGATGTAGTCTTCTTTGGATTAAAGCTATTTGTTTTCTATAACCTTCTTGAACTTGGATATTGATATATTTCTCTACATTTGAGAACTTCCTTGTTATGATTCCATTGAATAAATTTTCTACCCAGATATCTTTCTCTACCTAGTCTTTAAGGCCAATAACTCTTAAGTTTGCCCTTTTGAGCTTATTTTCTAGATCCTATGAGCATATTTCATTCTTTTTTATTCCTTTTTTATCTCTCTTCTGAGTATATTTTCAAGTAGCCTGTGTTCAAGCTCACTAATTCTTCATTCTGCTTGGTCAATCTGCTATTAAGAGATGCTAACACACTCTTCAGTATGTCAATTGCACTTGTCAGCTCCAGAATTTCTGCTTAATTCTTTTTAATTATTTCCATGTATTTGTTAAATTTATCTGATAGAATTCTGGATTCTTTCTCTGTGATATCTTCAATTTCTTTGAGTTTCCTCAACCACTATTTTGAATTCTCTTTATGAAAGGTCACATATCTCCCAGCACTTTGGGAGGCCGAGGTGGGTGGATCACAAGATCAGGAGGTTGAGACCAGCCTGACCAACATGGTGAAACCCCATCTCTACTAAAAATACAAAAGTTAGCCAGGCATGGTGGCATGCACCTGCATCCCAGCTACTCAGGAGTCTGAGACAGAGGCGGAAGTTGCAGTGAGCTGAGATGGTGCCACTGCACTCCAGCCTGGGGGACAGAGCAAGACTCCATCTCAAAAAAAAAAAAGAAAGAAAGAAAGAAAGAAAGAAAGAAAGAAAGAAAGAAAAGTCACATATCTCTATTTCTCCAGGATTGTTTCCTAGTACCTTATTTACTTTGTGTGGTGATGTCCTGTTTGTCCTGAGTGCTCTTTTGGAAGTTTTCTGTGTCTGGGCATAAGCGTTAGGTATTTACTGCAGTCTTTGCAGTCCTTCTTCTGAAGGCTTTCCAGGTATTAGAAAGGAATCAGATGTTGTGGTCTAAGCTATATCTGCATTGAGGACACCCGAAGCCCAGTAACACTGTGGTTCTTGCAGAATCATAGAGGTGCCACCTTTATAGTCTTGGATATGATTTGGAAGAATTCTCTGGATTACCAGGCAAAGACTCTTGTTCTCTTCCCTTACTTTCTCCCAAACAAACAGAGTCACTCTCTCTGTGCTGAGCTGCCTGGAGCTGATGGTGAGGTGGCACTGTCCAGTGAAGCTATGAGTATGAGAAGAGAGTCACTGTGCTCCAGCCCCTAGAATTGTAGCTCCACCAAAATCTTGCACCATGTGCCTGGAAACGCTTCAGGCACTCAATGCCAGCCCATGAAAGCAACCACAGGGCTGACATGGTTTGGCCCTCTGACCCAGCCAAATCTCATCATGAATTATACTCCTATAATTCCCACGCTTTGTAGGAGGGATGCAGTAGTAGATAATTTGAATCACGGGGGTGGTTTTCCCCATATTGTTCTTGTGGTAGTGAATAAGTCTCATGAGATCTGATGGTTTCATCAGGGGTTTCCGCTTTTGCATCTTCCTCATTTTCTCCTGCTGCCGCCATGTAAGAAGTGCCTTTTGCCTTCTGCCATGATTTGGAGGCCTCCCCAAACATGTGGAACTGTAAGTCCAATTAAAACTTTTTTTCTTCCCAGTCCTAGATATATCTTTATCAGCAGCATGAAAATGGACTAATACAGTAAACTGGTACCAGTAGAGCGGGGCATTGCTAAAAAGGTAAGCAAAAATGTGGAAGTAACTTTGGAACTGCGTAACAGGTAGAGAGTGGAACAATTTGGAGGGCTCAAAAGAAAGCAGGAAAACGTGAGAAAGTTTGGAACTTTCTAGAGACTTGTGGAATGGCTTTTACCAAAAGCCTGATAGCATATAGACAATAAGGTCCAGGCTGAGGTGGTCTCAGATAGAGATGAGGAACTTGCTGGGAACTGGAGCAAAGATGACTCTTGTTATGTTTTAGCAAAGAGACTAGCAGCATTTTCCCCTGCCCTAGATATCTGTGGAACTTTGAACTTGAGAGAGATGATGTGGGGTATCTGGCAGAAGAAATTTCTAAGCAGCAAAGCATTCATGGTGTGACTTGGGTGCTGTTAAGGGCATTCAATTTTATAAGAGAAGCAGAGCATAAAATTTCAGAAAATTTTCAGCCTGACAATGTGATAGAAAAGAAAAACCCATTTTCTGACTATAATTTAAGCTGGCTGCAGAAATTTGCAAAATTAACAAGGAGCCAAATGTTAATCCCGAGACAATGGGAAAAATGTCTCCAGGGCATGTCAGAGGTCTTCACAGCAGCCCCTCCCTCCCATCACAGGCCCAGAGGCCTAGGAGGGAAAATGATTTTATGGGTCGTGCCCAGGGTTTCCAAGCTGTGGGCAGCCTGGGACTTTGTGCCCTGCATCCCAGCTGCTCCAGCGATGGCTGAAAGGGGCCAAGGTAGGGCTCAGGCCATGGCTTCAGAGGGTGCAAGCCCCAAGCCTTGGCAGCTGCTACATGCTGTTGAACCCATAAGGGCACAGAAGTCAAGAATTAGGTTTTGGGAACCTCTACCTAGATTTCAGAAGATGTATGGATATGCCTGGGTACCCAGGCAGAAGTTTGCTGCACGGGTGGGGTGCTCATGAAGAACCTCTGCTAGGGCAGTGCAGAAGAGAAATGTGGGGTTGGAGCCCAAATACAGAGTCCTTACTGGGGCATCACCTAGTGATGCTGTAAGAAGAAGGCCACCATCCTCCACACCCCAGAATGGTAGATCCCTGGACAGCTTGCACCTATGCACTTGGAAAAGCCACAGACATGCAACACCAGCCCATGACAGCAGCTAGGAGGGAGGCTGTACCCTGAAAAACCACAGGTTGGGGAGCTGCCCAAGACCATGGATACACATCTGGAAACACATCTCTTGCATCAGCATGACCTGGATGTGAGATCTGGAGTCAAAGGAGATCACTTTGGAGCTTTAAAATTTGACTGCCCTGCTGGATTTCAGACTTGCATGGGCCCCATAACCATTTTGTTTTGGCCAATTTCTTTCATTTGGAATGGATGTATTTACCCTATACCTGTATCTCCATTGTGTCTTGGAAGTAACTAGCTTGCTTTTGGTTTCACAGGCTCACAGGTGGAAGGGACGTGCTTGTCTCAGATGAGACTTTGGACTGTGGACTTTTGGGTTAATGTTGAAATGAGTTAAGACTTTGGTGGACTGTTGGGAAGGCATGAATGGTTTCTAAACCTGAGAATATGAGATTTGGAGGGGCCAGGGGCAGAATGATATGGTTTGGCTTTGTGTTGTCCCCACCCAAATCTCATCTTGAATTGTACTCCCATAATTCCCATGTGTTGTGAGAGGGATCCATTGGGAGATAATTTGAATCATGGAGGCAGTTTCTGCACCCTGTTCTTGTGGTAGTGAATAAGTCTCATGAGATCCGATGGTTTCATCGGGGGTTTCTGCTTTTGAATCTTCCCCATTTTCTCTTGCTGCCACTATGTAAGAAGTGCCTTTTGACTTTCACCATGATTCTGAGGCCTCCCCAGATATGTGGAAATGTACATCGAATTAAATGTCCTTTTCTTCCCAGTCTTGGGTATGTCCTTATCAGCTGTGTGAAAACAGACTAATAGAAAGGCTATACCCTGCACAGACTCAGGGACAGAGCTGCCTAAGGCCTGGGGATCCCACCCCTTGCATCAGTGTGGCCTGGATTCGAGAAATGGAGTCAAAAGAGATAATTTTGGGGCTTTAAATTTAATTACTGCCCTTCTGGATTTTGGACTTGTATGGGGCCTGCAGCCGCTTTCTTTTGGTTGATTTCTCCCTTTTGAAATGGAAGTATTTGCCCAATACCTGTACCCCCATTGTATCTTGGAAGTAACTAATTTGTTTTTGATTTTACAGGCTCATTGGTGGAAGGGACTTGTGTTGTCTCAGATGAGACTCTGGATTATGTACTTTTGAGTTAATGTTGAAATGAGTTAAGACTTTGGGAGACTATTGAGAAGGAATCATTGTATTTTGCAATGTGAGCAGGTTTGAATTTGTGTCCACACCCAAATCTCAATTCAAATTATAATCCCCAATGTTGGAGGCAGGGCTTGGTGGGAGGTGATTGAATCATGGGGTCGCAATTCCCCCTTTGGTGCTGTTCTTGTGATAGAGTTCTCTCAGATGATATAGTTTAAAAGTGTGTAGCATCTCCCGCCTCTCCCTCTTCCTCCTGCTCTGGCCATGTGAGACATGCATGCTTCCCCTTTACCTTCTACTATAATTGTAAGTTTCCTTACGCCTCCCTGGCTATGCTTCCTGTATAGCATGTGGAACTGCGAACCAATTAAACCTCTTTTTTAAATAAATTATTGATATAGCTTGGCTATATCACTACCCAAATCACATCTCTTACTGTAATCTGAATTCTAATCCCACATGTTGAGGAAGGGTTCTTCTGGGAGGTGATTGGATCATGGGGGCAGTTTTCCCCATGACGTTCTCCTAATAGTGAGTGAGTTCTCATGAGATCTGGTTGTTTGATAAGTGTCTGGCAATTTCCCCTGCGCTCCCTCTCTCATCTGCTGCCATGTAAGGTGTGCCTTGCTTCCCCTTTGCATTCTACCATGATTATAAGTTTTCTGAGGCCTCCACAGCCACACAGAACTGTGAGTCAACTAAACATCTTTTCTTTATAAATTACCCAGTCTCTGGTAGTATCTGTATAGCACTGTGAGAACAAACTAATACAAAGGTTTAGCCTGAAGGTAAGGGCTATGGAACTAGTCAAAAAAAGAAAATTAAAAAATTAAGAGACTTAAACTACTCCTAATAGGAAATTTTGGGAAATTTCAATGAGCTATAAAGCAAAGAAGAATATAGAAAGGGACAAAGACAAAGGATGGTGGTGGGGTGGGAGGATAGGTACATGGCCAGGAAGCTTGTGGGTTGAAAGGCTAAAAGGAAACTGCCCTATGACAAATGGCCACATGATTTTATAAGAAAAAATAAGCTAATTTATTTTTCCTTTCTCTCTCTCTCTCTCTCTCTGCCTCACTCTCTGTTTCATGCTTGCTCTCTCTCTCTCTCTGATTAAACCACTTTCCTTTCTTATCCATCAGGTGCAACTTCATTAGAGCCAGAATGCCCCTCAACATTGCTTCACCAGTCTACCCTTCCACCAACAATATATAAAAGTTCCTGAATCTCCACATTCTTAGCATCTCCTGGCATTCTTTAGCTGTCTGTGACATGCTATCCTAACATAACATAGCCTAACACTTACATGACAATACGTACATAATCACAGTATGAGGAAATTAATGGAGAAGTTCAATTATGGGCCCTACCACAATACATAAAACAGAGATAGTATTCATAGAAGAAAACCTGACACAAAAGTAAGAGAAAAAATATCCCAGCATATCTGGGAAAATCTTGAGGATGGATGTGGATCTCCCCATGATACAGAATTTGAAGTTTTAAGTCAATTTTTAAACAAGGAGGAGAATAATGTTACCAGATTATATCTGGTTGGCACAGTTTAAAAAAAGACATACGGTATCTGTTTCTTGATGAAAACAATGTGCAAGTTACAATTACTTTTTATGAAAAAAATGAAATTAGTACCTGCATATTGAAGAATGGAAATGAAATGAAAAGGTTCAAGATAAATGAATGCAATTTTAAATTTTGATTGTAATAGTTCTTATTGTGTGTTATTGTTTAATCTCATACGGGCAGCTATTTTCATAACACATATACCTGCATAATTTAATATATTTTAAGGCAATGTGTATATGTGAAAATTAAGGACAACTAAAAATGCTTATGACTGAAATTTCTATTTCAATTGGCCTATTCATGACAATGTCTTTCCATTGATTTTGGACTATTAAGGTTAATACCCAGTATTCTTATCATAAAAAGGAAAAATCAAGGAATATTATGAACAATTTGGAAGTTATTTTATATCATTTTTTAAAATTTGTCATTATATTGATCCTTCTCTGATGCCTAAATTCTGGCAACTCCTTTGAGATATCATTGCTATTATAAAGCCTACGCTACATCTGTTAATAAGTTCCCAGTAGAAAAATACAGAATCTCATTCAAAAGTATCTAGTCATGAATTCATGCTATTTCTGAAAGTTGACTTTTTAACAGAGGTATCAATATTAAAATTCTTTTCTTTAGACTAGCCTGTGTGTTATAAAGAAAAGAAAACACACTTCCTCTGACAATATAAACAATTCCTGGTAAATAACTTGAAGACATATACCATATAACTTCAGGCTGCATATTTAAAATACACTTTAACAAAGCACAATATAAATTCTTCTTAAGGCCTTCATTAATCAATAGAGGATGACACTGTATCCATCATGCAAGAAAACTGGGAATATAGGAAAAACAAAACAAAACTCCTTTTCTGCTTTTTAGTTCCTTAGTGTATGAAGACTGAAACATAATCAATATTATGTATCAATGTTTGGGAGAAATGTGTTACTGTGTTGGTCTACATTTTAACTTTAATTGTTTTGTTATTTAGTATGACAACAGGAAACAGAAAAGACAGATAATGATGGGGACAATAATAGAAATTGATATGAATTGGAACTTTGCTAAATAATATAGCCTGTATCTACATAAAATATATTTCTTTTCAAAATATTTATTTAGTAATTGTCCTTAAAAGTTATAAAGGTTTTAAGTTAAAAATATCTTATGCAAACTTGGGTCTCAGTTCTGCTTTGTCTCACTTAAAATTTATACCATTCAGAAAATTTCTTAAAATCTCTGGACATCATTTGCTTCATTAGTACACTGAGAAGTCAGGACTTATAAAGAGAATGCTTAGTAATATGTTAGGACGTAAAATTCTATAAATGAAAATAAAATTCTTCTTAGGACAACTTAATGTTTATTAGGACATTTATCATATAAATAATTGGAGCTTATTGTGTGCCAGCTTGTATTGGTGAGGCTTCATTCCTTTATTCGCTCCTTCAATTATTCTTGTATTTTTAATGCATTTATTCAGTGCCTGGAAGGTATGATGCTCTATGCTAAGCTTTAGAAACACGGGAGTGAACAAAAAATTTACAGTTACGTAGAGTCTGCTGAAAAATTTGCTAACCTTTGGCTTGTGAACTCTTTAGGGTTTCATTATTAATACATTGCAAGGAATTATTTTGTTAAAGGTACAACTATCCCAGGCTAAAAATGTCTTTTGTTGGCAATACAGTAATTTACAAATATTCTCTATTATGAAACTGTTTAAGAACCTCTGATCATGTATCGTGTAAGATGATGTAAATATAAGAACAGACCAGCTTGTTCATGATTTCATAATTTGATATGTTTGGCTCTTATTAACAGGTATTTATTTCTGTATAAGAGAATCATTGATTTTCTGTTGTCTTTTTTTATTGTGGCAGCAAGAGATAACATGGGATCTACTCTGTTAACAAATTTTGAAGTATAGAGCACCTTATTGCTTATTACAAGCACGATGTTGTACATCGAATCTCCAGAACTAATTCATCTTGCATAACTGAAATTTTATACATGTTTATTACCAACTCCTCATTTTCCTGTCTCCTCAGGGCCTACCATTCTGTTCTTTGTTTCTATAAATTTGGCTATTTTACATACATCATATAAATAAAATCGTGCAGTATTTGTCCTCCTGTGACTGGCTTATTTCATTTAATGTATTCATTCATTTTTGCACTACTATGGAGAAATACCCTAAGCTGGGTAATTTATAAAGGAAAGAAGTTTAATTGACTCATAGTTCCGCATGGCTGGGGAGACCTCAGGAAACTTACAATCATAGCAGAAGGAGAAACAAACACATCCTTCTTCACATGGTTGCAGGAGTGAGAAGAATGGGAGCTGAGAGAAGGGAGAAGCCCTTATGAAACCATCAGATCTTGTAAAAACTCACTCACTGTCATTCTCCACTGCAGGAGAATGGTGTGAACCCAGGAGGTGGAGCTTACAGTGAGCTGAGATTGTGCCACTGCACTCCAGCCTGGGCAACAGAGCAAGACTCCATCTCAAAAAAAAAAAAAAAAAAATCCGGGACCTGATGTCTTCACTGCTGAATTCTACCAATCTTTTAAAAATTATCAATCCTTCCCAAACTCTTCCAAAAATGTGAAGACGAAGAAATTCTCCAAAATTACTTTTTGAGATTAGTATTATCCTGCTAGCAAAGCCAAATAAAGACAATATGGGAAAAGAAAAATACAGGTTAATATCTCTGGTAATAACAGATGCAAAAATTTTCAATAAAGTAATAGAAAATATAATTCGCTAGTACATTGAAAAGATCATACATCTAGATCAAATGGGATTTATCCCTGGGACGTAAAGATAGTTCAACTTAGAAAAATCAATTAAGGTGATATATCACATTAACAAAATGAAAAATGAAAACTACAGGATTATCTCAGTAGATACAGAAAAAGCATTAGAGAAAATTTAACACCTTTTCATGATAAAATCTCTCAATAAACTAGAAACATAAGGAATGTACTTCAAAATAATAAAGGCCATATATGACAAGCGTAGAGTTAGTAGCATACTCAATGATACTCAATGGTGAAAAATTGAAAAATTTTTCTGTAAGGTGAGGAACAAGCCTAAGTTGCTTACTTTTGACACTTCTATATAAAAGACATACAAGTCAGAAAGACTTGTTTGCAGATGAGATGATCATTGATTTATATGTAATTTTTTCTCAGCCACATTAGCTATTTATTATCTATTGTATATTATTTGTGTACAAAACTGATGTACAGATAAACCAGAAATGAATCATATATGACAGTAATGTTGAACTACAAGTTAATGTAAAAAAACTGTGTTATAACTATTAAATATATTGTCTTAACATTTGAAGGTACGTAACCTCCATTTGCCTAATCAATACATTTATGTAGTAAATTAATGTTTCAAAAACTTTGAAAATCATTAAGTGAGAAAATATAGTAACTAACATATTCAATAAGACTTTTTATTTATTATAAATATTTCTACATTATAAAATTTTATGTCTTAAGAAAACCTTGCAAATAGAAGTCATACATTTGTTTTTCGACTGCAACATTTACAAATAAAATGGAAATTATATGAACAATCAAGTTGATAGATTTATAAAGTAGAAAATGAAGAAAAATCCAAAAGTTAGTTCATAAAGGAAGTTCGCTCAATTTCCAGTGCTGCAATATGTTGTACATTTCCATGCAAACTTTAAAATATTTCTAGTTTCCAGGAGAATTATCATGCATTATATTACCTTAATGTATTCTTGAAACTTATGTAAATTATGAACAGTGAATATTTTTCCAAAGAAGAAGTTAAAAACTATGTCTATTAAAAACCAAATTCTTCCCATATGATATTCCAATTTTCTCATCATAAATTATGAAGTAATCAATCTTTTCTTTACACTGGCTTTAAGTATATGATTATGAGTATACGTTATCTCAGAATTTTGTGTATTTGTAGAATTTTGAGTTTGTTCTTTAAATCTATGCATTGTTATCTTATACTTTAATATCTAGTGGGCATAATCTCCCCTGCCTGCCCATTATTACTCTGTGTTTTAGAAATTTCTCAGCAGATCATGTTGATTTACTCTTTCCTATGACCTTTCATCTGTTGCATCTTCTTCATGCCTAATGCTATTTTTATTTTTGAGATTTTTCATTATATTTATGGATTACATAGAGAGAAGTAGCATTTTGTTATTTTGAATCTTGCTATACAGAACATGGTATTTGTTATATTTGTTTATGCCATATTTAGGTATTTTAGTAATATTTTAAATATTTCTTCATATATATCAAGCTTATCTCATGTTATGTTTCTATCTAGAAATTTTTTCAGCATTGAATTTTGTAAATGGGCTTTTAAAAATATATTTTCTTTCTGTTTATGGATTTTTATATGAGAAGTCTAAAAATTTCTGTAGGCTAATTTAGAACTTCTGAGTGTTATTACGAATAAAATTGTTCCCTTATTTTTCTTTTTAGAAAAGATTGCTTGACTATAATTTTGCAGATCTATTTCTGGGTTCTCTATTCTGTTCCACTAATCTATGTGTCTCTTGTTCTACCAATGCCACATCATGTTAATTACGATAGCCTTAATTACTAAGCTTGAGATCAGGTAGTGTGAGTCCTTTAGTATTTTTCTTCTTCTTCAATACTGTGTTGGGTAATCTAGGTACTGTTTTACTTTCCACATATACATTAGAATTAGTTTACTGATATTCTCATACAGCTTTCTAGGATTTTGATTTGGATTATATTGAATCTATTGATAAATTTGTGTGGAACAAATATCTCAACAATATTGAGGTTCTCAGGCAATGTATATGGAATATTTCTCCCTTTACTTAGATCTTCTCTGGTTTTTTGCATCATTGTTTTATAGTTTCCTGCATACAGTTTCTTTATTCATATATTTTCATATCATTTCTACATATACAGGCAAATTTTATATCATTACTACTCTTGTTTGTAACTGTATTTATTTTGGTATTTTTCCTACAGGGATAGATTTAATAGTCACCATTGGGCTTTTTGGTAAAACCACATGAGTAATTTTCTGCTTGATTCAACATCAGTATTTAGTACTTTTTGAAAGAAGGGCTTATGGGAACTAGTTGTTACAAGTTATAATGAAGTTTCTGCTACCATTTTTCTTGAACAATAGTTTGTTTACTATAAAATTTCTTGGAAAAACATCTCATTGTGTCACTATTTCTTGTCATTTGATATTATAATGGAGAAGTGGGATATGAACTCACATTTTCTGTTATAGATGACTATAATAATTTGCCTCTCTCCATCAATAATTACTCATTTATATTAGATTTTCATTACCTTTAACAAAATATAACTCCATGTTGATTATTCTATGCCAAAATCTTCTTTATCTCTTTGGAGAAGATATGTCCATTTAATCTGCATGCGTAAATATAAATTTTTACTTTCTGGATTTTTTGTCTCTTAAATATTATATTTTTTCATCTATTGTTTTAATTTTGTTCCCTCAGGAGCACCAACCAAGTAAAAGAAGTTGGATCTCCTTTCCTGTCTTCCACTTCAACTATTTCACTAAGAATTTATCTAACACTTTATTACTTTTCATTTCCTTTCTCTAACTACTCTTCATCATACAATTTTATGTTTCTTATTATATTAACGGTGTTATTTTGTACAGCTTTCATATTTACCTAAATTCTATAATCACTTTTTACCTTTTTTTCACTTCTGAGATCTACCAGTTTACTTTTGATCTTTTCTTTTCTTTTCTTTTTTTTTTTTTTTTTTTGAGACAAAGTCTCTCTCTGTCACCCAGGCCGGAGTGCATTGGCGCAATCTCGGCTCACTGCAAGCTCCGCCTTCCGGGTTCACGCCATTCTCCTGCCTCAGCCTCTCAAGTAGCTGGGACTACAGGCGCCCGCCACCAATGCCGGGCTAATTTTTTGTATTTTTAGTAGAGACGAGGTTTCACTGTGCTAGCCAGGATGGTCTCGATCTCCTGACCTTGTCATCTGCCCACCTCGGCCTCCCAAAGTGTTGGGATTACAGGCGTGAGCCACCCCGCCTGGCCTGATCTTTTATTGTCTTATAGGAAAAGTCAAGTGATACAAAGTAGCCACTCATTCTCATTGCCAGTACTTTCTTTGCCCCTGTAACTACTTTCTTCCCATAGTACCCACCATCACTGGACATGTCATATATTCACTCAACTTATTTATTGCTTATCTCATTTCATTAAAATATTAGCTCCATAGGAGACAGATACAATCTCTTTTGTTTGTTATCATGTTCCTTTAGCCTAGAATGGTGTCAGAAATAGAATCGATGCTCAACAATTAGTTTGCACTGAATAGATAAACAAATACAATGGATAGTGAGTGAATGATAAATTTACAGTAGAAAATTTAGGAAACTATTATTTCAAAGACTGTGGGGGAAAGACGATTCTTTCAAATACTCTGCATAAATAAAGAGCATGCAAGCTTCACACATCGAAGTTCTTTGTATTAAGTTCCAGATAAATTCTATGATTATGCTAAAATACTATCCTAACTCTTTCAACCATACAGCTAACAAAAAATTCAAATTTCAATCTGTTGTCAAATTTTAATATCACTTAAATTCATTATCTTTCTAGACTTCCTGTCTAAACATTTGGGAATTGATTGAAAAAACAGTGGGGCGGCGGGGGGGGAATATGAAGGTTTAGATTTATTTGTTCATTCAGTGAGCCTTAATTGAGTGTTTATTATGTGCTACACCCTATTCTAGATGCTGAAGAAAACATAGCTCCTACTTTCATGAAATATAGCTTATAACAGTCTCCCCTGCTAGCAGAATTATTCCTTCCTCTCCTTTTTGAAGATCCTTTAACAAACTTTTCTAACAAAATAAACTTGCAATAGGAAAGCCATGTTACTGAAGCCACATCTTCACTGTCTGTTAAACCAGATTAGAGAGCATGCTCTGTGGATCAATTACAATGTTAAACCTGGGAACTGAAGAGGTGCACACAGGAGTGTAGAATTGTTGTAAAATTTATAATTTAGAAAAAATGAGGAGAAATATATCTGTGAATGTCTTATGAAAACTGTAGAAAATTAGGGTTGAACATGATTGTAGTTTGGTTGAGTTTGAGCATGAGTGCGTTGGCAGATACTCTGCATCCGGTGTGCTAGGTCAAGCAGACGGGAATCTTTATCATCGCTCTTCTTGATTAGTTGACACATTTGGGATCAGTAGTGGGCCATGGAAACTAAAATTAATATGCCAGTAATTCCTAATTATAATGTATTTTAAAAATATAAAAATGTAGAGAAATAAAAAATTTGAGTAGAATTATCAGGTTTAAGACACTCACTATGAACTATGTCCTCTGAAGGACCAAGAGGTCAATTTATTCACCAAATCTTTAAGAAATCTACCAAAGAGGATCCTCGTGGTCTTTAAAAATTATTTATTGATTAATTATTCCCTGTAGGGGGATACTTCAGTTAAGTAATCTTTCTGATTTCTACTGAAATCCAGGATCCCCAGGATAGCAAAGGCTGAGAAAATATTTCATAAAACATTACAGGTATGGTCTATAAACTTGCTTCTCGAGTGCCTTAGATGGAACTGCTGCCATATTTTTTTAGAGTAAGTACGTACTAGACAATCAGAATACTCAAACGTTAACATGACAGAAAATATTAGAAACTGGCTCTGAGGTAATCATGAACTCCAAGCAAACTGAAAACCTCTGTGGTTCACTGCTCAGAGTAGAGCTCACTTTGTCAGGTGATACATATTATTCCCTGGGACTCTTTTAATCCCACCTAAAATTATTTTCTTGGTCTTTAAATATATATTTATAACAGCACCTGACAGAATTCTCATATCAGTTTTAATCCTTGTATGATCATTAGAGTAAGAGAGGCCAAACCAAAGCATCTTTCTTTTAAAATAATAAATCAAAGTCAATACTCTCACGTGGAGAATCAGAGATTAGTGTTACCATTTAAGACATAAAATATGACTCCCTGTTTTTACTCTGAAGAAGTAAGTTGGCTGTGAGGGAAATATAATAGGGTAACATAAGACATATGAATCAGCAATTCCAAATTTAATGATGTTTTTTCCTGATATGTCTTCTTTGCTAGAGTAAATCAACACAGCCCTAGAATTTGATAAACAACCACCAAGCTGTCAAATGTGTGGTATTTTCCCCCTTACTCCGATGATTAGAGAATACTGGAAGCAGAAGGCCAAGAGAACCATATGTGTGTTTCCATCTCATTGAGGTTTAGCCAACCTTTGGCTCCATGACACAAACTAAAATAAAAGGGCTTTAATTGTCTAGCATTCCACAAGCTGTTATGGCATACTTTTTAAAATATGTCTTCCTGCCTCTATGACTAAAACTATCTATTGGAGGAACAAGGTAGGAGATTAATTCCATAAAAATTAGATTTCTGTTATTTCAGTAAAATTTCTGTTGGTCTAGTGTTCTGAGGAATGTCAAATCATCATTACCAAAATGAATGAAGTAACATGATTCTTTAAATCCACATTTGTTGTACTGATCTGACCATTCTGCATTGAATGGAAGCAAATTAAAGAAGGATTTCTGTAGTGCAAGCAACTGTTCTTAAGGTAATCCAGAGGCAATTATATTACTGATGCTGCCCTTGGTGAAATAAATCTGGCAAACAGGACTTCATCAAGTGGAAGTAACATATGTAATATTGGCCTTAAACAGATCCCAAAGGTACAAATATTTTCATGAGTGGTTTGCTGACTCTTTCAGCACTCTGACATTGGTTGTGCTACCACATTCTTCTCAATCTATGCCGGTGGCCTCTGCGGAATTTCCCCATCACGAGTTGACTGAAAAGAAAAATCCAAGCCAGATAATAGGTAGCTCTAAAATTACAGGATGGAACTAACCCAAAGTGACAGCTATGGCATCATAACCCTCTCAGGAATAGTCCAAAAGAAGAATGAAGCAGGAAAGTCATCCCAGAATTACCTTTGCAGTAGCTCATATTGTTTACTTTTCCAGAAATTATTTTAGATCTAAAGTAAATATCTACTTTTATTCAGAGTAATGACTAAAGTTGTAGTTCACTGTTAAGGTGCTCAATGAAATAAGATTCGGAAGATTGGTAGTAAGAAAGTTTGGGGCAAGGGTATATAGATGGATTGCTTAGAGTTTTTCCAAAATCAGACAATAATTGTGTATCATTAAGAGACCTTTATGGTTGTGAAGTCATTCAATATAAAAGATGCAGATAATGTTCCACCCTGGGATTGTCACCATCTCTTACCCTTCCTCTCCTCTCCCACTTTTACTATATCAATTCATTAACAGATAGGCAACGCTTTCAAGATGGAACAAAGAATGAACTCACAGATATGGAATTACCCTCACCAAAAGTGATAAGGCTATACTGCTGTTGGATAAAAATTGCCAGACTGCTAAGCACTTCAGGCTCAAGAATAGTATCTTACAACATCCTCTTACAGCAGAGCAAACACGTCACAGCAGGTTGATAATGTTTGGAGTAGTTGTCATTTGAAACACAGTTATTTGGGATTTGGGTTTCTTTCTACTTACTGTCAATTCCAGCGTGCTTGGGCTTGTTCGATGCCTTACACAATATCACGAGGAACTATAATGGCAATGCTTTCATGCAAATAATTCATTTTACAACCACATATTTAATATCATGGTTTGAAATCCATGGCATTACTGGTGGATAACTTTAAATTCAGGTTGTCTGAGACATTTCTGGATTAGACAAAATTGTGTTATATATTTATTGTCTTCATTTTTTTCTCAGAATCTTTAAAAATGTTTCTATCTGTATGATAAATAACTTTTTAAAAACTCATCTCTTTCATTGGACTTATTTTTTCTTTATTTCTTTATTTTTTTTGAGACAGAGTCTCCCTCTGTTGCCAGGCTGGAGTGCAGTGGCCCAATCTCGGCTCACTGCAATCTACGCCTCCCTGGTTCAAGCAATTCTCCTGCCCCAGCCTCCCGAGTAATTGGGATTACAGGCACGTGCCACCATGCCCAGATAATTTTTGTATTTTTAGTAGAGAAGGGGTTTCACCATGTTGGTCAGGATGGTCTCAATCTCCTGACCTCACGATCTGCCCACCTCGGCCTCCCAAAGTGCTGGGATCACAGGCGTGAGCCACCACTCCTGGCCCTCATTGGGGTTATTGTACTCCCCATCACATTGTAATGATGTTCCTGTAATATAGAATAACATCTTGAAAATTTAATAATAAAGTCTGCTGGGTGAAAACATATTTAGGGTTGAGGACGTCTACATATGGATTAGCAAACGATGTTGGTGATTCTGCTTAGTCAGAAGGTAGAATTAAAAAACAAAAACAAAACAATAAATGGAAAAAGGAATTAGCTCTTTCACTGTTGTATTTGAAGATTCCCTAATAAATTTTTTTTAAACTGGTCTACTGGGTTAATCTGGCTTAGAATTTCTGTTGTCCAAGTGAGAAATTCTTTATTGATGTATGTATATTGATTCCTTTGATAGAAAAATAAGATATTTACTGAACTAGCAAGCAACAAATGTTCTCTGAATGGGTGTAATGGACTAATCTTAACTATCAAAGTTAACAGTGATACTGACAACTTTAGTTTCAAAAAGAAAGGGTACTAAAATTTAGAGAATTTTCTAGGGCACATTCTTATGATTCCTCTAGGAAGAGTCAAAATATCAAGGGCTCAGATCACTCAGGAATCAAATATTGGCCTATTTTCAGTAGGGTGACAACCTACTGAATTTGAATATATTCCAGAGTGGTTTTTTTTTAAATTCCTGAAGCAAGGTAAATAACTATAATTCACTTTTGCTAATCAAATTATCCTTCTAATAATGATAGTGAGGGTGATGACGATAGGTCGGTAACATTCATCTACCTCTTTAAAATATGCCAGACACTGTCCCAAGTGCATTTCAATGACTAATTTAATCCTACATTTTAAAAGTATATACTATTATTAAGAAATATATTGTTAGTATAAGTAAATGTTAAAGATGGTTTTTATAACCTCCCCAAATGTGACTTTTTCTGCTATGCGACAGAACAAGCCTTTTTATCTAAGTGAAATAGAGGTAAATTTAAGTACTAGAAAGGAATAAAGATAGAGTTAGGGGAAGCTGAAAGCTAACTGTTCATTCTTGTCCATTTTGTCCAAAGGCAACCATATTGAAATCTTCAAAGATGCTATCCTCGCTCTCACTCTTTTAACTTTATTTTCTGTTAGCTTTTCAGTTCTATAATTTTTATACTGGTCAGAACTTTTCTGAGTGATGGCTGGGAATAGAATGCCGGCTTCCTATCAACAAACACTTACCAACTTCCAGCAGATGTTGCAAAAAGATTCACTGATTTGTGCTACAATCAGCAGGGCAATTGTTTCATTTTGACTCTCTATGAAATCCAATGTATCCATTTTAGTTTGACTGACAGACATGGATTTCTCTTCTGGTGAAATTTTTTTGTACCATTCGAAATGCAAGCCTGATGGACAATGCTTTCACAAAAGATGATAAATCATTTTTTTTTTATCTTTCTCTCTCTAAAAATTGAAAGCAGCAATGGCTCGTGAATATTTACGTAAAATTCAAGGGATATGCATTCTTACCTAAATTTGGATTCACAGGAAAAATATATAGTCTATGCATATAAATCCGTTTTAGTCATTTTAGTTTACAAAGCCTTCTCCATATAACTGTCATACTTAGTAATATCCAGTGAAAAAAAATGTAGTGATTTCTTTGAAAATGTCAAATCTGCTAAATATCAGAAAGGCTTTCTGTATATAAATATGAAACTGCCTATATAAAGCAATACAAGGACCCTCAACATTTGAAATTTGTTAACAATTTATTCTGGTTTTATTTTCTCTTTTTGAATATTATACAAACAACTTTTTTTGACCCATGCTTTGTCAGTACTTAGTAACGTATGCTTCCTGAAAGTAAATATATCATAGAGTAAAATACATTTTGATGATACTAGAAAAATTATAGAAATTAGCTGCGAGCATGCACATTTATATAAGTAGTATTTTGAAAGTAGTCATTAGGCTATACAAACACTTCTTCCAAAATCATTTTTATGAATATAGTCAGTTTTGGCACACTTCCTTTTAGACATCCCTGGAAGAGTTTTTACAGTATTCTGTGTTGACTATCTTCATCATTGTCAGAACTTAGGAAGATTTATTTTTTAATAGAGTAATCTAGATGAATAACACCCATGTTATCAAATGAAGAAGTCATAAAAACTATTAAGATTGATAATCTTATGTGTGCCATGAACTGATTCCAAATGAGCTTCAAAATGAAGGTGACATATTGAAAAAAAAAAAGGTTGTCTTACTCTTTCAAGAAACATAATTTGAAGAGGCCAGTTACTTAAATATATACATTTTGGTATGCTAACAAATTAATCTCATTAATATACACTCAAGTTTTTGGAAGATGATGAGCTATATGAGAATGATCAGTAGTGGAATACTTACTTCCAAACTCCAGAAATTTCTCATTGAAAACGTTTATTTATATATTTTTTTGAATTTTATTTCAGTAGTTTTTGGTGAACAGGTGGTTTCTGGTCACATGAATACGTTCTTTTGTAGTGATTTCTGAGATTTTGTTGCACCTATCACCCAAGCACTGTATATTGTAACCAATGTGTAGTCTTTTATCCATCATCCCCCTCCCACACCTCTCCTGCCCACCCTCCAAGTCCCCAAAGTCCCTTATATAATTCATACGCTTTTGCATCCTCATAGCTTAGCTCCCACTTACAAGTGAGAACATACGATATTTGGTTTCCCATTCCTGAGTTACTTCACATGATACAAAAAACTGACAGGTGTTTTAGTTAGAATATCAAGAGAAAAGGATTGTTATTTCATTCACTTGTCAGAGCAATACAACCAATAGGGTTTTAACAGAAAACAAATAATATAGTAAACATAAGTAATTAAAATAGTTCATAATTTTTTTCAGGAATCAGAGAAACCAACAAGGGATGGTAAAGCATCTCAGTGCTAGCAAGTAAGATGTTATTCCGGAAAGGAAAATGTGTGGAAGTATTAGTTTGCTAGCAATGCCATAACAAATTACCACAGACTCAGTGGCTAGAACAACAGAATTATTTTCTCATGATTCTGGAGGCTGGAAGTCCACAATCAAGGTGTCAGCAGGGTTGGTTTCATTTGAAGGTTCTCTCCTTGGCTTATAGATACTGTCTTCTCCAAGTGTCTTCACATGGTATTGTCCTCTGTGTGTGACTCTGTCTTAATCTCCTCTTCTTATAAGGACACCAGTCATGTTAGACTAGAACCCACCTCAATAACCTCATTTAACCTGAATTACTTCTTTAAAGATGCTATCTCCAAACACTGTCACCTTCTGAGGTACTGGGAGTTAGGACTTCAACACAGGAGGGGGAAGAGATGTACACAGTTCAGTCCATCACAGGGAGTAATCACTGGAAGCTACAGACAGCTAAAACTATAGGAGAAAATTGCCTCCTGGGAGCCTTGTGTAGAGGATACAGCCACTGCCAATGTGTTTTACTCTCTCTTTCTTTTATTTTCTAGCTGAAGTGAAACAGAAGTTATAAGGGTTTCTAATCAACACAGTTCATGAATGTCATACTCCCAGGGAACAGAACAAGGTGGAAAGGGGTAAGGAGTAGCTATGGAGAGACAGCCCATTTACTACAGTCCACCTCTTTACCCTTTGTCATTTGCATGAAAAACTCTTTCTTTCCATCACAGAAAAAATCACGAGTTTCCATCAGCCATGGTATTATTAAGAGTGATTTTAATGCAGTTATATTCTCACTTGAAAATAGACATACACTCCAAATAATGTATATGAGCAAATAGGGATTATAAAAAGAAATTTTAATTCACTTAAAACACAGCTACATAGCACTTCTTCAAGTGCTAGCATAGCACTTCTTAAATTGTCCTGAGATTTAAGCTGCTAATCATAGCTTCCTTCTTACAGCATTCTTGTCATTTTCCTTCCACTACATCTGCCAGCATGTTGGTTAGATGGAGTTCTTCTGGTGCAGTCATGGAAATCATCCTTTCTTCAACTTTAAAATCTTTGATGGCCTGCGATTATTGAGTTTTTAATGGGAATAATTTTAGCTTCACAGAAAAGATTTACAGGTAGTACAGAGAGATCCAATATACACCTCACCTATTTTCCTCTAATGTTATCATCTTACATACTATGGCACATGTGTCAAAACTGAAAATTAATGAATAGTATTAACTAAACTTGAGGGTTTATTTGGATCTCACTAGTTTTTTTTTTACTAATGTCTCTTTTCTGTTCCAGAATCCAATCAGAAATGGTACATGGTGTTTGCATGTGATTTCTATGTGTTCTAAATTTCTACTCTTCAATGACAAATGTTAAGCATTTCCTTGGTTTTTTTTTTAATGATTTTGACAGTTTTTAGAAGCTGTGGAAATACTCTCATTTTGGGTATATATATGTGTATTTTTTCCCATTGCTGCACTGGGTTATAGATTTTGAGGAAGACGGTCATAAGAGTGAAGTGCCCTTCTTACTATATTGTGTCAAGGACTAGAATACGTCAAAATGCTTTATCACTGATTATGTCGACCTTGATAATTTGCAGTGTTTGTGTGGTTTCCCATTGTGAGTTACTATTTTTCTCATTTCCATATTCTATTTTTTGAAGCAAGTCACTAATTCCAGCTCATTCTTACGGAGGGGCAGATAAACTCCAACTCTTGGAAGGGGGAGAAACACATCAATATATCATTTGAAAAGATTTTGTAAATGAGTTTCGCTCATCTTCATGTATTTATATATTAAATCATTTATTTGTGTGAATATAAAGTGATCGATTTTTTTTTACTTTGGATTACAATTCTAACACTACATTCTCTACCATGTTGTTCAAATTATTTCAAATTTTGATCTCTGTGTGCTCTTTCAGATTGACCCCTCTGTCCCTTTGATGTATTCGTTTTATTTTGTGAACACGTCCATATTTTATAGCACTACATGATGCTCTAGGCTCAGCTTGCATTTTTTTCTGTCCTGGATCAAGAATCTGGTATTTTTTGAAGATACTTAGTGGATAAAGATAGATAGAAACCAAAAGCTTGGCTCTGTGTGTGCTTACGACCACTGTAGTCTCACTGCTTCTAGGGCTCTTAGTATGCAGAGCTACCTTTACACACACACACACACACACACACACACAATACCTATATTTGTGTAGATAATATATGACTTCCGTATACATTTATCTCTCTCTCCTTGTGTGCATGTGTACGTGTGGGGAGGGAGTGAACACGAGTTCATACTGATGTCTCCAACTCTAATCCAGTACTGCAAGTTTCATTTTTGTCTTTCATACGGCTGCTTGTGACTTCTTTCTCTGAGACTGAGAAACATGAATCTCCTTTTCTACCATCTGTTTATCTTTTTTTTTCCATCCAACCAACTCTACAGGTAAATTAGTTTCACAATTGTGAATCCACTTGATTGTGAGAAACAAAATGTCAAACAGCTGTGGAATGTTTAGGTATATTTTTATTTTTATTTTGTTTTAAATCCTTAGCCTTGAAATTTCCAGTCAAAACATTGTTTTCTAAAGGTACTTTGGTCAGCTTGCTTTTTTTTTTCATAATTTCAGTGAGATTTGTCATATTTTTGTAATAATACTAGATTCACTTGTTATAGTCTCTATTTCATCAAAAAAAAATCCCCCAACTTTCCGTATTTTTTAAATTTACATGCATTAAATTTCACCTGTTATCTTTTACAGTTCTGTGGGTTTTAGCAAAATCAGACTAGTGTGTCTACATAGTAGTGCCACACAGAAGAGTTTTATCACTCTAAAAAGTCCCTGTTCCCCTCCTCTTATTCAATAAATCTATGTTCTCTTAAGCCACAAAAATAATAAAATAATATTCTTTTCTATTTCTTTAGTTTTAAATTTCTAGAATTCCATATGAGTTGTATCATAAAATATGTGACTTTTAATTCTTCCTTCTTTCACCTAGTAAAGTGCATTTAAGATCCATTCATGTGGTGGGTGCATATGCATGACTCAAC
Organism: Homo sapiens; assembly: GCF_000001405.40. Lineage (NCBI taxonomy): Eukaryota > Metazoa > Chordata > Mammalia > Primates > Hominidae > Homo > Homo sapiens. Next base: position 178,672,704 of record NC_000004.12, read on the forward strand.
AGCTCATTTCTTTGATCACTGAATAGTGTTTCATGGAATGGGGTGTGTATTTATCCCTCTGTTGAAGGTCATAGTTTCTCAAAGATGGGCAACTGAAGGAGCAGAAACTTGTTCCACACTTTTGAGAAAGACATACTCCTGACATGACTTACCAGGGTGGAGAGTTCGTGTCCCACAAAGATAGCATTCAGTAGAGAATTCTAAAGTATTGTAACTTAGTGGTAAAAATAAATATATTGTAACATAATGGCTAATCTAAACCACCTTTACAAAGCTAAACATGTTCATCAATATAAACATACACAGAAATAACACAGATAATGAATTACTACTAAAGGAATTTAAGACAGTTATGGCAAATATGTTCAATATGTTCAAATATTCAACATGTTCTTCAGAATGCAAGAGAATTATATTGTAAATAGAGAACCAAATGAGATGAGATCCTTTAGAGATAAAATTGACTATATCTGAAATGAAAATATGATTGACAGCAATTAGGGACTAAAGCCTAATAAATTAGGGAACTCATAGAACATGCAATAGAAACAGTTAAAACTTCAACATAGAGAAAACAAACAGTTTTTTTAAAAGTAGTAACTCAGTTACTTGTAGGATGATATCAAGCAATACACCGTACCTATAATTGACATCCCAAAAAATTGGCACAGAAGAGGGACAGAAAACAATATTTTAGTATAATGACCGAACTCTTTCTAAATGTGATTAAAAGTAGGAACTAAGAGTTGAATTTTTTTAAATAAAAAAGGAAGCAAAACACAAAACAAAACAAGAAGAAATAAAATTATCCAAGTAAGATAAACATAAAAGAAATGCAATTCTATGGTGGCACAACATACTCATATTGCTTAGAAGAGTGATAAAGAGATAACCTTAAAAGCATCCAGAGATACCGAAATGTTTGCAAAGGAATAAGTATTACTGAAAACTGTTGACTAAGCAAATATTAAAGATGTTTTTCTGACAACAAATAATTGAAAATTTAAAGCAAAAAATAATAGTTTGCTAAGGCCAGGCTTATTGAGCACATTGAGCCTGGCCTTAGCTCTGTGTGTGTATGTGTGTGTGTGTGTGTGTGTGTGTGTGTGTGTGTGTGTGTAAAACATATGATCACAATAATGCAAACACTGGGAGAAGGAAATGCAAGCATACCTTAATACAATTCCTCTCCTATAGATGACATAATGTAGTATCACTTTGAATATAGAACAGGATTCCTTAATCTCAGCACTATTGATATTTAGGACCAAACAAAAACTTTCTTGGTGTGGGAGGTTGTTGTCCCATGTATTGAAAGAAATTTAGCTACATACCTAGTTTCTACCAACTACATGCCATCCTCCAGGTTGTGACAACCAAAAGTATCTCCAGATATTCCCAATGACTTATTGTGGAGAAATACTGGCCTCCAGGTAGTATTATACACAATGGTGAATACTAAATGCTTTTCCCTAATTTCCAGAACAGCAGAAGGATATCTGCTTTCATCAATATTTTACTAAAGGCTTTAGCCATAGCAATGAGGCAAGCATTTTTTTTAAAGACTTTCAGTTTAGAAATGAAGAAGTAATAAGGTCTTATGTGCAGATGGTATGATTACACAGAAAATACAATTGAATCTATGAAATAGCTACTGGAAATAATAGATCAGTTTATAAAGTTTTCAAATAAGATTAATATAAACAAACAATTGTATTTTCATATACTACCAAACAGATTGAAATAAAATAACAATCACCAAAAAATACAAATTTGGAAAACATTTGAAGATAAATCTGACAAAACATACGTAAGATCTGTTCAGATAAAACTGAAAAAAGATTCTGCAAGAAATTAAAAACCTATATAAGTAGAAAAATATATTATTTCACAGAGCTGAAAAACTCATCCTTAAGATGCCCATTGTCCCAAAATCCCAGGAGACTTTTTTTTGTAGAAATTAACAAGCTGTTTAAAAAATTCATTTTGTAATACAAAGGACCCAAATATCCAAGTAACTGTGAGATGGAACAAAATTGGTAGGCCAAAACTACATGATTTCAAAATGCTACAATAATTAAGACAGTGCATTCAATAATACACCAAACACAGACACAGACAAATAGATCAATGGAGGAGAACTCATCAATGAAGATCACATAGATCAATGGAGTAGAATCACAATTCCAGAAATGGAACCATGCATATGTGGACAACTGGTTTTCAATGAAAGTACAAACATAGTTCAATAGAAAAGGAAGAGTCTCTTCAAGGAATGATGGTAATCGGATACACATATAAACAAGAAAACCCAATTTATAGCTCATACCATAAACAACAGGAACTGAAGATGAACCACTGACCTAAAACTATAAAATTTTAAAACAAAATACAGGCAAAAATATTTGCAATCTTAGGTAAAGCCAGATTTCTTAGAATTGATACCACAAGCCTGAACCATAAAATACAAAAATGATAAATTTGATTTCTTTGAAATTAAAAGTGGCTGTTCTTTAAAAATCACTGCTAAAGGAATGAAAAAGACAAGCCAAAGACTGGGAGAAAATATTTGCAAAGCTAGTATCAGATAAAGAAATTGTACATAGAATATATAAAGTACTCCCCAAAATCAATTTTAAGGAAACAAACAGTCCAATATGTATTGTGAAAATGATTTAACCATACATAACACCAAGTAAAATATATGGTAAACAAATAGGAACATGAAAGATGTTCAATCTAATCAGTTATTAGGTAAGTGGAAATTAAGTGAAAATGAAACAACACCAATATCTATTAGAATGGTTAAGATTTAAAAGACTGGCAATCATCTCTACTAAAAAACACAAAATTAGCTGGGTGTGGAGGCGCATGTCTGTAATTGCAGCTACTTGGGAGGCTGAGGAAGAAGAATCACTTGAACCCGGGAGGTGGAGGTTGAGGTGAGCTGAGATCACGCCATTTCACCAGCCTGTGCAACAAGAGTGAAACTCGGTCTCAAAAAAAAAAAAGACTAGCAATGACAAGTTTTAGAGAGTATCTTAAGGAACTTGTAATCCCATACAATGCTGGTGGATATGCAAAATGTAACATTCATCTTGAAAATGTTTTCATTTTCTTTAAAAGTTAAGTATTTATCTCTCATGTGATATAGTCATTCTACTCCTAAATATTTATCCAAGATAAAATATTTGAACATGAGTTTTTATAGAAACTTTATTTATAAATAGAGAAAAACTGAAAATAACTTGAGTCTATCAACTGGTGGTTGGGTAAAAGGAATCATGGTATGTTCATATATTGACATACTATTGAGCATTCATATAATGGCACTATATAGAGACATAAAAAGTATTGAAATACTGAGATTTGCAGCAAAACGAATGAAGCTCAAAGTAAGTATGCTGGGTAAAAGATGGCAGACATAACGAGTACATGACATATGTAAGTTTTTAATAAAATAGAGAAATAAAGGAATAAAAAATCAAAAAACTAAAAATCTCTGGAATATACAAAGGAATCCATAGGACAAAGGGTTAATCAATGGTTGTCTGAATGGGGAGAAGTGAAAAGGAGAAGGAATGAGGAATTATAATGAGAGAGTGGAAACTCTTTGTAGTAACAGATATGCATAGTTATGATTGGGGTGATGATGTCATTGGGTGTGTATGTATATGAGAACAGCAATTGTACACTTTAAATATACATGTTTATCTTTGGTCAGTTATACATAAACAAAGCTATTGAAATTTAAAGTATTAACCTGCATGTCAAAACCTATGATTGTGAAAATTATCAGCGCACACCTATAAGAACACCTTGGTGATATCAATTAGGCAACAATTTCCTAGATGTGATATCAACAGACTCACAACAGATAGTAGCAGATAAATAGCCAACATCAAAGGGAGGAACATCATTTCTTCAAAAGATACCCTGAAGTGAATAAAAAGAGAATTCACATACTAGGGGGAAATATTTGCAAATGCATATGACAAAGAACTTTTCCAATCTTTATATCCAAAATATTTTTAAAACCCTGAAAACTCAATAATAAGGAGATAGATACCCCAATTTATAAGTGGTCAAAAGATTTGAGCCGCCTTCACCACAGAAGATGCATGAATCAAATAAGAAACTGCAATTTTGCTCAATACCATTGATCACTGAAGAAATGCAAATTAAAATTCCAATAGGTAAGTCCTACATGGGCCTATGAGAATATTTAAAATTAAAAAGGTTGATCATAGCATTGCTAGTGAGTGTGTGGAGCAAGTAGCAATATCATACATGGCTTCTGGGAATAAAAGTGTTATGATCACCTTGAAAAACAGTTTCATAAAAAGGTATACATATGCCTACCATTTGTCCTAGCCATGACACAGTTAAATGTTCACCCAGGAAAACCAAAAGCATGTATTTGTAGATTCTTAGGCATGAATGTGTAGCAGCTTTCTTTGTAATAGCCAAACCTTGGACACTGCTTGAATATCCATCACCAGATAAATAGACAAATAAGTTGTGATATATTCATACAATGGAATACTACTTGGCTGTCAAAGAATGAACTGTTGATTCAGGAACCAACAAAGATGAACTTCAAAATAATTTGCTGCATGAAGGAAGCCAAACAATAAAGAATATGTACTCTATGATTATATTTATACATGGTTCTATAAAATGTACCCTCATTTTGCTGACAGAAAGTATAGTACTTGGTTGAGGACAGAGATATGAGAAAAGCAATGTGCAGGAGGAAAGAATTACAATATTTCAAGAGGAAACTTGGCAGTGAGTGATAAGCTCATTATCTTAACTGCAACAATGATTTTATGCATCTATACATATATGCAAACTTAGAAACTAGACACTTAAAATATGTGCTATTTACTGACAACTAATCCAATAAAACTATTAAAATGTACATGTTATTAGGGCTCCTTAATTTTTATCTCTTATCCTAATCTCACCTTGAACTAAAAATTTACATATCCAACTTTCTACCTGATATCTCCTCTAGGAGTTCCCACAGGAATCTCTAATTTCGAATATACAGAGCTTGATATTCTTTTTTTTCCAAATTTTCATCTCTTGTTATACTGAAACTCTTCATCAGTGGTAAATCCATTTTTCTAATTTCTTAGCTCAAAATCCTTACAATCATTTTTATAATTCTTTTATCCTCTCATATCCTACATCAAATCTCTCAGCATATCTTGTGTCATCTGTCTTCAAATTACATCTAGGGGCAACTACTCCTCAACACCTTCACTGTTCGCACTATAGTCCAAACCAATCTGTCATATCAACCCCCTACAATGTCCCTTTAACTGTCAAAATGTCTTCCAGTATTATTCCCCTCTAGAGCAGCCAGGTGGACCCTTGTAATACATTAACATAACTGTGTCACATTGTCAGCTCCTCCCGTGTCTTGCTATCCTGCTCATAACAAAATCAAAAATCCTTTTCTTAGTTTACAAGATTCTACAAAATCTAGTAGCCTTACTCTCACCTATCAATCAATCTGCTTCAACCACCTCGGAGTACGCTCTTGCCTCAGACATTTGCACTGCATGGATGCTCTTTCTGGAATGTCCTCTACTGAAATATTCACAAGGTGCATTCTATCCCTTCATTCACATCTCTGCCCAAAATGCATATCCTTGGAGAAGCTATCATTTCTGTAGCAGCACCACCTCACCACATTCATTGTCTTCATAGCATGTATCATTACATCCAATTTTACAGCAGGTGTGTTTGTAAATTGTTTGTACCTCCCGTGCAAATATATTCTTAAGAGCACCAACTTGGTCCTCTTTTATTTATCTACTGCTCTTTAATATATTTGGTGATTGATAGGAATCAGTTGCTTTACTAAATGAATCAGTCAATATATACAGCGTTCGCACTGGCAATCTCAAAAAGCTGAGAATTACAAATCTAGACTTTAGAGTCAGCTCATCTATATGCTTCTCAAATGTTAACTGTAAACTGCAAAACACTGAGGCTCCTACATCATTCAGATTAATTCTTCTACGCTGTTAAAATATTAAGTAGTACCAGAAATTTGATCAATTCTGGCAGAAAAGAAATGGCAACAATGACGTATAATGTGGCTTAACCAAATTGAATGTTTGACTATCACAACAAGAAACCGTTTATGTATTAGTGCCTTATGTATTTTCACATAGTGTTAGCAGCATACGTACATGATATTCATTGGCTTTGCATCTCCATTGTTACTAACATTGTTTCCCTACTTGCAGCAACCCTTTGAATTTCTTAACTTTTCACGTTGCTTTTGTAGTTGACAGATATAGATGAGTGATGTTGGGTTTTACTGAACACATGTTTCATTTCATATTCAACGTTTTAATCATTAGGTTGTGTATACATTAATTATGTTTGTTTCTAAACATTGAAATTTAGCAAATCATGTGCACAAAGATAACATTAATACTTAAATGTCCAAATGTTCATGCAGTTAATTAAGATTTTGTTTTAAATTTACTTAAAATAAAGCAAGCCATCAACAGATTTTTTTCCTAAAATAATGCTTGTATCTATATTCTGATCTCAACACAGAACTTTAGATAATGATTCTGTCATTCCAATAAATTACCTTACCTTATCCTGAAAAATGATAGGTTTAACAAGGTGATCACTATGGTATGATTCAGCTGTCATTTTAAAACATATCCTTGGTTAGAAATTTTTCTAAAAAATAATATATAACTATGTAATTCTAATATTTTATTGTTACTGTTTTATAATTTAAATTGCATATAGATTGACATCTAATATACATTTATACGTCTACATATCTCTATATAGATACATATTTTTTTCTAACATGCACCTGAATTATAGTTGACATTAAAAGATAATTAGTAATAATAAGTTCCAGGACTAGCAAAATGTTTTTTATTCACCATAAAATGTTCTTTCCAATTGCAACTTATAGTTTTTTTGTATTTAATTATTCCTAATTAATTAACTGTATTTAATTATTACAATCATCAAGACTCTCAGTAGCTTACTTAGCACATTTTGGGGAAAGTACTATTGGTCATAAACATTTTAAATATAACTTCCCATATTATAGCCACATAATCCACAAATATATACTATGTAATAAAAATGGGAAATAAGTAGTCAATGTTCTGGATAATAAATTGCAAACTCTTTATCAATGGTGTTTCTGACATAAAATTTCTAGATTTATTCAAATGAAAATGAGGCCAGGCGTTACAGAGATCAAGCCTGTAATCCCAGCACTTTGGGAGGCCAAAGTGGGTGGATCACCTGAGGTCAGGGGTTCCAGACCAGCCTGGGCAACATGGTGGAACCCTGTTTCTACCAAAAATACAAAAATTAGCCAGGCATGGGGGTGCATGCCTGTAATCCCAGCTACTTGGGAGGCTGAAGCAGGAGTATCGCTTGAACCCGGGAGGCAGAAGTTGCAGTGAGCTGAGACCACACTACTGCACTCCAGCCTGGATGACCAAGTGAGACTCCATCTTGGAAAAAAAAAAAAGAGTTATGCTATTTCTCTATTAGTATCTTAGTATCTCTCTACCACCCTAATAATCCCACATCTTGGATTGCTTGTATAAAACAGTAAAATGTAACAAAATTCTAAGAGCTTTAAAAAAAGCTTTTAAGTTGTTCATAAAACAAGATAAGTGTATAAATTGTACGTTTTAAAACAAAGTGAATTAATATTTAATTTTAAAACTGACACAACTTTTTAAAGTATGGGCTGAAGTTCACGAACCCATGGGTTTCAATTATGTGCTATAATTTCCCACTTCATGCTAAATCAGGCATCATATTGTGATATTTAATATTTCACAAACTGAAATGCACATTACAAATCTGGAAAGTTATTGAAAAGGAGAATACAAATAGCATATATCATGAAATCTCTCTACTCAAAGGAATCTACAACAGAAATTTTATGATAACCTGAAGAACAAGTAAACATCTCTCCATATTATTTGAACTCATTATATTCTATACACTTTATACTAGAGATGACTTATAAACATAATGCCAAATAAAATTACTTTTATAAAAACTATATGAATTCAATATTTCTATGCAATTTTAAAGAGAATTCATTAGTACCATATATCATACACTTTTTAGAAATTGCACAAACTCTGTGTACACATACAGAAGCATGCATACAATTCAACACTTAATTATCTAAATGCTACAATATGAAGCATTTCACAGTAAAAATGAAAAGTATCATATTTGTATATGACACAGGAAACTTAAATAGCATGACTGCTACATAAGATACATGTCACCGAAACTGTTCTAAAGGAAAATCCACGTTTTCAAAATAAGAACCACTTTATTCAGTTGTGGAAGATTAGTTTTTCCAAAGTTCTACGAATTAATGAAGTAATAGGTAACACTCAGAGTTATATTTTTATATTTTTAACCATATTTCAGTATATTTTATCCTTAGAGCAGACAATACAGCTTTCTAGAAATTAATTATTTAGTAATTATACAATGTGTACTTTAATTGGCAACATCGAGTTTTCAATGAAGTTTTATTAAGTTTGTACCATTTATTTGTATTTTCTATTTACAAGTAGGCAAAGATAAATTGTATAACTGATAAAATGGTTTCTGACGAATATGCAAAATAGTTACAAGCTGTTCAATATTCATATAAAATATTTTGTTACCCTAATAATATGTATAAAATAAATAATCTTTTATTTCTAAGATAATGGAATAATTTTATGCTTAGCTATGTGAATATTTTTTCTGTAATTATAAGCATCTTATAAAAATAAAAACACTAAAACAACAAGAATAGCTAGCTAACTTTTACATGTCAATTACTCATGAATAAATAACATCAAATTAGGAAAAATAAACATAGCAATAGGACATTAAAACTGCATTTCTAAGCCCCCCAAAATAGGCTTCCTGATTTTATGCTGCTATAAACTCCCTAAATACGCTTATTTCTAATTGCTGTAATAGATTGTTAGCAGAATAAATGGGACTGGCATTTTATTTTTCTTGTGTTTCCATAAACCTGGATTCTCAGGGATTGAAAAACTCTGAGCAACTTCTGTTTATAAAGGCTTTGAGTGTATTAGAAAATGAAGAATTTAAAAAAACAGACAACACCAAAGTTAGGTTATTGTAGATGTCTCTTTGTATAGCAAATAAACATTTTTAACACAAAAATACACTACAGCATACATAGTTAATCTAGCTATGATTTTAGAATGTATAAAATTATGAATTTGTGGAGCACAGAGGCAGAGTAATCATTTAGGATTCCAGTGTGCAGTCGCATGATGAAAGGCTTCTTTCAATTCTGTTTACGTCTGTGAGTGGATATACAGCATATGGGAGGGGCTTGATCACAAGTCTGAACTCTAAGTCCCTTATAAATGTTTCTTTTTGCTTCTCTGTGATGGACACTGATTCTATCCGTTTGTGTTTTTTATCTTCTATCTAGACATGAAACGGGCATTTATTGGATGACTTTGCATGGTTTCTTCAAGCACAATGTTAGAGGGATGTTTTCAGGGCCATCCAACCCATTTTAGTAAGGGAAGTCATTAGACGAGCAAAATCAAACCTTCAAGAAATTTCAACAGGAAGTTAAGAATAGCAGTCAATAATAATAATTGATGGCAAGGAAGAATAATTCTATCTTGACTTGCCTGGGGAACTGAAGATCATTTCCTCTAGTTGTTGACTGAAAGTGCCTAAAATAAATAAATAAATAAATAAACTGGCCCTCTAAAATTTTGAAGTGAGGAAATGTTTTTGTTAGGGGGTCTGTTTTCTAAGTGACCTGTTCAGGCATCATCTATCTCCAAGTTTTCACAGAGCTCCAGGCTAGGAATGGCATCTAAGGTAAAATTGCTCCAAAGAAGAAAAAGACATTTTAGCTTCAGAATTTTGAAACTACAGTAGTTATGTATTTCTGCCTAGGTTGCAATGTTTAGCCGTAAACATTGTTGTTAATTATGGATTAAAAATCACTGGATTGAAAAAAATATATTTTCATAAATATCTTAGACATAGATACTGCTAAGGCTAGCAGACAGTAGATATATCTTTTAAAACTATAACTAAAAAATTCGGTCCTGTAGTTTCCTCACTATAAAGGATTATAAAGATAGTCTCTTAGGACCCAGCATTATATTCTCAGTATGATGAAGAAGTTGCCATCATACATCTGATGTGTTCTTTTTTACCGCATGAGGTACAAGTGAGGTTATTAGTTTAGGATTTGAATAGAGGAAAGTGAATGGGAAAAATGAAGACATCAAATGATACAGCAAATTTTAGCTGATAGAGTGGGGAAGTAAACTTAATAGTAAAACATTGTTGGATTTGGGGCATTACTGAGGTACAGTTATAATCTTGAAACAATTCAGTAAAATTGGTAAACTAAATATTGAAGTTTTCTCCCAATATGCTCGAGTTCCTTAAATGGCTTCTGTTTTTTCCTAAAATAAGAGCACAGTTTTTAATGCAGCCCCAGAGGTCCTTTATGGCCTGTCTCTCACCAACTACTTCTATATTAGTTTAACCATACTGATGCTTGTAAGTAGAAATAGCTCACTCCACTCACAACACAAATAATCTTGCACATGTTCTTCAACAAAAGCATTGTACTTTCAATAGAGTCACTTTACGAGTAGTTCCAGTTTGTCGCACAGAATAACAAAAGATGACACTGAAGCATCGTTACGCAACAAAATTTTTAAATTTTACTTTTTTACTAAGGACTTTATTTTTAATTAATTAATTAATTTAGAGATGGAGTCTTGTTCTGTTGCCAGGCTGGAGTGCAGTGGCATAATCTCGGCTCACTGTAACCTCCGCTTCCCCGGTTCAAGCGATTCTCCTGCCTCAGCCTCCCAAGTAGCTGGGACTACAGGCGCCCGCCACCACGCCTGACTAATTTTTACATTTTTAATAGAGACGAGATTTCACCATGTTGGCCAGGATGGTCTCGATCACCTGACCCCGTGATCCACCCGCCTCGGCCTCCCAAAATGCTGGGATTACAGGGGTGAGCCACCGCGCCCGGCCAGATGCCCTGTTTTAACATGTTCTAGGGTTCCAGCAGTGTTTCTCACCATTGCCTTCGTATTATCATTTCAAATCTCAAGACAGTGAAATGCCATAATTTTGACCTCTCAAATACCGTGAACAAAATCTCAGAGACCTTTAACAGGTCCACAGATCACTGTCTCAGAATCTCTGCCTAAGAATAATTTTTACATGTTTACTGTTTCTATTGCACTACAATCTCCCAGCCTGTCCAAGAAATCTCAAACACATTTTCAGATATAAACTTATATTCATGCTAATAGAAATCTTCTCTGACACATCTGGTCTCATCTTCATAGCACCAATGGCTTTTCCTTTGAGATGCTCATAATGGTTGGAATTTCCCATTAATTTATTATTTGTTTGAATTTCTCATCTTCTAAGAGACAACAGATCATAAAATCAAATAATTACAGCCCCAGGAAGTTCATGCATAAAATCATGGAATTGGACAGTTTGTGGAATAAAAGTAAGCAGACACAAAATATCTAAGGGAGGGGTGCATGATGCTCTTTCAAAAAACATGCAAATCCTTCCCCTTAGTGGAATACAGACATGTTGAAAATTAAATTGGATATATCCTAGGACTCCAGTTTGTCACCTGTGCCTCAGTTTGGAATATTCATAAGGACATAGTCACTGACTTTGTATAGATTTTGTTTTGTTTTGCCTTTCAAAAAATGTTATAGCAGCACCTAGCACTGTCAGAAATACGTTGAATCCTCGTATAAGTTCAATGAATGAAAGAACACAGTTTTTGCTACCTAAAATGTTATTAGGATATGAATACATAAAGAATTTGGTGTTTGAGAGGGTAAAATAGTGATTCTAGGCTCTTCAGTGGACTACTGATTGTAAATTATAAGTGATTTTTGGGCTATGTGAGACATAAATTACAATCAGGTACAGAAAGTTATACTATGATGTTGACAAAACTATGTGCCTGCAGGACTATAGTGGAATCAAATTGATGGCTCATAAGTTATCAGAATGACAAGTGATAGCTGTGTATTTTCCCCTCCTTCTATAGTAAATACACTTGATTCCAAGTGCTACAAATGGATGTTTTTGTTGAACTTGTTAAAGTGATTGTGGTTTTTCTTACGTAGTTTATTACTATAGTAAACAACACTGATTTAATTTTCAAATATTGAACCATCGTTGAATATCCAGGATGAAACCCAATCGTTCAATATGTACTGTCTTTATAATATTTTTAAATATGTTTTTAATTGACAACATAAAATTGTTTTTATAGTTATGATGTACAACAAGATGTTTTAAAATATGTATAGGATGTGAAATTAATAAATTGTTAACATAATTAACATATGTTATCTCACATACTTCTTTATAACACTTCAAATCTACTCTTTTAGCAATTTCCAAGTATACAACATATTGTTATTAATTATGTTAATAACACCATGTTCTACAATAGATCTCTTAAAATTGTTGCTCCTATCTAACTGAAATTTTGTATCCTCCTACCAAAATCTGCCCAAACTCCCCTGACCCCAGACCCTGGTAACCACCATTCTATTTTTTGCTTCTGAGTTCCACTCTTTAAATTCTGTACATAAGTACATAAGTAAAATCATGCTATATTTGTCTTTCGGTTCCTGGCTTATTTCACTTAACATAATGTCATCTGTGTTCATCTATTATGCCAGCAATGACAAAATTTCCCTCTTTATGAAGTTAAATAATATTCCATGTGTTTATATACCACATTGTATTTATCCATAATTAGATTCTTAGATTCAATCCTCCATTAATAGACACTTAGGTTAATTCCATATCTTGGCCATTTTAAATAATGCTGCAATGAACAAAGGAGTGCAGGTATTTCTTTGACATACTGATTTCATTTCCTTTGACTATATTTGCAGATGTAGAATTGCTGATTCATAATGGTAGTTCTATTTTTATTTTTATTTTATTTTTCAACAGTCCTCCATGCTGTTTTATGAAATAGCTGTACTAATTTACATTTTCACCAACAACTTGCAAGGGTTTCCTTTTCTCCAGGTAATTGCCAACACTTAATATCTTTAGTCCTTTTATTTTATTCAGAAAACCATGTTTGCCACTAAACAATTTGCCAGTAACTCCAGCTATTTGGAGAAATTTAATTATTTGACTTTCAGTCTTCTTTTTGTTATTTTGTTTTGTTTTGTTTTGTTTTGTTTTGTTTTGAGACGGAGTCTTGCTCTGTCGCCAGGCTGAAGTGCAGTGGGGCGATCTCAGCTCACTGCAACCTCTGCCTCCCTGGTTCAAGCAATTTCCCCTGCCTCAGCCTCCCAAGTAGCTGAGATTACAGGCACGTGCCACCACGCCCAGCTAATTTTTTTTGTATTTTAGTAGAGAGAGGGTTTCACCATGTTGGCCAAGAAGGTCTCGATCTCCTGACCTTGTGATCCGCCCGCCTCAGCTTCCCAAAGTGCTGGGATTACAGGCGTGAGCCACCGCGCCTGGCCCAGTCTTTTTTATAATAGCTATATTAACAGGTGTGAGATCATAATTTATTGTGGCTATAATTTGCATTTCCCCAGTGATCAGTGATGTTGAGCATTTTTTCCAATATCTCTTGGCCATTTACGTGTCTTCTTTTGATAGTTGTGCCTATTCTGATCCTTTGCCCATTTTTAATCAGGTTATTTTTTTTCTCGCTATTGAGTTGTTTGAGTTCCTTACATATTTTGAATATTAACCCCTTATCAGATGAATGGTTTGCCAATATTTTCCCTTATCCTATAGGTTGTTTATTAATTACATTGGTTGTTTTTTATGCTGTGCGGGAGACTTCTATTTTGCTATCATCTCATTTGTGTATTTTGTTTTTGTTGCTTGTGCTTTTGCAGTAATGTCCAAAAATTTATTGCCCAAACCAGTTTTATAAAATTTTTCCTTTTTATTTTCTCCTAGGAGCTTTACAGTGTAGGTTATATTTGTAGTATTTAATCAATGTTGAGTTAAATTTTATATATGATGTGAGATGGGGTATATTTCTATTCTTCTGTATGTAGACATGCAGTTTTCCCAACACCGTTTGTGCAAGAGATTGTTCTTTCCCACTTGTATATTCTTGGCATCTTTGTCAAAAAAAATAAATGGACAGTAAATGCATAAACTTACTTCTGGGACCTCTATTCTGTTCCACTGGTCTGTGTGTCTCTTTTTATGCTAGTACCAGGCTGTCTTGCTTATCATAGATTTATGGTACCTTTTGAAGTCAGGTATTGCGATGTTTCCAGCTTTGTTCTTTTTGCTCAAGATTGCTTTGGCTATTTGAGGTCCTTTTTAGTTCAATAAAAAATTTTTCATTTCTATGAAAATATGTCATTGTAGCTTTAAGAGTAATTACACTTGATATGTTGATTCCTTTGATAGTATGGACACTTTAACAATATTAACTCTTCCAATGCATGAATAGGGGCCACTTTTCTATTCACTTGTGTCTTCTTCAATTTCTTGTGTCAGTATTTCATAATATTCAGTGTACATGTCTTTCACCACCTTGGTTAAATTTATTTCTCTGTGGTCTTTCTTCTTATAACTATTGTAAATGGATTTTTTTAATTTTTTTTAAGATAGTTCACTGTTAGTGTATAGAAATGCTACTGATGTTTGTATGTTGACTTTTTATTCTGCAACTTTAATAAAACAGTTTTCTGTTGAAATCTTTAGAGTTGACTATTTATAAGATCATGTCACCTGCAAACAAGGTCAATTTAGCCTTTTCCTTTCCTATTTGGATGCCTTTTATATCTTTCTCTGGCCTAATTACTTTGTCTAGGACTCCAGCACTATGTTAAATAGCAGTGGTGAGAGCAGACATCCTGTTCTTATTCACAATCTTAGAGAAAAGGTTTTTGACTTTTCACCATTAAGTGTGATGTTATCTGTGGGCTTCTCATATATGGTTGTTTTTGTGATAAGATACACTCCTTCTATACCTAAGTTATTGAGAGTTCTTACCATGAAAGAATGTTGAATTGTGTCAAATGTTTTTTCCATATCTATTGAGATGATGGATATAATTTTTATCTTTCAATCTGCTGTGGTTTATCACTTTTGTTAATTTGCATCTGTTGAATTATTCTCGCATCCCAAGAATAAATGCCACTTAATCATGGTGAGTGATCCTTTTAATGTGCTGCTTAATTTGATTTAGTAGTATTTTGTTGAGAATTGTTGCATCTATTTTTATTAGAGATATTGGCCTGTAATTTCCTTTTTTCTAGTATCTTTGTCTAGTTTTGATATTAGGATAATGATAGACTAAGAATAAAAGAGAGAAGGCACAAACAAATAAAATTACAAATGAAAGCAAAGATATTACAACTGAAATTACAGAAGTACAAAAGATTACAAGAGTCTAATATGAACAATTATACACTAAAGTTTGGATAACTTGGAAGAAAAAGATAAATTCCTGGGAACATACAAACTACCAAGACTGAATCATGAAGACATAGAAGATCTGAAGAGATCAGTAATGAGTAAGGAAATAGAATCAGTAATAAAAAGCCTCTCATAAAACAAAAGCCCAAAATCTTCATACTGAATTCTACCAAACATTTAGATAAGAACTAATACTATTCCTTCTCAAAGTCTTCCGAAAAATTGTAGAGGAGAGAGTAATAAAAACTCATTTTATCTTTATTTTTTTTGTAATCAGCTTGCTTATATAATATTAGGAATTTTGTGTTCAATTTTATAAAGTATGCTGACATGCATTTTACTTATCATTTATTTGTCTGGTATTTCTATCAATGTAATGTTGACTTCATACAAGACTTGCAAAGTCCTCTCCCATTTATGGAAGAGATTATATGTAATGGTTATTTTTTCTTCCTCAAATTTATCTTAAGTACTTTCCTATAAAATTATCTGGGCCTGAAACTCTATATTTTGTAAATTTTATATTTGGTAAATTTCTACTTTGGTAATGCTTTTAACTTTAAATTCAAGACTATTTATGTTATCTAGATCTTATGTGAGTTTCAGCAGTCTCTTTTCTTCTAAGAATGGTTACATTTCATCTAAGTTTTCAAATGTGGCATAGGGTTGTTTATGGCATCCCACTTTTACTCTTTTAATGATTTTGAAATCAGTAGTAATATTCCTTGTTTAATTTCTGATATTGGTCATTTCTCTCTGTCTTTATTCTGGTTTCTAGATCTTTTCTTTATTGTCTTTTTAATCTAAAAAGCAAACAAAAAAGTGGTTCTGTATTACTTGAGTGTATATTTTATGTTTCATTTTTTTAAAAGCTCCCCAGAAGAATGATCTGGGAAAAACTTTCAGAAATATATAATTATGTAATGTACAATAATAAATGATAATATAGCAAAAGTTGTGTAGCTTTTTTGAGTAGCTTTTAAAATGCTTTCTGAGTGTATGTTTTCATTTTCTGCAAAGTGCTTTATAGTTATTTACACAATGAAACACCAACAGCTCAGTAATACCAATAAGAAAAGAAAATTACAAACTTTAAGGTGTGAGCTCAAAGAAGTATTGCCAGAATCTGAAACTCCATGAATTTATAATAAAAACTTTTGATTCAATTTGTCTTTTTCTGAAACACCAAAGTTATACAATAAGCAGAAATAGGCTTAGGACAAACTATACATGGGGTTGCATTCTAATTAACTACTTAGAAAATTAGTCATTACAAGAAATACATCTATTTTGTTAAAATTGAGTATATAATTAATTGTGAGCCAAAATAAGTGAATATAGAAATACAAAAAGGAATCACTTCATAATTAGTTGCAATGGTAGCAGTGGAGACTACACTTCATGTGGTTTCCCTCCAGAAACCTCACCAGGTTCTCTTGGTAAGGATCTGAGAAAGATCTCCTAGTAGTGCTGACAAGGAATGGGGAAAAATAGTCATTATGAAGCCCCTAAGATATTTCTTTAACACATGCCTACTGTCCAGGAGGCAAGACATCACCAAAGAACAACACTAAAAATTTATCCCCGGTGGGAAGACATATGCTTCTCACTTCAACACCTTCAGCCTTTCTGCCTCACCTAAGGAAGAAAAAAAAGTCAAAACAAAAGAACAAAACATAGTCAACAGGGGAGAGAGAGCTAAAGAAACTGACAGGGAATATTTGGCCAGAGAATGGAGTAGAGATAGCAACAATAGTTAATGAATTAACATTAAAAAAAAAAAAAAAAAACTATACCCAAACAGAGGACAAGAAACACTTGTAAAGGCCACATTCCCAAAACACAGCTCCAGTTAGAGACTGAGATTTAATTAGAGGATTACAGAACATGTCCCTTTCTAAGCTCCACCAACACTCTAACAAAAGCCAGTTTAATTACACTGGATTACAGAAGAAGTAGCTGTAAGACAAAGACTCCATCTAAGGAGCAGTACAAAAGGAAACCTCAAAGGCAAGACTGGAGAGAAAAACAGGCACCCTAGCAAAATTTAAGTTCTCTCCTAACTACAGCTACAGTAAACATAAAATACAGTCCACACTTAGCCAGATTAACATATCAGTCCTTACACTAGGGACCTATTTACCACAATTCGTATTACCTGATACAACATGTCCAGCTGACAACAGAAAATTACAAGGCATACCAAAGGCAAACAGAAAAAAAAATAGAAAAGGAAAGCATTCTGAATAGACAAGCAATCATCAAGATCAGAATAGAAAAACACAGATCTTGTATTTATCAGAAAAGATATTTAAAATGATTGTGCTCAATGTATTAAGAGATCTAATGGAAAACTTGTTTTTTCTTATTAAGATATCTAATGGAATATTTATTTTTCTTACATTAATGTCAGCAGAGAGAGAAGACCTATAAGGAAAAAAAATCAAAAGAAAATCCTGAAATCAAAACTACTGAAATGGAAATTAAGAATGCTCTTAATAGGCTTGCTATGGTTTGAATATGTGCTCCCTTTAAAATCAGCTTTGAAATTTAAGTACCAGTGCAACAGTATTTAAGAGGTGGGCCATTAGTGGGTGATGACTCCATGAGGGCCCCATGCTCATGAATGAGATTAGTAACCAGGAAGGGCTGAAGAGATGTTGCTGGGTCCTTTCTGCCCTTTCACCCTTAAGGCCATGTGAAGAAACAGCGTTCATCTTCCCTGGAGGATGCAGCAACAAGGTGTCATCTTTGAAGTGAAGACTTGGCCCTTACTAGACGTCGAACCTGCTACTGCCTTGCTCTTGAAATTCCAGCCTCCAGATTTGTGTGAGAAACAAATTTCTATTCTTCATACATTACCCAGTCTCAAGTATTTTGTTATAACAGCAGCAAAGGACTAAGACAAAGCTCATGAAGACTTTCAAGAAAACTGAGGGAAGGATTAATGAGCTTGAAGATAGGTTAATATAACCTGTAACTCAAAGGGAACCAAAGAACGAAGACACAGATCAGGACATCCAAGAACTGCGGAACAATATCAAAAGTTATATCCATATCAAATGCCAGGAAAAGAAAAGATTAAGAATAAGGCAAAATAAATATTTGAAACAGTAATGACTGAGAACTTTCCAAAATTAATATGATAAATCAAATCACACATCCAGGATGCTCAGAGAATGCCAGGCAAGATGAATATGAAATACACACATACACACACACACACACACACACACACACATACATGTATCTAAGCATAACATCATCAAGCTGCAAAAAAAAAAAAAAAAAAACGGGGAAAATCTTATAGAAAGTTGGGTACATCTTAACTATAGAGAAGCAAAGATAAGAATGACAATGCACCTCTCATCAGAAATCATGCAACCAAATAGCCTGGAGTAACGTTTTTAAGTGTTGAAAGAAAAAAAACCTGCCAACTTAGAATAACATACGTAGCAAAATTATCCTTCAAAAGTGAAGAAGAAATAAAGGCTTTTTCAGAAGAACAACTGAAGGAATTCATTACTGGAAGATCTACACTGCAAAAATATTAAAAGAAATTCTTTAGGTTAAATAAAGTAATATACATGAGAAACTTGGATTGATGTGTAATTTTTAAAAAGTTTTTCTTATCTTAATAGATCGACAAGATAATTATGGACAGCAATAATAGCAACAATAATTAATTCATCATTGCTCAGGGATGTTAGATAAATGGCAGTCAAATCCTCACGCCTATAATCCCAGCACTTTGGGAGGCCGAGACGAGTGGATCACCTGAGGTCAGGAGTTCACAACCAGCATGGCCAACAAGGCAAAACCCCATCTCTACTAAAAATGCAAAAATTAGCCAGGCATGGTGGTGGGCGCCTATAATCCCAGCTACTCGGGAGGCTGAGGCAGGAGAAATGTTTGAACCTGGGAGGCAGAGGTTGCAGTGAGCTGAGATCAGGCCACTGCACTCCAGCCTGAGTGACAGAACTAGACTTTGTCTCAAAATAAATAAATAAATGGCAGTAAAATCACAAGAAATAAGACAGACGTACTGGTAATACTATGTTATGAGGTATCCCCACTACGCTCACAGTAATTTTTTTTTTTTTTGGAAACGGAGTCTCACTCTGTTGCCCAGGCTGGAGTGCAGTGGCACAATCTCGGCTCACTGCAGCCTCTGCATCCCAGATTCAAGCGATTTTCCTGCCTCAGTCTCCTGAGTAGCTAGGACTACAGGCGTGTGCCACCACGCCCGGCTATTTTTTTGTATTTTTAGTAGATACTGGGTTTCACCGTGTTAGCCAGGAGGGTCTTGATCTCCTGACCTCATGATCTGCCCGCCTCAGCCTCCCAAAGTGCTTGGATTACAGGCGTGAGCCACCTCTCCTGGCTCATAAGTTTTTATTTGACATTGTACTTGGATTATTTAAACATATATGTTGGAAACCCTAGGGCAACCATTTAAAATGTTTGTGTTAAGTATAAATTAAATGCTGACAGAAAATAAAATTAAAAAGTATAACATACTAAATTAAAACCAGAGAAAATAGAAAAAGAGGAGGGAAAATAAAGAACAAATGTAATGATGATTGAAATTAATGAATAGCTTTCATATATCCTGGAAATATTTTGAATTAATATAAATTTATATATCAGAAAAATGTTTATCCTCAATAGATTGGTTAAATAATAATTAAATAATTTTAGCGTTAAATTGAAGTTGTTTAAATAAAAATGTTTTATACTGTTTAAAAATAATGTTTTGTAAAATAATGATTATCCCTAAGGATGTTTATAAAATTAACAACCAAATTTAACAAATTTATTTAAACATGATTTAAGAAAAACATGCTAAATAACCAACAGGCATGAGTGAGTCAGATCTAGATGTAGATGGATCAAGAAATTATAGTTTAATCAGTCTTGTATGTAAACACTGTTGGGATTTCCAAGCCATTGTCATATTTAGAGACACACATCAATTAAAGGTTAGCACATAACAGAATGCAACTTGCTGGAATAGATCATGACATTGATAGAGTCATTTTTTTTTGGTAACACTTAACATTGCTTACTTCTGCTTTGTTTTTTTTTTAGACAGTGTCTCCCTCTGTCACCCAGGCTGGAGTGCAGTGGTATAAACATGGCTCACTGCAGCCTCTACCTACTGGGCTCAAAGGATCCTCCTGCCTCAGCCCATGTAGCTGGGACTACAGGCATGCACCACCATATCTGGCTAATTTTTTGATTTTTTAATAAAGATGGGGTATCACTGTATTACACAGGCTGGTCTCAAACTCTTGGGCTCAAACAGTCCTCTCACTTCCGCCTCCCAGAGTGCTGGGACACAAATGAGCCACAGTGCCTGGCTTATTGTTTATTTTTAACTTTTTTTTTCCTTAAAATGATTTGTTGAAAGCTACTCAGTGGAACTCTCTGAGAATTATACAACCTGTAAGCCTGAGGGAGGTGGTAAATTCTTCCTCATCCAACTTTGTCAAGCAGAACCTCTAAGGAAGTTGATAAAGAAAATATTGAGCCTTTGCCTTCATGCTTCAGAAATAAGTAAAGGAGAAATCATGCTCACCTAGCATTTAGTTGGAGAGAAAAATACAGTAGTAATGTTCAACTTTTTCTCAGAACAGAGATGGATGCTTTTCTTCAAGGCAAGAGGCAGCAATGTTAACTTAAAGGGAACTAGGAAGCATTAGAAGGAAGAAATATATGATATCCACACAAATAATGAAGAACATGTGGTTCTACCCTTCTACATTTCAGCAGGTCTGAATCATTTCTTACAGCTATTCCTGCCATAGGAGCCATTAGATTCAGAAAGCAGTAAGAAAATAACGGAAAGTAGCAAACTACTGATTCATAAGCCACTTTTCTCAAACCTCAAGAGTTTTTTTTTTTTTTTTAACATTCACTTGGTAACCTGTTTAAATCCTTGTCTGTCTTCAAAATGTGTGACAACAGAAAGCAAAGGTGGTCTACAAGTCAACCTTATTTAACATTCTGTGGGGTCAAATACAAAAGTGTTGATATGATTATTATCAATATATTGGTATAGTATTTCTGTATTGATATACTGATGTAGTATCTCTGTATTGATATATTGATATCACATCTCTTTAAAGATGGTAGAGTGAAGCCCTGGTGATAAGGATATGCAGTTTGATCCCAATTCTGAAAAAGTTCATTCTATCATCTGTCTTATCATTCATTGACCCACTTTATAATAATGGAGCAAAAGATCAACTCTTAAAATTCTCTTGCTTTAATATAAACATTAGAAAATAAGTGACAACCTGCAAATAAAATATTTTTTAAAAAAAGTAACAGAGATCAGTTTATTACTGATTAAATTATTCTTTATTAAAATGTGACTATAATTTTAAGTCTAAATCAAATTAGTTTATTAAACTTATATATGTTAATATCTACATAACCATAACAGACATAATAATTTAAAAATATAAGCTACTAACCACAATGCCTAAGAGCCCTGTAGCTTTGTAAGGAAGATTAAAAACAAGGACACAACTACAAAACAATCACTAGGTCACATATCTTGGCCTGGATTTTCTCATTTAGCTATCAGGATAGCGTGACGACTATATAGTCACTCTTCTAGCTCTATAAGCAACTTTAGAAATTAAGGAGACAAAACTCTGTATAAAGTGTACAGTAGTCCTCTCTAATCCACAGTTTCACTTTCTGGGTTTTCAGTTTCCTGAGGTCAACCACAGTTCAAAACTATTAAATGGAAAGTTCCAAAAATAAACAATTCATAAACTTTAAATTGAGCCATGTTCCGAGTAGTATGAGGAAATCTCACTCAGTCCCGCTCAAGACATGAATTCTCCCTTTGTCCAGCATCTCCACTCTACCTGCTCAGTAGCCACTCAGTAGCCCTCTTGGTTATCAGATCCACTGTCCCAGAATCACAACACTTGTATTAAAGGAACCCATATTTTACTAAATAACGTCCCCAAAGCACAAGAGTAGTGATACTGGCAATTGAGATATGACAAAGAGAAACTATAAAGTGCTTCATTTCAGTGAAAAGGTAAAAATTCTCAACTTAATAAGCCAAAAAGGAAAAATGTATACTGAGCTTGCTAAAATTTACCCTAAGAACAAATCTATCCATGAAATTGTGAAGAAGAAAAAAATTGTGCTAGATCTCCTGTTGCACCTCAAACTGCAAAAGTTATGGCCACAGAGCATGTTACATGCTCAGTTAAAAAGACTTCAAATTTGTGGGTGAAAGACATGAACAGAAATGTATTCTGATATAAGGCAGGCAGGTTCATTCTACCATCCCAAGTAGTGTCACTCACTAGGGATTTGGGAACATATTTCAAGTAGAGAAAGACAGACTATTCTACCATTTTTTATTTCTGTTGCCCATTTTCCCGATCAGATGCTTTACCATTTTTATTTATTTTATCAATGAGATAATTTTTAATATACTTATTAGAGACAAGGTCTACCTATTGTCCAGGCTAGAGTGCAGTGGCGCAATCATAGCTCACCTTAAACTCGAACTCCTGGGTTTAAGCAGAGATAATATTTTAAGACTAATTTATGTAACACAAATTAATTTGGCATAAAGTATGCCCATTTCAGATTTTTTATAAATACAGACATGCATCATATAATGGTGTCTCTGTCAAATATGCACTGTATATACATCTATTTTGCCATAATAGGAGCTACCCTATATAGGTGTGCCATATTTTAGTCTTTTATGCTGTATTTTTACTGTACTTTTTCTGTGTTAGGTCTGTTTAGATACTGAATCTGAATGCTCTCAATTAAACCATGATGCCTTCCACTCACAAATTTAATGCCTTTTCCATCTTAACTAAGCACTTATCACGCATGTGGCTGTAACTTTTGAAGTTTGTTGTGCTACAGCAGAACTAGCACCAATTTTTTTCTTTTTTCTTCACATCATTATGGATAGATTTGTTCTTAAGGTAGGTTTTAGCAACCCCAGTATACAAATATTTTTCTTTTCTTGTTAAGTAAAGAAATTTCAGCTTGACACGACAGCACATGCTTGTAATTCTAGCACTTTTGGGAGGCTGATGTGGGTGTGTTGCTTGAGTCCAGGAGTTGGAGACCAGCCTGGGCAACATGGCAAAACCCCATCTCTACAAAAAATTAGCTGGGCCATATGGTGCACTACTGTCGTCCCAGATAACCAGAGGCGGAGTCAGGAGGATTGCTTGAGCCTGGGAGATCGAGGCTGCAGTGGGCTGTGATTGACCCACTACACTTCAGCCTGGGTGGCAAAAAAAGACCCTGTCTCAAAAAAATAAAAAATAAAAAATAAAACAATTTTCTCCTTTTTACTTAGGGAAAACACTTTATAACTTCTCTTTGTTATATCTTTTTTGCCAGCATCGCTACTCTTGTGTTTGGGCTTCTA
This sequence comes from Homo sapiens, assembly GCF_000001405.40. NCBI lineage: Eukaryota > Metazoa > Chordata > Mammalia > Primates > Hominidae > Homo > Homo sapiens. The sequence continues at coordinate 178,696,657 of NC_000004.12, forward strand.
AGTGGCTAATCAGAAAGGAGCTTCTGCAGCCTGGAACCTCTGGAGGAAGGTATGATTCATCTTCCAGGACAGAGCTGGACAACATGCGATTTCATCACTCTACCGAGCATGGTACACAATTTATTAATTATGAATTCTTTACTTATGGAATTTTTTATTTAATATCTTCAGACCATAGTTAACCACAGGCAACTGAAACAGTAAGAAGTGAAATCATGGTTAGGAGAAACAACTGTAGAGCAAAAGATTGCTAATTCCCCATAACTATAAAAGGACAATCTCACAATTAAATTGCAGCAACAGAGAGCTTATTATTGCACACTTGTTGCAGCAGTAAACATTTGGAAGCAAATATAGTCTCCACAATAGAGAGATTGATTATATTTTGCTATGCAGTTATTGGCAAGGTATAAAGAAAATTTTTTAAAGCTGTAAAATATTTTCTATAGGTATCTATTGTTTAAATGACAATGTGTAGTGTGTGTACATTGTTTTTGTCTGGACATAGTCTGGGGAACAGTTATTATGTGGAGGAAAGACCTGGATGGAGAAGAGCTTTTTATGTAAATACCCTTTTAAATTTTCTAAGTTTTGACATGAAAAGGAGCACCTGGACATAATTTGTATTATTTTTCTATTTCTGCGTTAAAAATTACCACAGATTTAATTATGTCTTTAACAGCTTTTCCACAACATAGAACAACCGAATTACTGTTTGACAGAAGAACTGTATACACTAGGCAGCAAGAATCTTGGTGCCACCTTGGATTTTTGCCTAGCACAAAATTTTGATCTCTTTATTTCTCTCTCTCCCTGTCTCTCTTTGACTGATACAATTAAAAATCAGGCAAATATGACTCTCTATGTCATATTTACTAAAAATATTGTTTACTAAAATTATTGTTTGTATATATGCATGCACATATATAAACACATTGAAGGTCTATGTGGATAAACAAAAAGGTTTAGGCCAGGGGCGGTGGCTCATGGCTGTAATCCCAGCACTTTGGGAGGCCAAGGTGGGCAGATTACCTGAGGTCGGGAGTTCAAGACCAGCCTGACCAACACGGAGAAACCCCGTCTCTACTAAAAATACAAAATTATTTGTATTTTTACAAATACAAATAATTGGTGGCAGGTGCCTGTAATCCCAGCTACTTGGGAGACTGAGGTAGGAGAATAGCTTGAACCCGGGAGGCAGAGGTTGCGGTGAGCTGAAATAGTGCCAATGCACTCTAGCCTGACAACGGAGCAAGACTCCATCTCAAAAAAAAAAAAAAAAAAAAAAAAGAAAAAGAAAATGTTTAATGGGATGATCCAGAGTGGGAACAGGACATGCTGACTAGGAATAGTATTTGAATTCTTTTTGATGTTAAAAAGGTGATGATAAAGGTAGTCAGTACTAATTGTGTATTAAAATTAAAAAGAAAAACCAAGGTAAAGAAGGACATGATTCTAAATATCTCAACCGCTCGATGGTTTATTTTAAAGAACTGGGTAAAGTATTTCAGTTTGTTTTACTTTGGAAAATCATTATGAAATTTTAAAAGAAGAAAAGTACTTCAGTTATTAATAACACACATTTCATTTTTATGTCTATATAAAAAGCGAGATAAAATGAAGCTATGAAGTAAGTTTGTGCTGAAGTACCAGTTAATGGAATAGACCACTTAAGTTTTACATAAAGCTATTGATGGGGTTTATCCTTGCCCTAATGCTGCTACTCATATTTGACAGACTGCCCTGAATAGGAACATGCTTTCATTTTGATTTTTTTGTCAATTAGTTCCCCTAAGAAAAAATGTGGTAACACTGCTATTCCCATTCCAGAGAAGAAAATTTTAACAACAAAAAATTAGGTTGCTCAGGAGCACATAGACGGTAAGGGGCAGAGCAAACACAGCCTGCAGAGCCTGTGCTCTTCACAGCTATGCTAGCCTTCCTCTCCTGCCCATGAAAAAACAGGGATGAGTTTGTGCTTCAGAAAGAGCCACATGCTCTGTGGAATACTATACAGCAATGAAAACAAAGTCAATGGAACTACATGCCTGGACATGGACTCATCTTACAAACACGATACTGAATGAAAGGAGCTAGGTACGGGGTGTACATGACATAAAAGCGAGAGCATTTGCTCTGAGTATGTAACAGGAAGGGGACACGATGGGGACTCTTGAGGGCTTGATTTGAGCTAGTTACACATGTGTGTACATTTGATTAACAGTCAAACAACATTTGTGAATTTTTCTGTGTTTATGGTATACATGAATTAAAAATATATTTAACAAAAAGGGAAGAGTATCTTTTCCTCCAGCTGATCATGAAAAGCATGTTTTTTCTTTTGTTTTGTTTTTCTTTACTGGCTTTTAGAAAATTGAAGCTACCATTAATAGTCTCTCATAATAAATACAGGTATCATCATCTTTTGTATATCTATTTCTTATTCAGTTCCACTCCATTTAATTCTATTTATTGTCTTCCTTTTGTCTGTTTATATGAATGGAAATTGAAAAACCAAAATGTACTGAAAGGATCAGTAGTCAGATACCATATATAAATATTGCCTATTAATAAGTACTTAGACAACCTTGATGAATAATGTTTTTCTTCTTTTTCAGTTTTCTTTGACAGAGATCCATGTATTCTGGAATAAGTAGACAATCTGAAAAAAACATAATTAGATTTCATATTTTCTTTATTTGACATCTCACGAATCAATCTTCACATTGAATACTGAGAGACATGACATAATTGGACCTTGCTTCTATGAATAGAACTTTGGATAAAGGATCCCTGTTCTAGGCATTTCTTTTATATCTTATCCTTGAAATTCTCAAAACACTTTATCTGATCTCTTATAGTATTGTTGACATTTTTTTAAATCTGTTTGCCACCAGGCAATGAGTTAAAAGACTGGGTTATGTCTGAAAGATTATAGTGTCTGCCAATTACTTGATTTTCAATATATGCCTGTTGTCTACACTGATATTCCTGCTCTCAAATGTAAAGCATCTTTGCATTACTGAGACCACTCTGCAAAACTCTGGGATCTTTAAGAATTCTGTTATGGCATCCTGTCATAGTAATATTTTATAGTGGCATCAGGCACTTTACAAATGAGTGAGTGGATGGATGGATGACTTTTCTGGTAAGACCATGTTATTTACAGTTATATGACTTTAAACCACCTTTTTTTTCCTTCTATTTCTTTGAATATCATGGTCTATTATCAGTAGTGTTTGTAATAACACTAAGTGTCTCCTGGAAATATTTCAAAACACTCACTGTAACTTAATAGTATATTTCAAAATAATGAAAGATAACACTAAATAATGATTCAAGTCTCAAAATTTATCATTTTTCCCAACAAGAAAGAGGAGTTAAATGACCTGCTACATAGTTTATTCCATTCTCCCATTAGCTAAGTAGCCAGAAAATCGTATGCAATCTAGTGCTCAGTCTGACAAGAAAATGTAGATTATCAATTGCTTCTAAAACAGAGCATTTGGGCTTCAACTAGATTAAGAAATGTTACTATTTGTCAAAAATTACAGAGAAACCATTATTTTATATTACAAACCTCAATGTTTTGAAAACCAATAGTGGACATTATCTTTTGACATTTATAGAAGATATGTAACTCTTTATAAATCTTTTTAAACACTCTAGTGCAGATAGAAGCTACAGCACAGAATGCTTGGCTATACTTGAAGTAAATACTCTAGGTTATTTATGCCATCCTTACTGTTTGAAAAAAAAGTTTCTGTTGTGGCAGGGGGAGTGTGGACAGAATTGAATACTCCAGGAAATGGAAGATTTAAAAATTTAATTCTGATTTTTGTTCATTCCATTTACAGGGATGGGGGTAAGGGGACAAAAATTGGTATGTATTCTCACATTGAATACTGAGAAACATGAAATAATTGGACCCTGCTTCTATGAACAGAACCTTGGATAAAGAATCCCTGTTCTAGGCATTTCTTCTTATTTTAGAGTTTTGTAGGGAAATTTGAATTTATATATTATTGAACAGTTTCTGTCACTGCAGATAGACACTTCTCTAAATTATTATTTCACAGTAGATAAATACACAAACAACTTAACATTAGCTTTTGATCACTTGCTAAAATTAGCATTAGTCAATAATCTTTGTAAAACATGTAACTATTAACTCTTTGTTTTTTCTTGTCTGAAACTGTCATAAAAATTGTACCTATCTGATGTCGTTATTATGATGTTCGGTGAGTTAATACAATGTTTGTAAAAATGCCAAACATGCTGCTCATAAATATTAAAACCTCATGAATAATACCTATTATTATGACTAGCTCAGGAACCACTGTTCTATTTCAGTAAAATATATTTATAGAGCATTCAAATTACAGATAGGGTAAGTGAATGGCGATTGGATTAGCAATAATGGCTCACAATCAGAAATCAAAAACCAAAAGTCAAAAAGGTGAATCTGGTTTCATGTTTTGATAGATCTATTTGATTGAAAAAACAAACACTTTTCTTCACTCTCAGTCCTTAGAACCCACCTGGCCCTCCACTGGCACTGCTCTCTGAGGAAAAATGGAGCGGAGTGGGGGTCAAGGGTTGACACTTTCTCCAGCTTGGCCTCTGTCACAGTGAGTGACAAAAGCCTGGCCTGTCCCTTTCATGGTAGGTGTTTTCTTAATAAACCACCCCAACTCCTGGCAGCTCAGCTCTTTCCTGCTCAGCTGAACTCCTGACAAATATAATGCTCCAGTAAATGGTGTTAGATGACTCAAGAAGTGACACTATGATAATGGATGCTGATATTAAAGTACATGTAAAAAGCTTGGACAAGATGTTTCATTAAAGAAAATTAGAGAAAAGCAATATTTTTAAATATGTGGGTTTAACTATGTATGTATTTATATAAATATGTTTGTGTCTCTGAAAATTTATTCAAGGTTTTTAGATCTTTTCAGTTGTAAAACCAATGGATTATATATTTGAAGATGATTTGATTTACATTGTAATTTGCTCTTCTGTGTACAGAAGTTGTTAAGTAATAAAAGGGTCACAAGGAAAACAATGAAGAAATATTTTTTATTTTATCTTAAAAAAAAGATAAGCAAGGACCTCAATTCTCATAATCTCTCTGAACAATAATTGATCACTTTCATTATGAAAGGTATCACCGGGCAGGAAGGTGATAAAGAGAACATGGGTTCCAAATTTTCTTTCTTTCTTTTTTTTTTTTTTAATTATTATACTTTAAGTTTTAGGGTACATGTGCACAATGTGCAGGTTAGTTACATATGTATACATGTGACATGCTGGTGCGCTGCACCCACTAACTCGTCATCTAGCATTAGGTATATCTCCCAGTGCTATCCCTTCCCCCTCCCCCCACCCCAAAACAGTCCCCAGAATGTGATGTTCCCCTTCCTGTGTCCATGTGTTCTCACTGTTCAATCCAACCTATGAGTGAGAATATGCGGTGTTTGGTTTTTTGTCCTTGCGATAGTTTACTGAGAATGATGATTTCCAATTTCATTCATGTCCCTACAAAGGACATGAACTCATCATTTTTTATGGCTGCATAATATTCCATGGTGTATATGTGCACATTTTCTTAATCCAGTCTATCATTGTTGGACATTTGGGTTGGTTCCAAGTCTTTGTTATTGTGAATAATGCCGCAATAAACATACGTGTGCATGTGTCTTTATAGCAAAAGCCCACTTTCTAGAGGGGAAGGAACTAAAACTCAGACGTCTATGTAAAACAATGCAACATAAAAATAAATAAGTGTTGTGGCAAAACAGATACAAGGAAATTTAGACTGTGACTATTCATGTTAGAAATTGCTTTTCAAAGGAACTAGCATTAGATTGGGGTCATGAAAGGTGCGTGGAAATTAGCCAGTAGTCAAGTAGGAAAATATGCAAAGAAACTTCTGGTCAAAGGCAGAATACAAGTTTTTAGAAATTCAGTGAACACACACACACATATATAAATATTATCTTTCTTTCTGTCGACTTTCTTTTCTTTACTTTTTTAAAATTTCTATCACCCATTCCTTTATGAAATGTCTAAACTTTACCAATTCGCTGGGCTGGGTTTTAGAAACACGACATTAGATAATACAAATTAAATATCTTTTAAGAGTTATACATTGTAATATAAATATAGTTATATATGTTTATGCATATATGTGCTCACACACACCTATATATGTGTGCACATACACCTATATATGTGTGAATATATATGTGTTTTATACACACATATAAACATACAAAGAAACCACATATATATATAAATGGCCTTTAAGAAGGTAACAATTAAGCAGAAACTTAAGAGAAAAAATGAACCTATATCTGAGAGATGATTGTTCCAGATATAGGAACACAAGGGCAATGGTTTTGACGCAGAAACATCTTTGCTGTATTTAACTGATAAAAGTTAGTATTGTTGGAGTACCATGGAATAGAGGAAGTGATATCAGAGAAGACAACACAGCAAGGCAAAACAAGGCCTTGGATGTAAGACCAAGCACATTGGAAAGGCATCGAATTTTGTGTTGGGCAAGGATGACTTGGACTCTGTGGAAAATGTATTCTGAATGAGAAAGAGTGGAAGTATGGATACCACCTAGGAGGTTATCATAGTAGTTTACATGACAGGTCAGAATGATGAGGTTTTGGAATAAAATGGTGGCAATGGAGGTGGCAAAGTGTTTCAATTTAGAATATTTATTGAAATCAAGCCCACAGTGCATTAAGAAAGACTGATTTTTCAGGTGTGAAGGAAAGAGAGGAATTGAACTTGATCCCACCTTTCTGATGTGAACAACTGGAATATACATATTTCATTTCTCTAATAGAGAATGCCTGGGGAGGAGCAGAATCTAAGACATTCTGAGAGAATGGAAGTCTGAATTACAGAGAGAGAGTAACAAGAAAAGAATTTATAATTAGGACTATTGTATAAGTAATCTATCACAACATCCTGAGAAGATTTGGTGACATGAAGGATTTTTAATTACTGAACTGCTATAATCAGAATAATGTTTTAGAATGCTATCTAAAATATTGTCATAAATATTAGGTTGACAGAAAGAAATAAGATGGGAAGAAAGAGAATAAGAAGCAAAATAATGTTATGATTTGTCCTATGGTAGAGGCAGGCAATGGTGTGGAGAACAGATATTTGTTTATTTAATTTTACTTAGAAATTGCTATGTGCAATCCCTGTGCTGTGCAGTACAAGGATGAATGAGTTGACTACAATATGATTCTTCCACTCAAAAAAAAAACCCCAGGATTTTAGAATGTATTTGGAATCTTAAATAAATGATTATTATGTTTATGGTTTCTTAGTCTAGTGTTTTAATAACAGATATGGTGGTTTTCATACATTGAAATTCCCTTTCAAAGCAAAATTTACCTATTATTCTGCACAACGGACAAGTAATAGTTAATAATAATATATATGCTTGCATATATGTGCACATATAACGATACTTCAGTAGGAAAAATCCCTCATTCAAAATTAATACACTGGAAATGTATTCCACTGGATGTATCCACTGGAAATGAATTCCAGGCATCTCAAATCACTAAAGTATATCTAAATGAAGAATTGAAATAGGCCAGGCATGGTGGTGCACACTTTGGTCCCAGCTACTTGGGAGGCTGAGATGGGAGGATTGCTTTAGCACAGGAGGTCAAGGCTGAGGTGAGCCATAATTTGGCCACTGTTCTCTAGCTTGGACAACAGAGCAAGGCCCACTCTCAGGAATAAAATAAAAGAAGAATTGAAATAAAGACAATGATCCAGAAATCTTGAGTTTCTTTTCAATGTCCAGAAATGTATAGAAAGTGAGAGTTAAATATATGAGCAGACAACACCGTCTGACAGCTTGGATGAGAAGGTAACACAAAAGGTTGTGTGAGAATCTTTGACTGATAAAAAAACAGTATCTAATATTCACTCTGGTTTTCTTAACACACTAATCTTATTTTTTTCATAGCAGGTGCCTAATGAATATTAGGTAAATAAATATGGTAGATCAAAACTAATTTCCTTTTTAAAATGAGTTTTCTACAATTTATACAAGTTTTTATAGATGATAGCTCAAAAATATTTGATTTACCTTTAATGCACACAATAGCTTAAAATGAGATTTAGCTGATTTCTTATAAACAAAGTTACATGAATTTCAAGGTGGGATGGCATCAAATGTAGAAAAATTGTGAACTTGGACAACAGTATAAATAAATAGTTGATTCATTAGGCTTCTTTGCCAATCATTATGCCAACTATTTTACATAGATTCCTTTAGTTAACCTCATATCTACTGTAGGAAATAAACACAATTTTTATTCCCATTTTGCAGAAAAAGATGATGGAAGTCTGAGTAACTATGAGATAGGATAGAAATGTTTAACAAAGCCTTTAGTTCTGCCACTCACTCTCCAGATAAAGGCACAATAGGGTTTTCAATAATTCTAAGGAGAGATTTTCTCCTGAGGCATCTGTGAATCTGGGCCATAGAATGTGCAGAATCCCTGGCACAAATAAGTAAGAAATCAATTATTTCACATTATACTTTAAAGAATAAAACTCCCACAAAAGTGCTAGAAAAGGAGGGAGAAAAAAAAAAAAAAAAATCTTGTCATTTCCTATGTTCTCAACTTTCTTAAGTTCATTGCCCTTTAGAAATACCATGCTATTTCATTCATTGAAAGTACAATATGCGTTTGATAAAGTATTTAGATAAGGACTTTTTCTCAACATTCAACCTCCTATCTTCCATTGGATTAAAATTAAAACTGTGCTTGTTTTCTTTAAGCTAAGGTAACTAGAGAGTCAAAATTTGAATGGAAAATGTGTGTAAACGATTACAAGTTGTAATTAAAGTCTCAGAAATGCCAATATTGGCTGATTGTTTCTTTAAAAAAAATTTATATAACTCTCTTTCTTTTAAAGGATTTATTTTTGTTAAGAATTTCTTTCTTTTTTTTTTGAGACAGAGTCTCTCTGTCACCCAGACTGGAGCACAACCTTCAGCTCATAGCAACCTTTGCCTCCTGGGTTCAAGCAACTCTCGTGCCTCAGCCTCCCAAGTAGCTGAGATTACAGGTGTACACCACCAAGGCTGGCTAATTTTGGTATTTTTAATAGAGATAGGGTTTCACCATGTTGGCCAGGTTGGTCTTGAACTCTTGGCCTCAAGTGATCCACGTGCCTCAGCCTCCTAAAGTGCTGTGATTACAGGCATGAGCCACCATGCTGGCCTTTGTTAATAATTTCAATATTTTTCGAAAAGCTACACATTGTATTATTATGGTTTTGTTCTATTTAGAGGTTTTTGGCATGAGAATTTCTTGTCAACGTACAAATTACTCATTTAGTAAATTGCATTTTGGAAACACAAAAACCGTCTCAGTGTCTCATTATTTATAAATACCAAAGCTGTAACAAATGTACAATAGCTTAGTATATTGTACAGTATACTCCAGGCTTTTAGAAAAGTTATTGGTGCCAACATGCCCTTTAAATGCAAGTAGAGCAAAGGTGCATTTCAGAAAAATAATATCATCTTGTGGCCTTTGCAGCATGGAATTTACTGATAAAGACAATAGAGTCTGAACCAACTTCTCAACACTGAACAGTAGCAGAAATATTAAATCTAAACATTTCAAAATATGGAATGTCAATCATTACATTTGTAGATATTTTTGCATAACTTTTCATTTTGAGGCAGTAGGTCAAGGAGTTTGAGACTTCATTTAATTAAACAGTATTTTGATATACTCTTGACTACAGTCTCTTAGCAACAGTGTAAAATGTAAATTACATTAAGAAGGAAAAATCAGAATGTAAGTATATTTACAGATGAATATTGAAAGAGATAGAAGGTCATTATAGTAATCATAATTCCAATATTCTAGAAATCAAACACAAAGAAGTACACAGTCTGACGAAGACATCATGGATGAGTCCATCATCAGGCAGGAAGGTGATATTGGATGATACGTTGACATAGTAATTGTATAAATAAAAATATGTTTGAAATTAATTAGGTGAGAATTTGAACAATTTTTCAGGTTACTTGAGCTTACGTATAGTGTCCATTAAAGCACGTTCTTTTTTATCTAAACTTATTCCCATATGCTGAGATCATTCCACTCTTTTTATAGTTAAGACTCTATTATGTACTGGCATAAAATCTGATATTTCTCCTTTATGTCATTCGTTACAACTGCATTTAATTTTATTTGGAAATTGTTTAATTGTTTTTTCACGCTAGGTTGTGTGTCCAATGTGAACAGGGTCTGTGTTGCTACTTCATAACTGTATCCTTGATGTCTGACATATAATAGATAATGTACAATTTTTATCCAGAGTTTTCTAGGGAGAGATATAGAGAGTTAGAAGTAGCCAAAAAGAATACAAATCATACTGTCAAGTAGATCACAACCTGAGTTGTACAGGAACACATGTAAAAATGTTAAATATTCATACATGCTTCCATTTCCAGTTATGATTTAACATAGGTAAGTTGGGGTTAGAGAAGCATGTGGTAATTTTTAATAATCTAGAGATGCAGAAAATATTTTTGATCAGATATCCATAAGGATGTTAATTTTCAGCTGCTATTCTAGCAAATTGTAATGATTGTCACGAGGACGTTCTCCATTTATATTCATGAATATAAACATTTCAGAGTTATAGTTACCTTCGAGATTTGATTAAAGCTCTAGATTCCCTCCAGCAGAAAACAAAACAAACATTTAGAAAAAGCACAAGTGTTTATTTCTTATATTTCACTTCATGAACTTTTTGAACCTTTGTAATGGATTTCAACTTAAAACCTTTATTTTAGAGTGCAAGGAACTATTTTTATACTGTTTACAATTGTTGTAACTGTAGTATACAAGGCAAATAGTTTCATCTATATTTTTCCTGATGTGTAAGCGTCTTACTGAATTACAGTGTTTGATTCTTCACTTGATAATTGTCTTTTGGTTATTTAACCTTCTACTGACTGAATTTCACATCTCTTTGAACTATTTTTAGATATCAGTAATAATCTGTGTAGATTGGATCAGAACTATATCCTACAAATAATACATTGGCGATTTGGGTATTCTCTAGTTAAATTGCTAGTATGTTCATAACTAAAGTGAGTTTTAAATGGGCTTTGTAGTTGTTGTTTAAAGACAGATATTTAAACAAAGGCTCTGGGTGTAATAACAATGATGCTACCTTCAGTGCACGGCAGGCCTTTCATCCATGGAGCATAAAATGCCTCACTTATGCCATCAGAGGTGGGAATGTGGATGTGTAAACAACTTTCCACTTGGTCGGGATGTCATCCAGCTATGGAAGGACCATCTTTTCCGTAATAAAATCTTCAGAGGATGAGACTTAAAGAGATCAGAGGGAGAAAAATTATTTCTTTATGAGGATTTTTTCTTTATTCCCTGTTGTAATCTTCCAAATAAGAATAATCAAATAGATCACTTTTTATTAGGGAGATAATAGCTAATTAGCTAAAAAATAGATAGATATACACATGAAACTAGAGAAGTCCCTGCACCAAATCCATGTAAAGGCTCTACTCTTTCCTATATTTTGACATGATTGTATATCTAGAAAACCCCATGTCTCAGCCCAAAATCTCCTTAAGCTGATAAGCAACTTCAGCAAAGTCTCAGGATACAAAAGCAATGTACAAAAATCACAAGCATTCTTATACACCAATAGCAGACAAACAGAGAGCCAAATCATGAGTGAACTCCCAGTCACAATTGCTTCAGGGAGAATAAAATACCTAGGAATCCAATTTACAAGGGACGTGAAGGACCTCTTCAAGGAGAACTACAAACCACTGCTCAAGGAAATAAAAGGGGATACAAAGAAATGGAAGAACATTCCATGCTCATGGGTAGGAAGAATCAATATCGTGAAAATGGCCATACTGCCCAAGGTAATTTATAGATTCAATGCCATCCCCATCAAGCTACCAATGACTTTCTTCACAGAATTGGAAAAAACTACTTTAAAGTTCATATGGAACCAAAACAGAGCCCGCATCGCCAAGTCAATCCTAAGCCAAAAGAACAAAGCTGGAGGCATCAAGATACCTGACTTCAAACTCTACTACAAGGCTACAGTAACCAAAACAGCATGGTACTGGCACCAAAACAGAGATACAGATCAATGGAACAGAACAGAGCCCTCAGAAATAATGCCACATATCTACAACTATCTGATCTTTGACAAACCTGAGAAAAACAAGCAATGGGGAAAGGATTCCCTATTTAATAAATGGTGCTGGGAAAACTGGCTAGCCATATGTAGAAAGCTGAAACTGGATCCCTTCCTTACACCTTATACAAAAATTAATTCAAGATGGATTAAAGACTTAAACGTTAGACCTAAAACCATAAAAACCCTAGAAGAAAACCTAGGAATTACCATTCAGGACATAGGCATCGGCAAGGACTTCATGTCAAACACCAAAAGCAATGGCAACAAAAGCCAAAATTGACAAATGGGATCTAATTAAACTAAAGAGCTTCTGCACAGCAAAAGAAACTACCATCAGAGTGAACAGGCAACCCACAAAATGGGAGAAAATTTTCGCAACCTACTCATCTGACAAAGGGCTAATATCTAGAATCTACAATGAACTCAAACAAATTTACAAGAAAAAAACAAACAACCCCATCAAAAAGTGGGTGAAGGACATGAACAGACACTTCTCAAAAGAAGACATTTATGTAGCCAAAAAACACATGAAAAAATGCTCACCATCACTGGCCATCAGAGAAATGCAAATCAAAACCACAATGAGATACCATCTCACACCAGTTAGAATGGCAATCATTAAAAAGTCAGGAAACAACAAGTGCTAGAGAGGATGTGGAGAAATAGGAACACTTTTACACTGTTAGTGGGACTGTAAACTAGTTCAACCATTGTGGAAGTCAGCGTGGAGATTCCTCAGGGATCTAGAACTGGAAATACCATTTGACCCAGCCATCCCATTACTGGGTACATACCCAAAGGACTATAAATCATGCTGCTATAAAGACACATGCACACGTATGTTTATTGCAGCACTATTCACAATAGCAAAGACTTGGAACCAACCCAAATGTCCAACAATGATAGACTGGATTAAGAAAATGTGCACATATACACCATGGAATATTATGCAGCCATAAAAAAATGATGAGTTCATGTCCTTTGTAGGGACATGGATGAAATTGGAAATCATCATTCTCAGTAAACTATTGCAAGGACAAAAAAACAAACACCGCATATTCTCACTCATTGGTGGGAATTGAATAATGAGAACACATGGACACAGGAAGGGGAACATCACACTCTGGGGACTGTTGTGGGTTGGGGGGAGGAGGGAGGGATAGCATTAGGAGATATACCTAATGCTAAATGACGAGTTAATGGGTGCAGCACACCAGCATGGCACATGTATACATATGTAACTAACCTGCACATTGTGCACATGTACCCTAAAACTTAAAGTATAATAATAATAAAAATAAAAAAAGAAGGGAAGGATTAGAGAGTTGTAGGTTTTATAACATTATGTTTGAAGAACTACATTTACTATAAATTTGAACAATTTTCCATGTCTTAGTTCCTCATCTGTAACACTAAGGTAAGAAAAGATTCTTATTCACGTTACTGTTTTCTTTTTATTTTTAATTTTTCTGAGATAAGGTCTTGCTTTGTCACCGAGGCTGGAGTACAGTGGCACAATCTCGGCTCACTGCAACCTCTGTCTCCCAGGTCCAAGCAATTCTCTTGCCTCAGCCTCCCAAGTAGTTGGGACTACAGGCACTCACCACTAGGACCGGCTATTTTTTGTATTTTTGGAAGATAGGGTTTCAGCACATTGGCCAGGCTGGTCTTGAACTCCTGACCTCAAGTCATCTGTCGACCTCAGCCTTCTGAAGTACTGGGATGATAGGTGTGATCTACCACACCCAGCCAACATTATTTCTATGAGGAGTAAATGAGCCATAACCACTATTCCTCTACTCCTGGCACATAGTGATATCTCAGTATTAAACTCAACGAATTTCAAAGTAATTTTTTTTAAATGCAAGTATTGATGTTACAATATGACACACTGCATGTATTTAAGTAGATGCGATGGCAGAAAGTATTTAAATGGTTTTGATAATTACGTATTTTCTTTGGAAGTGAGATGGTAAATTATTTCTAATTTGTGCCAATTATTTATAACATGATTTTCTTGAAAAGGTCTAGTGTATTTCATGTCAATTTATATAGCTGATTTTCAAAAATACTCTAATTTTATACAGTATCTATTTCAATATGAGTTGTCATTTCTACATATATAAAAAGTATAGGATTTTCAAATTTTGTATTCGTACTGAAATGATATCGATACAATCTATTTTCTTGACCACTTTGTGGGATTCATGAGAGGGATGCCCCATGGTCAACCTATGGTACTTGACCCCTCGAGGGAGGGAGCAAGCAAGGGAATGAGCACGGGAACCAGCCAGCTGCTTCTGCGCCAGCAGGAGCAATCTCCATTACTAAGGCCTGCTGCACCCCACCCTTCATGGGAGGGAGTGTGAAGGCAAGAGAATATGGGACCCAGCTAGCCACATTGGCACTAGCAGGAGCAAACTTTGTGCAGGCCCTACAGCGGCGTCCTGGTTGGGGTGCCTGCAATCCCAAGGCCACAGAAGGCATGCTACTATGCTTTCCTAGCTCCACGGTCCACGAAGAGCAGTGTATTATCTGCTCAGTGGGCCCCCCGCCTCTTTGTGTGTGGTGACTGCCCTCCCCCAGTGAGGGCAAAAGGCCAGTGTGACAGCCTTTTTGGGTACTCACACTTGGTAGGTTCTGAATTCTTGTCCAGTGCCCGATAAGAATGAGGTTACATGAACAAATTGAAGGACAGTGAATATGGAGAATTTTATTGAGCCATGAAAGTGGCTCTCATTGGAGAGGGGAGCTGAAAAGGGGACAGGAAGGGTGGGTCGCTCTCCCCTGAAGTCAAGGGCTTCAGAGGCTCTCTGCCTCTCTCCCTCCAAAGTCAAGTTGCCTTTCTCCAACATCAGCCCTCATCTCTAAAGTCAAGTTGACTCTATCCAACATCCAGCTGCTTCTCCTCACTACTGGCTGAGTCTCAGGTCTTTATAGGCATGGGATGGTGGGGCAGGGCAGGCCGTAGGTAGTTTTGGAAAAGGCAACATTCAGTTGGTAAAAGGACATTATTCTGTCTTTGGGACAGAGCAGGCAAACAAGAATAGAAGTTTCACTTTGGGCTGCAGGTTTCAGGCTACTTTTGGCTTAAAGATGGGGCTTTGCCAGGGACCTGCCCCTGTCAGCCTGGAATTTCTCTGCCTTTTGCCTCTATTAATATCAAGCCTGATGTTTTCTCAATGGTAAATCCAGAATAAAGTCATTAATGTATTTACTTAGATTCTCAAAGATAATTAGCTTTTAGTGGTATCATTTTGGAATGCACAACCAAGAAAAAAAAAGTTCTACTACTCTCTAAATGTCTAGAAAATGAGGTATTTTCTATGAGAGAAATTTAATGTTCTTTTTTTTCTCTCCTGACAACAGTATCTTACAAATCAGTGCCAAATGATGCACAAAAATCCCTAGGTATCTTAAAGAGGAAAAAATTATGTAGGTAAACAGATAAATCTTTAGAACATTTGTCTTTATGGGAGCAACTCCTGCTGTTGGTCTCTAACCTGTAGGACATTAGTCTTCCCTAAATTGCCAATGGTGTTCCACATCTCAATGATAAATAGAAATCACTGGAAAAAATAGCACATTCTTCCACAGAGAATTTCCAGACAGACATAGGCCTTTAAGAAAAATGCATGCATAAACTAGATTATTTTCCATTGTGGCACATTTCACGCTAGGTCTTTACCCACAAGTCATTTTTCTCAGTTGTACAGAAAAAAAAAAAAAAAGAAATAGCTTTGAGTAAGACATTACATAAAAGTGTACACTAACATGATTGTTTATATTTAAGTGGAACAAGAAGGAAGATTCCACATCAGAGAGCATTCATCATATGTAATGAATGATTAATCACCAAAGACTGCTTTTCATTTTCAAATAACTTTAGTAGAATGGTGTGGCTGTTTGAAGTAATAAGCTTTATTCATTATCCCATTAACATATTTGGGGGAAAACTATTTACAACAACTTTCTTCTTTATGAAATAGTTTCAGATGACAAATTTAATCATTTACTTTTGGTTGCATTGTGAAACAATTTAGTTAGAAATATTTCTCATGTTTTCTAAAAATTATCAACATGCTTGGATAGACAATTCAGCATATTTTACTCTCAACTTTTGCTATATATACCAAAAAATATTGCACAAGAGACAAATCAAAAGTAGGATGGCGGGGTCGGGGTTGATACAGAGAAGTGGAGAGAGAGGAAAAAAAAAACAGCTCTATAAATTGTCTTCACAAATGACAATAATCACCACACATGGGATCTTAGTACAAAGTGCCAACTTTTATCAATTATTCTCACTTTTCTCCTCAGGACATATGTATGTGAGGTGGCATCCCTTTTGTCTTTGTGCCATTGCTTTTAAACAAGTGATTGCATGCTTATTTCACACTCTGAAGCATAGTTCCTGATTGACTTCATGTACCTGTTTATGAACAATTGCTGTGACTGACCTTTGGAGCCAGATGCTCCATAAGTTGCCATTTACTTTTTACAAATGAGTTGCAATTGGCAATAGTTAATCAAACTGATGACATTCATTAACAAGACATCACTGTTTACAAGTTAATACTATTGATCTTTCTCTTAGAGCACATAGTTACATTGAGAATTAGCAATTCTATGATAAAGTCGGTAGAGTTGTGAACATTTTTAGAAGTCTACTTTTATGTAAAATTGAATGTTTGTTGTATTGTTTGTTTACATAAGTATGTTGAGGTAGATGGATTGAGAGAGACAGAGAGAAACAAGGAGGAAGGGAGAGAAGAAAATGAAGAGAAAATGGGAGCATCAATAAATACATGCCAATGTCTAGTACCTAAAAATCACATTTTATTAGTCCTCTCTAGCTAAGCCAAAGAACACCCAGAACACATCTGTAGCTTAACAAGTGGAATTTATTACTTCTTATTTCAAAGGGATACCATACAATATCGGGGAAAATTGTATGTTCCAGTAAAAGTGTATTAGGAAAAACATGCTATATGATTTGTGCTTCTATTGGGAGATTTTACTGATGATTTGAGGAAGTGAGGCTTTGCTCTGAATTGGATCTTGTCAGGAAGCAGAGAAAACAGTACAATTGGGTATCTTAATAAATCTTATCTAGAAGGAAGAAACACGAGACCAAAGGTAAAGCCATAATTGGTAAAGAAGCATGAATCACTCACATTATCCAGCGAGGGGATAAACTTGGTTATTTTTGTAGTTTTAATGTTTTTTCTGAGTTCAGACATGGTTACAATGTCTTGATTTTACCTTAATCCTTTGTAGCCACAAAGTGGACTTGTCTGATATTGATATTCTGGGCCATAGTTTATGTTCACAGGAGAACGCCAAGGCCTAGCTGTGAGGGCCTTGCCAGCTCAAAGCAAAATCAAGTCCTGGCTGATATTATCAGGACAACTCTTGGATGTCAAGGACTGCTCTTCTCTTTCTAATATTTAAGAAATATTTTCTGAGCACCCATCATGTGAAACACGGTGTATTAGGCTAAAAATTAACGCTATTTAAAGAAAGTAAAAAAATCAAAATATCGATAAGCCTATGGAACTTACATTGTTATCATTCTACTTTACAATCAACAGTTCAAATTATTAAACTGCTATTTTTAAGTTTATGAAGGTGTATGATCTTAGATAATGAGCCCATTCCAATTTTGATTAAAGGTTTAACATTTAACTTAATGCATATTCCTGGAATATCAATCAACACTCTATCCACAAAAAAGTATCAATTATGATTATTTAATTTTTAATATGTAAATTGTATATTAAAACATATTTATCCACATGACTTTTGAAAATAACTTTAAAGTTACTTATTTAGCCATAAAAAGAGCCATATTTTTAAGATTTTTGTTACAGGCAACATCACATAATAAAGTTAATCCATTATACATGGATTTAAAGAAGTGAATGCCCTTCCAAGAGGTACTAGAATAATATAACTAGCCTCTATTAATTTACTTTCAATCCTGATTTTCACATTTTATTTAAAGAGTCTTAAAGTACTGGGTGACATTTGAAGATGACAGACCATAAATATGAATTGCTTCTACTATTTTTCAAGTGGAATAAAGATAACTTGGCCTCATATCAAAATTCCTGCATTGATTTCTTGCTCTAGTAGAAATCCATAAATCAACTAACATTCTGTCTTACTGAATTTTTTTTAAAGTTGATCATAATAATCCCCCTTCTAGCCAAATATGTTTTTCTTAAGGACTAAATGAGATAAGCCATATTTCAGACTGTAATAATTATCCTCTATTACCCTACAATTTTCTCTTAATGTCCCTCTATCATCCCTTAGTCTTCACATTCCTTAACGTGAGAGAGTGTGTATTGTGTATGCTGACACAAATTAGGTGTTAAATCAGTGTTTATTGATTAAAACAATGAATATAATAAAAATATTTTGCATGAAATACAACAGAATTTTTGTTTTGATTACCGCAGTTTAAAAGGCATACTACAGAAAGAAAAAATAACCAGTATTTTGATTACGTAAGTATTGAAGTCTATTTTTCTCAAATTTTCAACTAACTTGAATGATATTAAACCAAACTTTTATTTTCCCACCAATTAACTTTACATAGAAAATTGACTGATACAGTATAAACCAATTTAAAAGAATCGAAGGCAATGCAAAACCCTTAAAATTTGCATCGACTAAATTCTGACTATATTTTATGATCATAATATAAAAAGGGGCATTTTCACTCCTTGCACTTCAAAATGTAACACCAAAAATTATTAAAATTAAGAGGTATATCAACAATACTTTAGAAGAATGGAAGAAAACAATGAGCAAATAAGAGATGTTAACTAACAAAGGAAGATCAACACATATGTCAGGGAAAAAAAGATGTATTAAAAATGCAAAAAAAAATCAGAAAATATGATCAAGGTTAAGAGAGAGAATATGAAAGATACAAAATTTTAAAAGCTAGTAGCTGAGAATTTTCTGAAACAGAGAGAAAACATTAAGTTCCAGATTCATGAACTCTATGAACATACTATGGAAATAACAGCCAAGTACATTATAATAAAATTACTTAAAACCAAAGACAAAGAGAAATAAAAATACACTCAGAGAGCAAAGGCACATTTACTTCAAAGTATCAAAATAAGATTAACAGGCTGGGCATGGTGGGTCATGCCTCTGTGTAACCAGCACTTTGGGAGGCCGAGGTGAGCAGATCACCTGAAGTCAGGAGCTCAAGATCAGCCTGGTGAACATGGTGAAACCCCATCTACTAAAAATACAAAAATCAGCCAGGTGTGATGGCAGGCACCTGTAATTCCAGCTACTCGGGAGGCTGAGGCAGGAGAATCACTTGAACCCAGACGGTGGAGGTTGCAGCAAGTCAAGATTGTGCCATCGCACTCCAGCCTGGGCGACAAGAGCAAAACTCTGTCTCATAAATAAATAAAATTAACAGTCAGTATCACATGTACAGAAAAATGGAATCCAGAAGGCAAAGGTGTCATAATTTCTATTCTGGTATTAGAGTGCTTACATACATGATGGTGAAAGCCTAGGTTTTTTCCTGATGTTTAATGAAAAGCAAGAATGTCCTCTCTCATCACTTCGATTCAGCATTATAGTGGAGGTTAGAGCCAATATAATAAGTCAAGGAAAAAGAAAAAGGAAAGGAAAAGCATCTAAATGGGAAAGAGAGACATAAAGCTGTCTTTATTCAAAAACTGCCTTGTTTATGTAGAAAACCTGAAGAATCTGTTAAAAAATTATAACTAATAAGTGAGTTTAGTAAGTGTTCTGTTGCAAGATCAATATACAAAAATAAATTTGAGTATCAGCAAGAAGTATTAGAAATTTAAAATAATAACGTTTAAAAATGATTTTAATAGCATAAAAACATAAAATATTTAGGGATGAATATAACACAAATTGCGAAAGAAACTTACACTAAAAACTAAAACATAGTTCTGTGAAAAAGTTTTTAAATACCTAAATTTAAAAAAGAGGTATACCATGTTCATGGGTTAAAATACTTTCTGAAAATAAGATGTCAATTTTCCCAAAATTTACTTATAAATCAACACAGTACCCATTAAAATCTCAGGATTATTTGTGGAAATTAGCTAACTGATTCCAAAATTATTTTGGAAAGGCAAAGGACTCAGAGTAGCCAAAACAAAACAAAAGAAAACAAAAAAAACTTTAAAAAGAACAAAATTAGAAGATTCACTTCATCTATATTTTAAGACATTTTACATCTTCAGTAACCATGACAGTGTACTTGCCTAAAAGACAGGCAAATACATCAATTGAACAGAGTAGGGAGTTCAGAAATAGAATATATATATTGTCACATAATTCATTACAAAGATGCAAAGACATTTCAGTAGGAAAAAAAAATATTATTTTCAACAAATTTTCCTGAAACAATTGGATATCAATTTGCAAAAAAATTGTGACCTTTGATGAATACCTCATGCTATACAGAAAACTTACCTCAACGTGAATCATAGACAGAAATATAAAACCTAAAATATGAACTTCTAAGAAAAAAATCTGGGTTATGATTAAAAATATGTAAATGAAATCTCAACTCTTGAGAAAAATGTTAAAAAGAGTGTCTTTAGATTTCAACCATTCGTAGACAGGGCAAGAGGGTAAAAGTAATTTTCTGAGCAGGCACTGAAGATATAATTGTATTTGTCACAGACTAAAACAAACAAAACAAACCTTTTTTTCTTCAATTAAGTGCTTTCTGCATTTTTTATAACTATCTACTAAAAATGCATGACTTTTTCTCAACATTAGGTAAAGAGGCATAAAAAGTACCCTGCAACTCCTGAGCTCGTGATCCATCCGCCTTGGCCTCCCAAAGTGCTGGGATTACAGGTGTGAGCCACCGCACCTGGCCCAACATGGTGAAACCCAGTCTCTACTAAAAATACAAAACTTAGCCAGGAGTGGTGGCGGGCGCCTGTAATCCCAGCTACTCGGGAGGCTGAAGCAGGAGAATGGTGTGAGCCCGGGAGGCAGATGTTGCAGTGATGTTGCAGTGAGCTGAGAATGTGCCATTGCACTCCAGCCTGGGACACAGTGAGACTCTGTTTCAAAAAAAAAAAAAAAAAAAAAAAGTAGTCTACATATAATTTTCTGTCCTTCACTCTCTTTTCTATTTTCTCTCCTTTCCACACTCTCTTATGATTGCCATTTCTAAAATCCCTCTTATGCAAAATTTCTGGAATCCTCATTGTCTTTGGCATCACGTAACTTGAATAGAAATTACAACTCAATAAATAGGGCTAAGATTTCTTCACAGTAGATTTTTAGGAGTATGAAAGTGGGATTTGGGGGCAGATAAAGAAAATCGTTTGAAAACTATATTTAGAAAATAGAGTTCATTTATTCCAATTTTATACTATTGGGGAGGTCTTTGTCAGCCTCTGAAGAGGATGAATTAAGACCCCACCTTCAAGCCTCTTCTTGGCACTGCCTTTTATTGGAATATATTAGAGGAAATATTAAGCTAAGATTTAATTAATGGTAGTAATGAAGAAAAATTGGGTAGGGTGTAGAGTGAGGCATGTTAATATATGTTAAGGTAGGTCCCTGGAAGAGAAACAGCAGATAACTGGAACTACTACTGCACTGTCACTGCGCAAAAGCTGTTTTTTCCTCAACTATTGTCCATGATCCTTCCCTTAAGAGTTGAAATCTACTTATAAGACTCCTAAGGTGTTTCTTTCATATTGCTTCCATTTTATTCCCTAAATCAACATTATTTTGAATATTAAATGATATGTTTCATTTGAATGACAAGAAAACAGGCCCCTGCTGCTGATGTCTATCTTGATATGACCAAAATATTTCTAAACACACACAGAAAAACAATCTGAGTCTTAATAATAAAACTCAAGTAATAAGACACAAAGTTGTAATAGAGAAAGACATCTTGAGGCTTTAACTAATAATTTAAATAAGATTAAAATATTATTTTGAAGAAGAGATTAAAAGTTTACAGAAATGAAACTGATAAAATGTACACACACATAAACAAACAGACACCTCAGAATTTCATTAAATAAAAATAAAATTTTCAAATCGGTACGTTCAGAGGCCCTATGAACTAGATTCTATCATTGAGATTCTTTTTCTTTCCTTTATTTTCCTCTTATAAATAATACCACTTTGAAATTTTAGACTTTAAAAACATCTGAGATTTGTAACTTTTTTATTTTAATCATTAAATACTTTATCACTTTTCTTTTTAATAGAATTATTTCAAATAATGTAAAGCTTGTGATTATACTACTTATAATTTTCTTCAAAAGACGTTTTAAAAGCAGACACATCATTTCAGTTTGTGTTGATTTCAGAGAGAAATGGAACTGTGGCATTAAACAATTTCAGGTTGGAAGAAAGTTTATTGTACACACATTATGTGGAGATTTGTTCAGAAAAACATTTGGGTATCAGGCTTGTATAGCACAGCCAGGCAGAGAAAGGATCCAAAAAGAATTGAATTGCTGAACTAGCAAATATATACTGAAATCATCAGATAATTAAAAGGGCTTAAACATTGTCAAAAACAAGTTAAGAAAAAGGCTAATGATTTCAACCAACTTAGAAGGGTCAAGACTGCTTAACAGTGCAAGGAATGATGTTGAAACTTCAAACATCATTTTCCAATCACAAGCCTTGTGATCTTGCCACTTAATCATGTAGGTGTAATTTTTTTAAGTGCAAAGGAAACGATTAAATGTTTAAAGTTGAAAATTAAAACAGAAAAGTAAATATATCTTACTGAGATTCAATATATAAAATTGCTGACCATATGATAATGAATGAAAAAAACTATAAAACATGAAATAACTCATTTGTAAAAATCAGTTTATGCCATGGTATTGGATTTAGCACACAGTTTTTTGTTTTTTTGTTTTTTTTGAGACAGAATCTCTCTCTGTCGCCCAGGCTGGAGTGCAGTGAAGTGATCTCAGCTCACTGCAACCTCCGCCTCCCGGGTTCAAGCGAATCTCCTGCCTCAGTCTCCCGAGTAGCTGGGACTATAGGCGCGAAACCCCACCCCGATTATTTTTGTATTTTTACTAGAGATGGGGTTTCACCATATTGGCCAGGCTGGTCTCGAACTCCTGACCTCATGATCCGCTGGCCTTGGCCTCCCAAAGTGTTGGGATTACAGGCCTGAACCACAGCACCCAGCCAAGCACACAGTCTTAATATAAATCAAATGTGTAGTGTGATAACCAAATGTCAAAAGATAAAGATAAAACTATACATTCTGTTTCTATCACTCCTATCTGCCCATGACAAGCCTATCTTTTTGGTTCAACATTATTTTCCCCTGGTATTGATACCTTCCTAGATTCCTCTTTACCAAATAACATTTCTTTCAGGCCAAATTTGGATTAGCAGATAAAAGGACAACTGGAGGCTTGTGTAAAACAGAGTGCTGCCTTTCTACATAGTATTTAAAGAGGAAACATAAGATGAAACTCTAATACCAAATTAGTCCTCAAGTGACTTTTAAATATTTGATTATTTTTGGCTAATAACGATATCATCCGTATTTTTAGATCTGGACAAAACCAGAGATGTGTTCAGGACATTTGACTGTATGTATTAAGTCCTTTATTTAAATATTATTGAGAGTTTGTGTTAATAGCTCTGCATCCAACAATAACAACAAAAACAAAGACATAGAAACAAAACAAGCCTGTGAATCTGAACACTATTCTTTACGCAGTACCTATGTTTCTTGCCTCATGCATCTCATGTCTTCTGAACTGCTTACGAAGTTACAGTCACTGTGTCCTCTGGATATTTCTTTGTCAACTTTAACAGTTGTGTGGGGTTTCTTTCGTAGACTTTATTTGTAGAGCAGTTTTTGGTTCACAGCAAAGTGGAGCAGAAGGCACAGAGATTTCCCGTTTTCATCCTGCCCCCACCGGTGTACATCCTCCCATCTGTAATCAGCCTCCTCCACTAGGGGTACATTTGTCACAGCTGATGAGCCTACACTAATGCATACATCATTATCACCCAGAGTCCATAGTTATGTTAGGGTTCACTCTTGACATTGTATATTCCATGGGTTTGGACGAATGTATAATGACATGTGTCCACCATGACAGAATCATAATGAGTAATTTTACCAACCTAAAAACCCTCTATACTCTCTTTGTTATCTATTTCTACCTGCTATCACCTGGAAGTCACAGACCTTTTTACTATCTCTCTAGTTTTGCCTTTTCCAGAATGTCATATAATTGGAATCGTGTACGTGGCCTTTTCAGATTGGCTTCTTTCACATAGTAATATAATTTAAGTATCCTCCATGACTTCTCATGGCCTCATAGCTCATTTCTTTTTAGCACTGAATAATATTCCACTGTCTGGATGTACCTCATTTATTCATCACCTACTGAAGGCCATTTCAGTTGTTTCCCTGATTAATTTTTACATGATTTCTCAAAGAGCAAATACTTCAGAGGTTCCTGGCTAATTTATAATATTCTGTCCACTAGGACAACTAAGTTGAAGCAAACATAACCTATAGTGAATACTCCCTCAAAGGTAATTACTATTCTAATTTCTATCACCATAGATGGGTTTTGCCTGTTCTTGACTCTCATATAACTGAAAACATATAGTATGTAAACTTCTGTAACTGGCTTTTTTTCCTCTCTCTATATATGTTTTGCTCTACGTGATGGCTTTCAGAGTGGTACATGTTACTGCATACGGGAATACTTCATTCTTTTGATTACTATTAGTAAGGATTATGGGGTTAACTTTGGGTTATTATGAACACAACTGTTAAGACTTTTAAAACTTATCTTTTGGTGGCAGAACCACTCATTTCTGTTAGGCATATACCTAGAGCTTGATTTCCTGTTTCATATGTCTACACATTCAGGTTAAGTAGACACTGCCAAATAGTTTTTTAAAGTAGTTACATAAATTTAGATACTCACTAGCAGCATCTGAGAATTCCAGTTATTCTGTATCTTTACCAGCCTTTGGTATTCGCTATTCTCTTAATGGTATGACCCTGGAAGTCGAATAATACCTCATTATAGAACCAATTCACATTTCCCCAATGAGTAAAGATTTTGAGCAATTTTTCATTTGCTCAATTTATTTATCGGCCTTTGCAAGAGTCTTTTTTGAGAAGCATCTACGTGTTTACTTTTTACTATTGATTTTTAAAAATAATTTTACATAAAAGGAAAGGCCATTCTACTATTGAGTGGGCTTATTAGCATGTATGACTTATATTGAACCTCAAGTACAGTGGATGGGAAATAATTGCAGATAAATATGTTAACTGGATACTCACAATAGCACAATCCTTTCATCTGACTTTTCAGGTAATAAGTACATAAAAAACAAAGCCTTTAATTTGAAAGGTTCGTAGCTGATGCTGCAGGACTGCTTTGTGATAAATATGTGCTGGGAAATGGACACAAGACAGGATTATCAGGCAAAATTAATGGTATTTGTGTCCCAGCTGAGTCATAAGTATTACCAGATTCTTGCCAATTATTTGAATTAGGTTGGATAAAGATGGGAAAATCCATAACACAATTAAATAGCCTTTAGACTTTCCCTTTTTTTTCTCTACTCTAGACCCTCTTATGTCTATACTTTGCATTTCATCATCAACTTCTGTCTGAGAATAAATTGGTTTATGCCCAAGAATATTAATCTGGTATATATTTTGTCTGACATCCAAACATTATTTACAAGGGGAAGCATCAATGAATAAGTTAGTGAAGTATGTAAAATCCTGTTTATGCTGAAGAGCCCTTTTCATAAACGAGATTATGGAACACTTGTATTATTACTAAATTAAATTAATTAAAGCCTATCATCCTTACTCTAGTTCAATCATTTATTTAATGCACACAGTATGTCTAATTTATGTATTATAATATATTCCCCAAAATGAAGAAGCTTATAATTAATATCTGTCATTTTTGGAATAGGAAAAACTATTTAGGTCTAATATGAAACGTGTCTATAAAATGAGAACAGTGATTCTGAAAATCACAGAGTCCAGGTCACTTATAGTCAATATTTTTTAATTAAAAAAAAAACCACTTGATCTTATAATCTGACTAATAAGAATATATTATGAAGGAAGACTTGCAGGCATGCAGATATCATTATTTATCATATAAACTTAAATGATATCAGCATCAAACAAAAGTATGATAGTCAGATAATTTATATTGTATCCAGAATACGCAGTTTTAAATATCACTAAAAGTAATAGCATGTGAATACATGTTAAGTGTATTTCAGGATAAAGAATATTTTAATTAGAAATATATATATATATATAAATGTTTTTTCTAGTTTCTTAATTAATGAATTTATTTATAGATAAGAAATATGTATATTCTCGTGACATGCCTTATGTGCTGGCATTATTGATGATAACTGTTTCATTCATTGTATATTACATATTTTTGAAATAAATATGATTTACTTTAGTCATCAAAACAGCATGGCGGTACATATAATCTGTAATTTTCCTCCTAACAACTTGTTTTTAATATAATTTATTTCACTTTAAGTTTATATTTTTCTATTATTTTGTATTTACAAGCCCACAACTAATATCATAAGGTTTATATATTTTACTTTTTATTTTTTAATTTTTTTCCTCAACTTTTGAGTTCCCGGGTACATGTGCAGAATGTGCAGGTTTGTTACACGGGTAAACATGTGCCATGGTGGTTTGCTGCACAGATTATTCCGTCACCTAGATATTAAGCCCAGCATCCATCAGCTATTCTTCCTGTTGCTCTCCCCAACCCCTACCCCCTGACAGGACCCAGTATGTGTTCTTCCCTGCAATGTGTCCATGTGTTCTCATTATTCAGCTCCCGCTTATAAGTGAGAACAGGTGGTGTTTGCTTTTCTGTTTCACATGAGTTTGCTGAGGATAACAGCTTCCAGCTCCATTCATGTTCCCTTCAAAGGACATAATCTCATTACTTTTTATGGCTGCATAGTATTCCAGTGTATATGTACCATATTTTTTTTATCCAGTCTATAATTGATGGGCATTTGGGTTGATTCCATGTCTTTGCATCTTATTTTGTCCAAGTTAAATGTCCAATTTATATTGTGAATAGTGCTGCGATGAACATACAGGTGCATATATATTTATAATAGAATGATTTATATTCCTTTTGATATATACCCACTAATGAGATTGCTGGGTCAAATGGTATTTCTGCTTCTAGGTTTTTGAGGAATCACCATGCTGTCTTCCACAATGGTTGAACTAGTTTACACTCCCACCAACAGTAAAAGCATTCCATTTCTTCCACAACCTTGCCAGCACCTGTTTTTTTTTTTTTTTTTTTTTTTTTTTTTGACTTTTTATTAATAGTCATTCTGGCTGGTGTGAAATGGTATCTACTTGTGGTTTTAACTTACATTTATCTAATGATCAGTGATATTGAGCTTTTTTTCACGTGTTTGTTGACCACATGTATGTCTTCTTTTGAGAAATGTCTGTTCATGTCTTTTGACCACTTTTTAATGAAGTGGTTTGTTTTCTTCTTGTAAATTTGTTTAAGTTTCTTGTAGATTCTGGATATTAGATCTTTGCCAGATGGTGATTACAAACATTTTCTCCCATTCTATAGGTGGTCTGTTCCTTTTGCTGTGCAGAAGCTCTTTAGTTCAATTAGATCCCATTTGTCAATTTTTGCTTTTGTTGCTATTGCTTTTGGCATTTTCATCATGAAATCTTTGCCCATGCCTATGTCCTGAATGGTATTGCCTCGATTTTCTACTAGGGTTTTTATGGTTTGAGGTTTTACATTTCAGTCTTTAATCCGTCTTGAGTTAATTTTTGTATAAGGTGTAAGGAAGGGGTCAAATTTCAATTTTCTGCATATGGCTAGTCACTTCTCCCAGCACCATTTACTAAATAGAAAATTTTTTCCCCATTGCTTGTTTTTGTCAGAATTTTTGAAGATCGGATGGTTGTAGGTGTGTGGTCTTATTTCTGAGTTCTCTAGTCTGTTTCACTGATCTATGTGTTTGTTTTTCTACCAGTACCATGCTGTTTTGGTTACTGTAGGCTTGTAGAACAGTTTGAAGTTAGGTAGGGTGATGCCTCCATCTTTGTTCTTTTTGCTTACGGTTTTCTTGGCTATTCAGTCATTTTTTTGGTTCCATATGAATTAAAAAAATTTTTTTTTCTAATTCTGTGGAGAATATCAATGGTAGTTTAATGGGAATGGCATTAAATCTACAAATTACTTTGGGCAGTATGGTCTTTTTCACAACATTGATTCTTCCTATCCATGAGCATGAAATTTTTCCCATTTGTCTGTGTCCTGTTGGATTTCCTGGAGCAATGGTTTGCAATTCTCTTTGAAGAGGTCCTTCTCGACTTTTCAATCTTGTTAAATACCTAATGTATTTTTTCTCCTTTCTCCATCTCATTTTGTCCAGTTTAAATGTCATTAAATTTCAAATATCCAATATGAAAGTGATGCTGTCTACCACAAAATAAAAAATATAACTGTTAAAGACACTAGGGATACAATAAGAATAAAATGCAATTCTTGTCATTAAAGAAATCTTCTACCTTAGACAAAGGCATGCAAATGGGTAATTACATGTCAGATATGGTAAGTTGTGTAATAGTATATGATGGCACAATGCACACGTGTTACGGCCGCATAAGCTACCTCACTGTAGGAACATAGTGAGATATATCTATAAACCTGTGATGACATTTGAAATGGTTCTTGATGGACAAATATGAATTTGCCAGGTAAAGAGAAAGGCAAAGGACATTGCTGGAAAAACTGGCAAGGTAAGCTGAGGCAAGGGCAAGCGTAACGTGCTCAGAGATATGTGAGAATAAGTAGCAGAATAAGAATGTTTTAAAAAAGAGAGACATATTTGACTATTTAAGTGTATAAATATATATACTTCCATAATTATGCATATATAATGAGATAAAAATTTTGAAATGAACTTCTAGATGTATTACTGAATGAGAAAAGTTAAAAGTAGAAACATATATGCAATATAATTTTATTTGTGTAAGATTAAAGTGATATATGGCCATATATCCATATATGAATAGATGCATATATAAGAAAATAAAGGGTAGGATGCATGCATATCAGCGCAATAACTTTGATTGGACACAGAGGATAGAGAGTAAGAAAGCCACAATTAAAATAATGAGACTCATTACAAAATGTGTTTATGATAAGAGACACGTATAAAATAATTCCAAGTTCTTAAAAATTAGAATAGTCATAAAAAGGTAATGATAATTTTCTCTTTATACTTTTAATAAATTAAAGAAAAAAATAAAATCTATTCTGTGCCGACTCAATACTTGAAAAATACAGCTCATGAATATCTTAGAGGTTGGAAGTATTATTTCTTTACATCTGCTTATCTCTTTCTATGCAACCACTCAATAAAATCATTGAGAATATCTGTCATTTTTTGAGAACTGGCTAATTTTCAAGCTTTTATATAAGCAAAAAAACTCAATTAAGGACTTCTCTCTGTTTCTGCTTGATAAAATTAAACTGCTATTTACCTAGTCAAATTTTTGCATTTTCTACCAGTTAGTTTCTTTACTTTAAAAAAAATCAAATTTATTTTAGATACAGGGAGTACATATGCAGATTTGTTACGTGGGAATATTGCATGATGCTGAGGTTTGGAACATGAATCCAGTCTCCCTGGTAGTGAGCATAGAACCCAGTAGGTAGTTTTTTAGGCCACCCACCATCTGGTAGTCTACAGGGTCTGTTGTTCCCATATTTATGTGCATGTATGCTTAATGCTTAGCTCCCGCTTATATGTGAAAATATGCAGTGTTTGTTCTCTGTTCTGGCATTAATCTGCTTAGGATTATGGCCTCCAGCTCCATCCATTTGTTGCTGCAAAGACATGATTTGATATTTCTTTACATTTCTACAAGCTTGATCTATCCTCAACTCACTTAGTGTCTTTCCGTTGTGATTACAAAATGCATCATGACTCTTCCTATAAAAATGAGAAAGGTTTTCATAACTGGTCATTTTATTTGCATTGACTTATTTGATTGACCATTGAAAAATGAACTAAAGCTTGTTTACACTGAGGTGTTATCTCCAACAGAAATATGCATTTTGTCTCCTCTAAGTTAACTGCATTTCAGAGATCTGAATTAGATCAGAAGACTTTGTAATTGAATGGGAAGAATTCATCTGCATTGTTTTTATCTGGCGTCTACCATCTGGTACTTGAATGCAAAATATGTAAAGATAAATGACAAAAGTTTTATGGATTTTACTTGTTATTTGTTTTAGCTGTGCTGTACTCAAATTTTGATAAATTATGTTTTAGTTGCATTTTTATTATGTTGTAGAGATGACAAAGATCACTGTGTACACACAAAGAGTTCAAATGGTTTTGAGAAGATTGCTTTCCACATGGTACAAAATAAAGAAAAAATTGTCACTATTTGGTTAACATGACTGAGAACCCAGGTACATATTCTAGGCTTTATTTATACTTCTGCTTGAGTTCTTACCAGGGATGTCACTGGCTCATATAGTATCTGTATCTGGATTTAAAAAGCATGTCACATCTGGGCTGCTGCACAGCTTTTGCAGATATGCCAAATATGTACAGCACTGCTACCTCTTTCAGGTTGATGCTACCCTCTGTTCAGGACCAAAGCTTGGTGTTGTTCATTGATCAACCTGTACACAACCACCCAGAGACCACTCTTGGCATTTTTGACAGTCTAGTAATCAAATGTCCTCTCTCGCTTTTATTATTTCCCCATACACACATTTGTAGGTATTAACCAAATAAAATAAACAAAAAAGTTGTTCGTGTTTCTTTTTTATTGGAGAATTTTTTTAAAAGAACTGTAATAGGTAACAAGACATGCTAGGGTTTACAGAAAAAGAAAACTTCTGGCACAGTGAAATTTTTTTTTCAAAGTGTTAGTTGACCTCACTTCTAAATCCAGTGCCCGCCCTCCACAAAAAAGTTACAGTATGTGTATTGTTAGGAAGTGTTTTTATTGATACATAATAGTTGATCCATAAAATGTATGGGATACATGTCATATTTTGATATATGCATACAATGTGTTATGATCAAATCAAGGTAACTAGCATACCCAACACCTCTAACATTTACTATTGCATAGAGTTAATGATAATTTTCATTTTACATTTTTAGTAAATTAACAAATTAAAGAAAACATTCCAAATCTTTTATCATAGCTATTTAGAAATATACTATATTATTGTAAAATGTAATCACCCTATTTTGCTAACAAACACTACAATTCATTTTTTTATCTTAACTGTATTTTTGTACCTATTAACCAAATTTTATTCATCCCCTCCTTCCCCTACCTTTCCTAGCCTCTGGTTACCACAATTACCTTCATAATATCAATTTTTTAAGCTTCCACATATAAGTAAGAACATGCAATATTTGTTTTTCTGTAACTGGCTTATTTCATGGACCATAATGTCTTCCAGTTCAATCCCTGATGCTGCAAAATTACAAGATTTCATTCTTTTTTATGGCTAAATAATATTTCACTCTGTATTTACAGCACATTTTCTTTATCCATTCATCCACTGATAGACACTTAGGTTGATTCCATATCTTGAATATCGTGACTAAGGCTGCTATAGAATGTGAGTGCAGGTATCTGTTCAATATGCTGATTTCTTTCCTTTTGAATATCCAGCAGTGAGATTGCTTGATCATATGGTCATTCAACTTTCAGTTTTTGAGGAAGCTCCATACTGTTTTATAGTTGCTCTACTAATTTGCATTTCTAACAACAGTGTATGACTATTACCCTTTCTCCTCATCCTTGCTAGCATCTATTATTTTCAGTGTTTTGAAAACAACCATTTTAACTGGGGTGAGATAATTTTTCATTGTGGTTTTGATTTGCATTTCTCTGATTATCAGTGATATTGAGCATTTTCATATACCTGTTGGTCACATGTATGTCTTCCTCTTTTGAGAACACTTACCCATTTTTAATTGGATTTTTTGTTGTTGTTTGAGTTTCTTATATAATCTGGTCATGAATTCCTTGTCAGATGAGTAATTTACAAACATTTTGTTCTATTCTGTAGGTCATCTCTTCACTTTGCTGATTGTTTCCTTTGTATGCAGAAGCTTTTCAGCTTGACATAATCCCATTTGTCAAGGTTTTACTTTTGCTGCTAGTGCTTTTGAAGTCTTGCTCAAGAAATCTTTGCCTAGAAAAATGTCCTTTTCCCCCAATGTTTTCTTCCAATAGTTTCATAGTTTCAGGTCTTACACTAAAGTACATAATCCATTTTGATTTTATTTTTATATGCGGTGAGAAATAAAAGCCTCATTTCATTCTTCTGCATGCAGATATCCGGTGTTCCCAGCACCATTTGTTAGACTGTCCTTTCCCACATGTGTATTCTTGTTGTCTTTATCAAAAGTAAGCTGGCCATAAATACATGGATTTATTTCTGGTTTTTCTATTCTGTTCTGTTAGTCTATGTTTCTGCTTTTATGCTGGTACTATGCTGATATTTTAAACTGATATTCTAAAACATTTCCTAGCTCATGGAAGCTGTAACTTCCCCCATCACTTTTTGGTTCAGAGGAAAAGCCACACCACCACCTGTGCCCCCAAGTCTGGCTAATTTTTATATTTTCCGTAGAGACAGGGTTTCACCATGTTGGCCAGGCTGGTCTTGAACTCCTGGATTCAAGCAATCTGCCCACCTTGGCCTCTTAAAGTGCTGGGATCCAAACTGCTGAGCGACCATGCCCTGCCACCATCTCACATTTATCTAATGATAACTTGAGAAAACAGTATGTTGAGTTCTTAAAAGTGATCAATTAATGTTAAAGTATAATAATTAAGGGGAATGGGAACAATAAAATAGGTGCCTTTTTATTTGGTATTAAGTGCCTTCAGAATTATTTTAAATTGAAATTCTTCATTTACCATTTGCTACAAGAAGGGAAGTATTTGAGTTTAAGCTTACAGATCACATGTGTTCTAATTAGTGTTTATCTTAATAAATCAAACACTAAAACCCTCTGAATTTGGTAAATGAGAATTTCTATGCAGAGAGAAATAGGTAGACTTTAGATTTTTCTTATTCCCTCAGATTTACTTTACTTCACAGAATCAGTTATAAATCCAGCACCTTTATATGACATCTATGGTGCAACAAGGATCAGATTGGAACATTTTTAAAAATTGTCCCCTTAATGTTAGTTTTCTTCTCCCTGAGAAGAATCATAACCTTCTAGTAAATTTAGGAGAGTAATTTCATTTCAACTTCACTCCCAAGTTGCTCACTGAGCTGTATATTTCTTCCCTGTCTATTATGTTCCCCCACAAACTTTGGGAGTGTGGAAAAGGAGTGAGTGCAAAGAAGACCTCAACTCATTCTATGGCTTCAGTCTTGCGTTCATCAAACCATCACCTCAGAAAGCTGGAAAGGTAACTTATTCTTTGCTGAAGAGCTAGAAAAACTAAAGAATACTATAAACATGAGAGAAGGCATTTCAATTGAGCACTAATAGTATTTTATATTTTACCATCTATAGCAGAACTATTCAAAGACAGCTTTTTCTTTTTTTCTTTTTTTATTTTTATTTTATTTTTTTGAGATGGGTCTCACTATGTTACCCAGGCTGGTCTTGAACTCAACCTCAAGCAATCCCCCTGCCTTGGCCTCCCAAAGTGCTGGGATTGCCACCACATCCTGCCAAAGACAGCTTCTTATTTTTTTTTTTTTCGGACAGCCCAGTGCCTAGATAAATTACAAATCCTTATCCAAAATCTGTGATCCAAAATTCATTAAAAACCAAGTTTTTTTATATTATTTGTACATTGATAAATGATGGAAGTGGATGGGGAAGCTATTTATAGTCTTTATTTATACAAGTTTGCATGCATATTCATACACTTCAGTACATAAATATTTATAGAGTTGATTGTAGAGTGCTCCCCTAAACCAAACTGGATATGTTAAACACTATATGGTGTATCGATATGTGTTGTTCCAAAAATCTGATACATCCTGAATTGCAAAATGAATCTGATCTCAAGGTTTTCTAACCCCAAGGCATCAGGGACACACACACAACCCTTTCTCCCCCAGAAATATCCTACGCTGACTACTATTTTTAACATTTTTATTTATATTTTGATAACACTTTTGCTGAACCATTGATTTTTGCACACTGCTGAGAAATATATGTAACCAAATCTGATTTACTCATTTGTAAATAGCGTTTGGGGACAACAGTAGGCTATCACATAGTGGCCTTGATATTTAAAGTCCTACAGGATGAGACAATGCCAGATAGTGAGGAGCAAAAGATGAGGAAGCCTTGTCATCATGAAATCTACACAATACTAGTTACATAGAAGATCTGAAATTGCGGTTTCTTTTGAGGCTCGCTAGCAACAAAAATCGCAGCTGTGGTTCTGTACTATATAATGAGTTCGGCTAATAACCATTGGGTCAGACATGCATCTGCATTTCATCCAAAGGCTGACGTTAATTTTCAGTGATAGTCCACTGTAAAGTAAAAGAGAGAAGAGTTGCATTTTTCCAACTGTCCCATAATTTGTAATTACCACCAACTGTTTTAAAATTGCTGCTTAAGAGCTCACTTAAAAGTCAGGCTCCTACCCAGTTAATAGAACTGGGTGGGACGATTGCTGGAATGGGTTTGTTAACTCTTCCAGTTAATAAAACACAATGTTTTATTAAAGGTTGTATGGTAAAAAGCAAATCACTACCACCTGTCAACTGAGTGACCTTGGACACGTTATCAAATCGCTTTAGTACTTCCATCTCTTATATGTAAAATTAGGATAAATATACCTTTCCTATGAAATATAAGAAATTAGTATAAAGACAATATAAATATAATTTATATGCAAAATATATTGCACAGAATAGGAGCTTACTCAAACAAGTTAATATTATGATTCTTAATCATTATTTATTATTATTTTACTTATAACCCATGATTTTTTCATCAAATTAAAGTAAAGATAAAATTAGAGATGGTCATGAAAACTTATTTCATGAAAAAAATTATGTTTAAGTTAATCTTTATTTGTGTCCTAAAGGTTTATTGTCCAGTTTCAATTTTAATGAATATTGTTTAAAGCTGAAATTTTTCTTTAGTCTCATTACTCTAGTACTGTAAGATAACAAATTTGGGTTGTTTAATCTGCTAGATTTGTGTGTATGGTAATTTCTAACAACATACATAAACACAAAATAGAAGATCTTGATCTGATTTATAGGCCCCTCAAAATTTTAATATTCTCTTTTAGAGAGAAGAGAATCATTTTGTTTGGCAAGATGTCTTATTATTTGCATAAGTGTTTATTTACTTAATCAATTCACATGACCCAAATAAGTGTTTGCACTTCAAATAGTTAATACGTGTCATATCTACTGGTACATTGAACTCAAAAGAAAGACTCAATGATAGAGAAGTATTACGTGAATTGCATAATGTTTAGGCTACCAAATTTTAGTGTCCATACTCTTCTGTTAAATATTTGAAATTTAGATTTTGTAAGCCCTAATAAAAGAATAGCAGATACTGATGGGAATTGGAGATGAGGTGAGTTTGTCTGGATGGCCTTAGTTCTAGTATAAGATTTGGTGAATTTTTTCAAAAGTGACATAAATTATATTTCTCAGAAATAATAAAATTAATTAATTGACTTATGATCTTTTTCAGGTTTATTCTTTAAAAGAATAAGTGTATGGTATAATATTTAAATCAGTACGAGAAGCTGTGTAATGAAGACTGAATGACCAGGTTATCACCTTGGGGAGATAGATCAGTGATAACACAAAATAAGTCATTGAAACAACTGAATAAGAAATCTCATTAAATTAATATGATTAATTAATATAGATTAAAATATATTATGTGAATAACTGCTGCTAGAAATGAAATGAAACTATTGATCATTAAACAATGATGTCAATTATTTATACTTGATTTTGCAACTAATGACAACTAAATGTTTATTAATAAAAATGTGTATTCATGTGGGAATTTATTATATCTTTTTGAGCAAATGCTTGTGAGTGAAATTTTAGGCAGGAAATTTATTATTTGTTTCCTCATAAAGGCAACTATTAAATGCACTTCTGTGTTTTTTGTTTTGTTTTGTTTTGTTTTTTTGTATCACTCTGTAGCTCAGACTGGAGTGCAGTGGCAAGATCACGGCTCACTGCAGCTTCAACCTCCCAGGCTCACGCTATCCTCCCACTTCAGCCTCCCAAACAGCTGGGACTAGACGCACTAATTTTTTGTAGAAATAGGGTTTTGCCATGTTGCCCAGACTTGTCTTTTACTCCTGGAGTCAAAAAATCCACCCACCTATGCCTTCCAAAGTGCTGCGATTACAGGCATGAGCCACTGTGTCCAGCCTGTGTTTCTAAAATAAGTTCGTAACTGTGAATTTTGAGAGAACTGTCCGCACAAGACCACCCTTACTTCTGACACCAGCTTCAAGTTTGGTGACTTCTCAAATCCACTGTTGGGTTGAAAAATTTACTAGAAAGACTCACAAAACCCCTGAAAGCTGCTGTACCCGGGCTTATGTTTCGGAAATCAGATTAATACCAGTCAAGTGAGGAAGCACATAGGCAGAATCCAGGAAAAGCTCCAAACATAAACCTCCCACGCTCCTTCCCTATTAGAGTCGTGGACAACGTTCCTTTCCTGGCAGTGATGTGACAACACACATGAGGGTAGTGACAGCCCTGGAAACTGACCCAAATCTTGCTCTCCAAAGTCTTCATTGAGGCTCAAACACTTTGGCACAGTTAACTACCCACAAGACTGGTCTCCGTTTCCTTCCCCTCCGAGGTCCAGCTGATACTGCTTCACAGGACCACATCCTAAATCACAGTGTTAGCCTCTTGCTGGTCGAAAGTCTTCAGGCAAACAAAAGTTCTCTTATCAGGCATGACGTTCCAAGGGCTTAGACATTACCTACCAAAAGTTGAGGACAAAAAACATCTCATTATGGTCAAATTAAATTATTTACTACATATTTTGTAATATATATATTAAATTTACTTATCACACTTATATTTCACAGTGTACACGTTACGACAAATTATTAGGTACTAAGCAAACCACTACTCCGGTTAAAAAATAGAACATTGCCAGCACACTAGACACCCCATTGTCACCCTCTAAAGAGCACCCTTGCTCTTCTCCCCAAAGAACCCGTGGCCTATATGATTAAAGAAAACTTTAAAGCTACGTTTGCATATTTGTTTCTTCTGGAAATCCAATCATATACCATTAATTATAGCTCAAAAATGTTGAAAAAAGCTACAATTGTTGGAAATAATAGAAATTTTAAAAAGTCAAAATGTATTCTGAAGTTAGCTGAAATGACTCCAAATTATTGTAAATTTTAAATAAGGTAGGAGATGTACTTTCTATTTTATATATTGAATTGCTTTCTGATATCATTTCAGATATCTAATTTTCAGAAATCTAGTTACTTTGAGATAGTAAGCAATGTTTTTTACTAATAAATATGTCAAATGAAAACACAAGGTCTCACAAAAGAAAACAGTATTTGTAATAATCATCTAAATAATTGTTTTTACACTGACAATCCAAAGTCTGAGAAGTGTTTCCTGCCTACATCAAGCTTCCAATAGCACATTTCTGTAATAAAAATATCACATTTTTCTTATAAAATATCTCTAAATGTGATATTTGTTTTATAGGGTTATCATTTTCCAGAAATAGTTATGTATAAAAATATTTAAATGCTCAGAATCAAATGAAAGAAAATAGAGAATTTTAATTGGAAAATGAAGGAATAAGATCCTTTGTAAGACATCTAGCCAGGAATAAGACATATCAAGTATACTAAGAAGATTAATTATTCAGCAAATATGTTGAACCAAGCTAATTTTCCAGGAAGAGTTAATCTAATTCCGGTTTTGGCAAAAAGGTGTGTGTCAAGAACTCTGAAGGTTCTGAAATGCTATGTTACTTTAAAACTAACAAGTCGGACTGTCACAGTTTCGTAGGTGCTGGCAGAAGGAATGAGACTCCGAGGTCAAAGATAAAGAACTTTATTACTTACAGCACAGCAGACAGCAGGAGCTCGTGTTCATATTGTTTTTTCATTGCCCCCAAAGTCTCTTGGAGAAGATACAGGGGCAGCCCTGTAGATGCTCTATGGGCATTGATTTTGTGTCATTGCTGAGGAAACTTGAATTAAGGAAATCTTTTTTTTTTTTTTTTTTTTTAAAGAAGGTTGCTAGTCCCCCTGTCCTGCCATTGCCCTGGCTATTTCCTATACAATCATCTTTGGAAAGATAATCTGGATCAAAAGAAGTGAAGAAATTTCATGGTAAATTGTCACTCAAAGGTATGGAGCATAGCGATTTTTCAGTTTGAAAACCACAAAATTAGCGTGATTTACTATCTTACTGAAAGATAATAAATTATTTACAAGCCAAGAATAAAAGTTAAGACGTTTTGATAATTTCTAAAAACATTATTATAAATAAATGATAGAAACTATTGACAGAAACTATTCAATTCATAGAAAGTGTTGATATAAATTATTTTTGTAAACCAAATACATTTTCACATTATTATGGCTACTGAAGAATAACACATAAGTTTAAATAACTTTGTTATGACATCATCGAATACCTATACTTTTCCTCTAACCAAAATCTTTAGTGATACTTCTGGTGATATTTTGCACTTAAGATATATATGCAGTTTGCTAAAAAAAAAAAAAAAAATCAAGAGCCTCACCAGCTAGCCAAAGTTAATACATGTATGTATACATACATTCACACACACACACACACACACACACACACACACACACACACACGCATACACATACACATATAATCTACAGATTGGGGAAGTGATAAACACATTTTACTTAAGTGCATTTTTTTTTTTAGTTACTGAATAAGGGTAAAACTAGAGAAAACTTTTTTCATGAAGTATTTTTTAAATAATTTAAATGGTAGCATATTTAAAGTAGAGGCATCTCATTAAGTGGTAAGATATTGCTGTGTTATAAATACATAATTTACATTCTAATTAAAACAATCTTCAATTTCGTCTAAGGGCACTGAGTCACATGTCACTGTCATATTGTTATCATTCTAAATTAGGGGCTGGCAAATCACAACCCACAGCCTGAATCTAGCCTGGCACCTATTTTTGTGAACTCCAAAATGAAGAACACTTTTTATAGTTTGAAGGCTCAAAATAAAAACACTATTTGATGGCATACAAAAACTATAGGAAATTCAAATGTCAATGTCCATGTTTTATAGGAACACAGCCCTGGTTTTTCGTTTGTCTCTTTGGGTTAGGGGTGGGGTTCATTGTTTTTCGTAGTGTCTATAGCTGCTGTGCATGATAGTCAATGGCCATCTTGAATAGCTGTGACAGAAACATGTGGCCCTCACAGCTAAAGTGTTCACAACTTGAATCTTTACAAAAGAAGTTTGTCTATCGTAGCCTTAAAAAAAATTCTAACTATGGAAAAAAAACATAAAAATCTGTTCTTGTGTAGTTATATAAAGTGTCACATGGGCTCTGGAGTAAAGAATCTTTAGAAGAAATTTCTCACAGAACTAATCACAGGTAAATACATGACCAAAGAGAGATGCAAACCATTCCATTCATTAATCCAAAATAATAAATGAAAAATAACCCGATGGAAATATAGCAACTATGCAAATTGTCCTAAATAAGACATTAAGAAAATTTTAAATAATAATAATAATAATAGAATCAGGTTTAGTGCTAGAAATATTACGCCTCATGGTTTATTGAGATGATAAATGCAAACTATTGAATACAAGGATTAGACTTCAGTAGGAACTTCTCCCGGTAACATATAGCACAAATGAAAAGGACAGTGGAAGTGGGAAATACAAAATATTTAAAAAATGTTTTAAAATGAATACAGCCCATTCCTTCATAAACTAGTATATATTTAATTGCCTCTAGAAATTGAATATAAAATATAGCAAAATATCTTTTTATAATTTTACTTAGAAATTATATCCACAATTGATTCAAGAAAATTTTACATTGCTAGAAAAGAGAAAAATTTTACAAATTATGTTGTTAGTAAATAAGTTTGGTATAGTAGTAAACATCCTTATCTTCAAGAAAAAAGGGTTATTGAGAGTTTTGTAGGTTATGAAATTATAGGTTGAAATAAGGTAAAAAAATGAATAGCTGATGTGAAATTTACATATAGGGAAAATGTGGTTTAATGTACAATAAGGAGTCATTTTTCTTTTTTGAGCTGTCAGGTGTATTGGAAATCAACTAGCTCAGCTAACATCACTTTAGAGATGAAGCAACTGGAGATTATAAAAATCAGTGGCAAGATTGGGATGCAGTCCTTTTGACTTTTATTTTTGCTGCACAAGCTGCCGTGAAATTTGACAACCATTTTGTATTGCTTCTATTTGGTGGAATCCCTTAATTCCTAATACAACAATTTAATTACAGTTATTTCTTTATCAGTATTTTTCCAGCTAATTCAATTTAAACTTTATTAATGAAAGTTTATCCACTTAGGTAGATAAATATTAAAATAAAATAAATATGTGACCTAATTACTGCATTATCTCTCTCTTTACAAGTAAATAAAATGTTTATCCATAGCATTTCCTCTGATTGAATTCCATGGTGTCATTTCTCATGTTTAAATTACTCAAGCTTGTTATTGCCATTTTTTAATACATTATGTTATATAAGGCATAAAATATTCAAAGAAGAACCTAAACTACAAAATTAAAAAGTAGGTAATAGAACATGACTGATTGATGTAGCAGAGTAAAGTATATTTTCACATATTTATATTTATTTTAAAAATAAAATTTTCAATTAACGAATAGGCTCAGTTTATTAGTAGACAGACACGGAAAGTCAAAAGGCAAAATTCTTAGCCTCTTTTTCATAGTATTAACTTAAAATGAGAAAATAAAAAGGCTGAATACTATTTAAAGACATTAATGTAATATTATCAGTCATACTGAAAATTACTAAGGGGAAGAAATAACAGAAAGATGCTTTGGCCATCGAAGGCTATCTC
Source organism: Homo sapiens (assembly GCF_000001405.40). Lineage (NCBI taxonomy): Eukaryota > Metazoa > Chordata > Mammalia > Primates > Hominidae > Homo > Homo sapiens. Next base: position 178,738,121 of record NC_000004.12, read on the forward strand.
TTTATCTTATCCTGGGTGAAATTGCATGCATGATTTCATTTGCTATCAAGCTTTAAAACTTTAAGTAGCTTTTCAGTGCCAAAATTTCAAAATACTGTGTGTATGGTGAGTCATTTGATGCAATATATTTACAAATGTATTCTTCAATGAAGTCATACGTTAATCATACAAAGTTCTTCAGAACTGAATGGGAAAACATAAGGACCGATTTGTCTGTATGATGTTCTCATATTCGATATTCTTGATTTTTTGAAATATTAGGACTTTAGATTCTATGAAGCCATTAGATTTCCACAATTGCCTAATTATTGAGTGTTCTCTTCACTGTAGGGTGTGTGTGTGTGTGTGTGTGTGTGTGTGTGTTGTGTCTGTGTATAAGTGCATGTGTTAAGTCAACTACTAAGTTAAAGCTATTTCCACTACCAGCATTCCATTCCACTTGGTTTAAATTTATTTCATACCAAAAAAGAAGAAATGCTATGAAAATTCAGAGTGATAAAATGACTAGTCTACCACATAGTGCAGTTATGTGTTGGCCTTTCAAATTTCCTCTCAGACATGACAGTTTTTAACTCAAGGGAGATATAAAATATCATAATTACCATGTAGCAAGGTAAAACATATTCTGCACTTCGCCAAAGCATGCCTTTAATTCAGTTAGGAGTATACATATTCAAAAATAAAATTTGCACATATAATGAAAGGGGCAATATTGTTGTGATCTAGGTGAAAAGGGACTAATGAAATTTGTTTATGAAAATGATGGTCAACTTTTTAAAGAAGCAATTAGTCAGGACTCCTGTCTATCCAAGGTACAATGTCTATTTTGTGTTCAAAAGCCATAATTATTTCAAAACTAGGCATTGGAGGAAACCAGATAATTAGTCTAGTACAGCTGGTGTAAAACACTACTGGCAGAAACACTGATATCATTAAAAATTTGGCAAAGTATCTTATAAGCAATACTCCTGGGAAAATGAAACAAATTAAGCACCTAAGTATTTTTTTTAGAAACTAAGAAAGTGTTTATAAAGGACTTCCGATTTTGCTGCTATATTAAAAAGGCCTTGGCAACATAAAAAGTAATCCAACGTTACTTGTTTTGCTCATTTGTTAATAAAAATTATCTTACATTTAGTTTGTTCGGAATTGCACTGTTTTATTCTTTCAAAATATTTTTCTTTGAACTTTTTTTCTGAGTTTTTGTTAGTTTTGTTTATATTCTTTGTAATCTGCATGCTTATTTTCAAATTTCAATTTTATTTCTTTAAAAATAACTTACTATAAAATATGTCTACTAAAGATGGTGTAAAATACATTTATAGTTTAAAGAATAACAATAAAATAAATACTTGTGTACACACTAACTTAAAAACTAGAATGTTAATGAAGATTTAAGGTCCTCTGTGTGCCTTGATTACATCTCCTTCTCTCCACCCTAGAATAACAGTGATCCTGATTTTTGTGATTTATTTTTGGCTTTATTTTTGTGATTTATTTTTGGCTTTAGTCTATATATAGATGGCTACAAATACATATTGTTTTGTTTTGCCTGTTTTTAATACCAATAGTGTTGTTCAGTTTTATAATTTTCAGCAAATCAAATTTATCTACATCATATTTTTCTGTAATTTGTAGAATATTGTCTGTTAAATTCCATCTACTTGATATTCCATGTGTGCTGAAAACTGTAGCTGTGGATAACACATTTTTCAGTGCTGTAGCATGTTCAATTGCAAAAATATCCCCATAGTCTATTTATTCCTCATATTTATTCCTCATTTGTGATTTACTCATTTCTCGATAAAGGGATACTAATATTTTTGGTGGTCCAAAAGAAGATATTTGGATTTGTTTTATTTTTCTCGTTTTGTTTCTTTAGGGTTATTCTGTTATAATTGCAATAACTTCTTAAAATGAAAGCCTAGCTAATTAATTTTAGATGTTTCTATATTCTAAATACTTATATAAATACATGCACACATATATACAAATGCACACACAAACAAACATACATACATATGTCTCTGAGTGTGTGTTCAATTGCATTTTATCTCCAAACCCCAAATTTCACATTTAGTATTTGTTGTGGTTATTATTTTTCCAAATATTTTCTAAGTCTCACTATGCTTTATTGAATGACATATAACATATATTTAGTAAGGTTTTCATTTCTCAAATATATTGTTTTTGGGGAGAATGGGTTGTTTGTTTTTACTGATTTACAACTTATTTTATTGTGGTCAGCTGGTGAAAAGTTCATAACAGACCTTTCTCTTTTGTTAAGGCTTAATCAAAGACTTAGCAGTTCTTGGCTATTTTTTCAGGTTCTTAATTTATTTTTATTGTGGTAAAGTACACGTAACATAAAATTTACCATTTTAACAATTCTTAAGAGTACAGTTTGGTGGCTCAAGTACATTTACATTGCTGTGCAACTATTACCGTGGTTAATTTTTTTATGTTTCTTATCCTCACAACTGCTATCTACATTGTAAAATGTGTCCCTGAGAACATCCTGGCTAATTCTGTTCAATTTGTTTAATTTTTGTTATTGTTGTTGTTTTGAGACAGAGTCTCACTGTGTCACCCAGGCTGCAGTGCAGTGGTGCAAGCTTGGCTTACTGCAATCTCTGCCTCCAGGGTTCAAGTGATTCTCACACCTCAGACCTGCAAGTAGCTGTGACTACAGGTGTGTGCCACCACACCTGGTTAATTTTTGTATTTTTTGTACAGATGAGGTTTCTCCATGTTGCCCAGGCTGATCTGGAACTCTTGAGTTCAAATGATCCACCTGCCTTGGCCTCCCAAAGTGCTAGAATTACAGGCATGAGTCACCACACTCAGCCCAAATTGTTAATTCTTTTGGATTGTTATATTTAGTTGATCTATCAATTACTAAAAGAAATGTATTAAATTGTGCAAAATTTGTTAATCTCTCCATATACTTCTGTTAATTTTTGCTTTATAAAAGTCATGACTATATTTATCACAGAAACCGTCCCTGATATTTGTCTGGGGCAGAAGTAGAGGGCTGTATACTATACCTAAATATTAAAATGCATAAATGTAACAAATAAGCTCTTATACAAAATATTTTCTATCCTTCTCCCTTGACAGATTATTACATTCTTAATGACCTGGAAAGGCAGAGAAACTTTTAAAATTCTTGGATTTCATGAAGTTTCTTTCTGGGAAGAGGGCCTATGAAGAGGGTCAGATCAGACCGTGAAATCTGGTCTCTGTCCCCTTTCTCTTTCTTTTCACCATCAGCTCCACGTCACACTGGCTGTTCACTCACGTAGACAGCACAGCTTTGGCTGCATTCCACACCTGCTTCCATCATAGTGAGTCCTCCAGAAGACTGAATTAATAGAGAGGCCACTTGGCCTTGGAATATGACCTAGAGAAGACATAACCAGTAGGTGGTTGTGAGTATGGACATGAACTACATTTAAGGGGAACCTGTTGGCCCAGTGGACTCTGTTCACCTAATAGAGTAAAGGTCATTGTAGAGGAGAGACAAGTCCTCCAACGCACATGCCTGAGGCTTGCTTCCCTTCTTCAGTCAGTCTAAGCATATTACTGATTTGAGGTATTATACAAGTTCAGAAATGCATATCATCTTGATAAGTCAAACATCTGAATTTTATAGTGAAAACTGTATTCCATGTAATAGTTTTGCCTTTATTTATATTGCCTGTCATAGTTAAAGCTATATAAAGATTTATTAAAAATTAAACATTTGGGAGGCTGAGGCGGGCAGATCACGAGGAGGTCAGGAGATCGAGACCACCCTGGCTAACACGGTGAAACCCCGTCTCTACTAAAAATACAAAACATTAGCAGGGCGTGGTGGCGGGCGCCTGTAGTCCCAGCTACTCAGGAGGCTGAGGCAGGAGAATGGCTTGAAGCCGGGAGGCGGAGCTTGCAGTGAGCCGAGATCGGGCCACTGCGTTACAGCCTGGGTGACAGAGCGAGACTCCGTCTCAAAAAAAAAAAAAAAAAAAAATATAGATCTATCTATATATATATACACACACACACACACGCACAAAAATTAAACATTACTCTATATATCTTTTCTCACCCTTCTGTATCCTTATGCCTTAGATGTTTCTTATGCAAATAGGATTTTATTAGACGTTTTTTGTAATATAGCTAGACAATTTTGCCCATTTACATTTATTATGATTATGGTTATTTGTAGATTTAAATCTAATAATGTATTATGGAATCATATTTGTCACTACACTCTTTTATAAAATTTTTCTTCTTTCTTATTTGACTTCTTTTGGATTAATGGATTTTTAAATTGTTTTCATTTATCCCTTCTTGTGTGTACATTTTATAGTTTATATGTATTCTTTTTGTGTTCACAGTTTTGGAACACATTAAATAAAGTCTAATGTTATTCAAACTCTTTACCTGCTCGTGGGGGATCCCAGGTCAATTGAGGTCTGTTCCCAGGAGGATTATGGCTGCCTCTGCTGTGTCATGCAGGTTGCCAGGGAAGTGGGGGAAAATCAGCAGTTACAGGCCTCTCCCAGCTCCCATGCAACCCAAAAGGTCGGTCTCACTTCCACAGTGACCCCCAATAGCACCGAGTTTGTCGCCAAGCAGTGGGCGAGCAGGGCTGAGAACTTGCTCCGGGGCTACCAGCCTCCTGGCTGAGAAAGCAAGCAGGGTTTCCAGGTTTCATATCTCCCTGCCTGCCTGCGTCTGCGCTCCAGATTCACCCGCTCCCCTGAGTTCTGTCCAGAAAACTTTGCATTCAGTTGGAATGTTACGAAGTTCAGCTAAAGGTTGCTTTCTCCCTGTGGCCTTTTCCCAGTTCCTCTGGCAGCCCTCCCCAAGGACCCCTGTAAGACAAAGTCAGAAATGGCTTCCCTAGGGATCCAGAGAGCCCACAGTGCTCTTCCCACTGGTTCCTCTACCACTGTATTTAGCTCGGCTCTCTAAATTATCTCAGCTTCAGGTAAGGTCAAATCCTTCTCCTGTGATCTGAACCTTCAGGTTCCCCATTGAAGGTGTGTGTTCAGGGGCAGACGATCCCCCTTTCCCACTTTCACACCTTGGGCACTCGCAGTATTTGGGCTGTCTCTTGAGTTCCGCAGGAGCAATCTGCTTCCTTCAAAGGGTCTGTGGCTTCTCTAGGCTTTCCTGGTATGTTCCTGCAGCAGTTCTTGAAGCAAAAGTTCTTGACCAACTAATTTTTGAACTCTAATATGAGCTTGGATCTTTTATAAATGATGAGGAATCAGCACTAAACAAACAAAACAATAATACCTGTTATTTTTATATTTATATCCCACTAAGGGGAGACAAAAAAAAGTAAATAAGTAAATTGTATCTTAGTTTATAAGTGTGAGCTAGAAAAGCGTAAAAGAAAAAGAGAACGAGTGGGTAGTGGACTACTATTGTACATGTGATGCTCATGGCAGATTGCACCAGGAAGCTGACATTGAAACAGTGCTGAAAGACGGGAGCCAGTGACGGGGAGAGATGGCAAGAGACATTCTGAGAAAAAGCAGGAAGAAAATCTCTCTAGCTATTAGGTTGGTCCAAAAGTATTTGCAGTTCTTGCCATTAAAAGTAATGTAATTACTTCCCTGCAGAAGAAAGAACAGGGGAAACCCAGTGCTTAGGGATAGGAGGGGCAGGTCTGTACCAGCTCCAAAGCTGTGACCTTAGAGCTCTGCCATGAAGAGTCTGCAGCTTTAGCCATCCAGTATGAATGTATCCTCTGAGGACAGGTAGGCTGAGGTAGAGGTATGTCCCACCGCAGAAGCTCAGAAACAAATGGCAGAGTTTTAAAAATGAAACTGTGTATTTTGTTAATAGGCCAGGTACTGTTAGCCCAGTGTCTTCACTATCCTGTTGGTATCTCATAAAACAACTGATGATGCAGAATGTTGGTGGCTCCATAAGACTATGTACGTGGTGGGGGGATTCAGGCTGCAGTGGCGGGCGTCGTGGCTGCTATGCATAATACAGCATGAGGGCAAAGAGCAGCTGAGCACATCTCAGCTCGAGTTCCTCTGCAGATGCAGACAATGATGAGCCTACACTTGTGGGCAATGGGCAAGGGATTGGCGTTGTCACTGTTCACAAGATCACAAGAGCACCAAGAGGATGAAGGCTCTGTGCTCTGCCTCCAGTCAGTTAAATCTGAGTAGAAGAGGAGGCAGATTTTTTTTTTTTAAATAAAGATAAGTGTGTGGAATGATCAAATTATAGAAGAAATGGAGTGGACTGCTGAAATTACCCATTTTTACATAGATGTGCATGAAGATTAATTGCATCACTCAAATGATTACTTCACGGGAGATTTCTGAAAGTCAAGATCTCAAAATCTGGCATTAAACCATACATGTAATAATGGCCAAATTTTAGCAGGGAGCAGTAAACAGTAAAAGCATTCAGATCGCTTCGTGAAATAATATATGGCCAACACCAAAATGGAAAACTAGATATAGTATGTTCAAAGTAATCATCCCTTCTTTTTCTTATTCTAATGGCCACTGTGAGGATGATGGTCACTGAACAGATTTTAAGCATTAGACACTGGAGGAAATGTTCAACCTGGATGATCATAGGAAGGTCACTTTAATTTTAATTGTTTTAGTGAGAGTAGTAATATAATGTTTAATTGATCTTGCTTCCGAATTTCTGGACAAAGATGAAGGGATAGAAAATACCAATATCCTATTCCAGGGAAATTTGTGTTAGATGTTATGGATTAGTATATGACAGTTACTTTTTAATAGGCTTTCCGGAGTACATAAGGCGCAGGAAAAATAAAATGGGTGATGCGACAAGCCTGGGATTTACATGTTAAACTTGCTGCAAGGTACAGTTTATCTCGTAACAACCTCAATTCTCAATTACCCCAGGGGACCAGATTTCAGTTGGCCATCCCAAGTTTGGAACTAATAATAGTGAATAGTGTTACACAGCACAATCCATTGTAACCCCAAGGACCATTACCTCATTCTTAATTTGAATCTACTTGTATTGACAAGTTTAAATTAAAAATTATCCTTTTAGCAACACTTTTTTTAAACCAATTTTGAACTTAATATTTCTTAAGTTTATAATTGTTTCTTCTTGATTTTCTTGGTAGATCATGTCTTCTCTCTTCTGACTCTCCTGATTTTATTTTGTTTTTCTTGGATGTAGGAAGGATTAGTTTGACTCTGTTTCTGTCATATTTGATATTATTTTATCTAACCCATCTCTCTTGACTCATTCAATGCTCAACATACTTCCTTCATTTCTCACACTGTCATTGTACTTTTTGTCATTACGCCAACAATAAAATTCAATTCAGTAGTAAGCAAGTTTTACAGAATGTGGGTGGTGATTACCCTGTAGAATATACTAAAGCTCTCATTATTAATATGCATAGGTTCTGTTTTATGTAAAATTTCATATATTATTATAGGAAAGTGCATTTTGGCATGAAAAATGAAAGGATTTATTTATTGTGTGTACTGATTTTTCATGTATTTTATTTTAATCAGTTTTTATAAAAGAACTTTGCAGCCAGGCGTGGTGGCTCATGCCTGTAATCCCAGCACATTGGGAGTCTGAGGCGGGTGGATCACCTGAGGTCAGGAATTCAAGAGCAGCCTGGCCGACATGGTGAAACCCATCTCTACTAAAAATACAGAAATTAGCTGGGCATGGTGGCGCCCGCCTGTAATCCCAGATATTTGGGAGGCTGAGGCAGGGGAATCCCTTGAAACTGGGAGGTGGAGGTTGCAGTGAACCGAGATCGCGCCACTATACTCCAGCCTGGGCCACAGAGCAAAACTCCATCTCAAAGAAAATAATAAATTAAGTAAATAAATAAATAAAAGAACTTTGCATTATTAAAGTAACAGCACTACAATTTTTCTAGTCTATTTCTTGAAAGAAAAAAAGCCTCAAGTTATAATAGTAAAGCTGACCCCTACAAATAAAGATTCACAACAGATTAATTTTAATATTAGTTATGATAAATCATGACAAATTATACTTTCTCCATTGTTTGAGATAGCACAGTTCCACTTTTTACAGTTAGCGATATTATGCGGCAACACGCACAAAGCATAATTTTTTTTTTTTTTTTTGAGACGGAGTCTCGCTCTGTCACCCAGGCTGGAGTGCGGTGGCACAATCTCCGCTTACTGGAAGCTCCACCTCCTGGGTTCACGTCATTCTCCTGCCTCAGCCTCCCGACTAGCTGGGACTACAGGCGCCCGCCACCACGTCCAGCTAAGTTTTTGTATTTTTAGTAGAGACAGGGTTTTACCTTGTTAGCCAGGATGGTCTGGATCTCCTGACCTCGTGATCCACCAGCCTCGGCCTCCCAAAGTGCTGGGATTACAGGCGTGAGCCATCGCGCCCGGCCTAAAGCAAAATTTTTATATATGTACATTTACAGATACACACATATACATATATACACACACATAAACACATATTTTAAAGAATACAGAAAAACGTTACTGAATGTTCTGTATTTGTACTGAACATCATTAGAACATAAAAATCAATATCCCTCTGACATGCATTTTTATCAAGAGCTCTATTAGTAAAAATTTATCTTGAAAATTATCAGACAGTGAAAATAGTTTCTTTAGTCCTAAAAATCTTTCTCATAATTATTTTTAAAGTATTTTAATTTTAAAAATCACATTTGGTTAAAAACCATGATGATCTCAGAATTATACATTTATAAATTAACAAAAAGGAAATGTGTGTATGTTCATTAGAAATATGAATAATCTGGTTCTTCATGGTAGAACTAAACATGTATATCTCTATATACATTGATAATATTTAATATAATAGACTAGAAAAAATGTGAAGGCAATTTATTTCCTGTTCTGTGATATAATAACTCATGAAGACATGTATTTAGGTTAAAATAGAGGCATTTTTAATTCAGGCAGAAATGAAGTACCATTTTGATTATGAAATGCTGAACACTCCAAAAGGAACCATCTAGGAACTAGAAAGCGGGTCTTCAACCAACACCAAACCTGCTGTATCTTGACATTGGACTTTCCAGATTTCAGTACTGTGAGAAATAAATTTCTCTTGTTGATAGGCTTATCATGTTATGGTATTTTGTTACAGCAGTCCAAACAAACTAAGATTCAACCTTATTCAAAAGCTTGCTGATATAATTGGGTAACTCTTTGGAAAAATGTTTAAATATTTTTGCCCCTTACTGCCCATCAAAATAAATCATGAGTGCAATTAGTAGTATTTTAATGTAATGCAGGAGATATGGGTCCAACAGTAATTTTGAACACATGTTGTACCAGTCATCTGTAAATATGTATTGACTAATCTATATTCCTTTGTTTATTGGACATTCCATATTTTTTATTCAGTTTAAAATATGCTTGGAATTTTTAGGTATTATTAAGGGTACCAGATTATTATTTTATTTGAAATATATCATAGGTATGGTTTTTGTTATATGAATAAAACTATCTCTACTAAGAGAGATAAAGGAAAAAGAGGCAAAAGCTCAAAAGGAAAGAGACTAAAAAGAAGAGCAAAAGAGACAGCGGTGTCAAGACATCCTGACATCCTACTTCATAGGTCCAGTTATTTTTGCAATAGAGGTATATTTCTGTCTTTTGAGTATTATGAGATACCAGTGTCAAGTTAATAAATTCTCCTGTTCTGCCTAAATTTGTTTGAATTGAGCTTTTTATTATAACCAAATACGTGCTACGTGATATAAATCCTAACATGGCATTTTAATGCCATGAGGCGCATAAGATGCCTGGACAAGTACTACATTTCCTAAAGCATAATAAGTGAATACATTCTCCGTATGTGTTCATCAGTTTAAAAACTGCCATTTAAATGCCTTTGCTTAAATAGGAGATTTTTATATAATTAAAATTATATTTAACATTTCAAAGACTTGTTTTATTTCTTAAAAAATTACCTCAAATAGAAAATTCATGCTTAGGATATGAATTATAAATGATATCATGCACCTTGTACTTCAGATTACAGACAGATATTTAAGGCAAGAATACTTTTCTTGTAACAATTTTCTTGTTTGCTAGGAGCAAATGGACAACACTTCAAGTGTAAAACTAAATCTATTAATATACACAGTGATTTCCAAATGAACTCAGATGATTTTTAGTATCTTTAATTAGACAGAAAACAAATAGAAGTCAATAATTATAATTTCACTTCTTAAAACTTCTTTTTCAACAACTACACGCTACACAAAGTTATCAGTATTTACTAGTAAGTATTGAGTATTAAAAATCTGACTATGTGTTGAAAATACTATATTAAAATCAGTAACCACTGTTGAAGTGTTTTGGCTGGGGAAAATTTTAGCTAAATTTCTCATGTTTAAGTGTTTAAGGTAACACAATATAATTTTGTCCTTGCATTCAAGTGTTGATAATTAGACACTATAAACATTGGGAAGCATTTCCTAAAAATAATGGGCTAATCTATAATGTTTACTGTGAGGTTTTTGGACAAACAAATACAATAAATAGAATTATTGCCTTGTATAAGCAAAGAAGTAGCAGATAGTCTATAAAAATTTGATGTTTAAAAATGAAGTATTAATAATTGACAATAACATTTTTTATTAAATCAATTACAACTGATAAATTTTGAAAGATTACATTTTGTCATTATCAATCAGCAGAACATTAAAAAAAAACTTGTTATTGCGTGTAAGCTGTTTTATTTCACTTGTACTATATAAAGGAGTAAATTGTAAAAAAAAAAAAAAAGTTAACCAAAACTGTGATATTTTCAGTGTAATACTCTTTAAAAATTTAGAATAGTAATATGTACTTCTTAGTGAACTTTGGATCCTTCACCATGAACTGCAGAGGTTAAGTCATGATTCCTGACAAGCAGGTTCCAATCATCTTTCAACTGGAGGAGTACCAATTGTGTGTTTACATAGTGTGACTCCCCATATTATTTCAGTAGGATTCTCCTTCCTGACCACCACAACTCACCTACACACATAGTTGAAAAACACACTGTTTTAGGCTTGAGGTTAGATAATTTGAGTAACAAAAGATGGCATGTGCTCTGAAACCAGATTGTCTTATTTAAACTTAAGCTCAACCAATTAGCTACTTCTTAGTAATATGTTTCTTAGAATATTAGCCATCTTGTAACTGAAGCCAGGTTTGGCCACTCAGTGCTTGAAATCCAAACATGAGAGAGAAGGGTTGGTGGGAGAAAAAGCAGGTTTATTCTGAGAGCCAAGCAAATGGAGATGATGGTGGACTATAGTTGCAAAAAGTTTAAGTTTAAAATTTTACCATAGAGTTTTTAAAGGGAAACTTGGTATGGAAAACATGAAGGAGTAGTGCAGAGTCCAAGATCTGTGTCTCTTTGTTCCAATGGCTATCTTGGGTAATCAGCCGTCCACAGGTTTGGTTGGTGTTTTCTTGAATTCTCAGGATAGTTCTGAACTAGCTGTTTGCAACTCTCTCAAACAAATGGGCAAAGATTGGCCAATCAGAGCTCCATGCCTACTTTGTTCAAGATTAGCCTTTGGAATGTCTTAAGCAAAACCATAATTGGATAGGCATACATTGCCAGAGGGGAGTGTCTAGAGAGGGAAGGAATGAAAGAGTGAGAGGGAAAAAGGAAGGGGGAGAAAAGAGAACGTGTGATTAAAGTATATTTTTAAAACCAAGGTCTATAGTTACAATCAAATAATGTGAATACTTATTCTGCAACCAAGTGACTCTTCTATTTATTTATCCATAATAAGTAGGTATGTCTTTTGAAGGACCTTATAATTAAATAATGATTGTTTCATTAAATAAATGTTTTTTATATTACAAATATAGAAGTGAGGTTGATAATTCTAAGGTCATTTCTGATAATTGTATACATTTAAGTATTTTTTTTATCATCTAAGTCTTCATCTTGTGTATCCTTTAAAAGTTTATATTTTTCATGATATAATATGGGAATCCCTTGAATTATGACATTTCAATTAGAAAACAAGTTTTGTCAAATTTATATGTGTTAAATTTGCTTCTTTTCATATCTACTAATTTAAAAAGCCCAATGTTTATATTAGATATTTCAGGAAGTGGCATACCTACAGATATTTGTCAATTACCATGATATTTATTTCTTGTTATTAATGTACCCTCCTCTGAAATATTTATGGAATTCTGTGCATGTTTTTGGCCTTCTTTCCTGTATTTATTCTTTCTCTATTGCCTGGAAATGATTGTTCTCATCCATTTCTTTTTATATTTGTACTTACCAATCATCGATTAAGATTCAAATCAAATGTAAACTCCTGTAAGTATTTTCCTGACTTTCATTCCTTTTCCCTTGTTATCCCCTTATTTAGGCATGCTCTTCATGGCTTCATTATTACCATAATTGGTTAATCATGTTGTATTGTATTAACTACCTATGTTCCTCTATTTCTCAAGAGACGGCAAGTTCTTTGAGGGCAGAAGCTGTGTTATTTATCATTTTTCCTGGAATCACAATGATTATTCCATAGTAGGTCCTTAACAAATATTTGTAGAATGAATGAGTGAACAAAGGAATACAAGAATAGTAGAAAGTCTACGCGATTAACTGCTTTGCACCTGGCCAGTGTGAATGATGCTTTCATGAGCTAACCTTTTACATTTGGTTCATAATTTGTAAACACAGTGTAGGGGAAATATACAGGCTGACTGAAAATAGTTATAGAAATTGAGACAAAATACAAAGCATGTTAAGGGAGCAATGAAAAGTTAAGGGAAATGGCAAGATGTTTTAAAAAGAAAATGTGGCAGGAGTATATACAGGTTAAAATTATGAGGGCTGATACCTATTTTGCATGAGCCTACTTCCTTTCTTTTTCAGATCTGCTGCTGGTAGGCTTTCAAATTAAAAAGTGGTACTATCACAAATGTTACAAAAATGTTACCTTGAGTGCAGCAAGTTTTGTGCATGCTATAGACATGTATGCTAAGACACAATGAAGATAAACCTACAAGTTAATGGAAAAATCAATTAAATTTGATTTTTATAAAAGAGTTTTAGAAGTGATTAATAATTACTGTTAAATGAAGAATTAATTCAATTTTTATCAGTTCCTTTAAAAATTTTCCAGGATTTAGCTTGTGAATTACTTGTTCTTTAAAAAGAAAATTGTAGGTCACGATCAGAAAGTGTAATACATAGACATATTTATATATCCACATGTAAGATGTATTTATATTTATATTTTATACACACAAATAACTCTAAACAGATAATTATTTTAAACCATTTTATAAAACGCTGACTTTATGATTTTTTTATTATTCAGTGTCAAAATATAAAATTTGCCCTCTTTACCTTGATAACTTGTTACATCTGTCATCTTTCTTTAGGGTTTATACGTGTTCCCTTTATTAATCACTTCTCATTTCTATTTAATGACCAAATTCAGTTGTCAAAGTAATTAAATCTACCTTAGGAACAACTTACCATTTCTATGTGGTTCTCAAGTCTTTTGCTAAAGTAGCAGAAAACTTCCTTCTAAAATGGTGTAAAAGTGAAAAAAGATATCATATTGAATAGAAAAATCAAGGAGAATAATACCCTAAAGGTAAGGATCTTAAATGCCAAGTGCCCTTTCTCAGCCTCAACCATTTATTCTGAAAATGGCCTATCAAAAAAGCTTAGAAGGAGCAGTTTAATTACTGTTCCTTTGACATAAGTAATAAATTTTCAGTAGCAGAACCATGCATTTATTTAAGGCCAAATGGTGTACAACAAAACTGTCCTCCAAGGTATTTCTTTCTACCATTTTTCCCCACTTGGCCTCTACAGCTACGTTTTAACAACAATGTCTTTTTTGGGAGATATTTTAAAATATAAGCCTTAAATCATGGTTCTCTTTAGAAATAATAAAACCCAGCAAGAGAATTAAGAGAAGAGCACAACTTACTTTTAAACACTGAATAAATTAAATGTTTTAGTATATCTATATATTATGCTTATAGATATATATTTATACTTTATGAGTACTTTCTACACTGAATCTATGCCAATATGGGTACTTACCTCCACTAGCTTATACCTCTGTATCTTTACGTATGTCCAGACTTCATTTATGTCATGAATGAAGAAATCACTAATCGACTGCCATTAGTGGATGGCACAAGGGCAAAGTCCATTTTGTTCATAGTGGTTGGTACCATCCCTGAAACATAATAGGGATCTCATAATAATATTTAAATAAATAGACATTTTTAAATTCTGTATCCTGATAAGAATCAAAACACATTTCTTTTTTAATTGTCAACTTTGGTTTTAAATAAATATTAGGTACAGAAATCTCTCTCTTCATATATATATACATATATATGTATATATATCCATATTTCCTGAATTTATTAGTCCTTATCCCACTATAAGAAGCAAGTCATATAATGGTTTTGAAGAATTAAAATCCCTTTAAGAGTTGTCAATGCATTATTAATGTTAATATAATTAATGTATAATATTAATATATTGTTTTGAAGTTTATTCTACAAATATATATATATGTATATGATACACACACACAAATATGTATATGATACACACACACAAATATATACCCCTTTTGACAAACGAAATAAAGTTTGCAAACTTTCCCATCTTTTGTGCAAATGCTTTGGTGAATCTGGCCTAAGTAGCTTTATCTTTAAAATTAACTTTTATTCTTAATATGTTCTTCTATCATATACAGCTATAAGCAAAATATTTTAATGACCTCATTCTGGGTAAAATATGTCACTTAAAAGTATTAACTATCAATCTTTTACATCCAGTTTATAAGGGTTGTGTAAATAGTAAAATTGCAGGGTCAACTGAAACTGAGAACTCAAACTCAAACTGAAGACTCCAATAATTAAGAATGGCTCAGAGAATATTATGTTCAAATAAACAAACAAAAATACCCCCCTTTTTATTAATCTACATAATCCCTCTTTGGTTTAATAGGATTTAAACTAGCTCTAAATATATGAGCCTCTCTGAATTTTGAGAGGCTTAAAGCTTTCTTCCAGGCAAGGAAAGTGGATTAAAACCAACCTTTGTGTTTTACAATTTGCATTTAACTGACCTATACTGTGAGTCTAACTAAAGCCCTTAAGTGTTTTCTTCTCCTGGAGCTGGCATCTCTCTCGGATAAGATCATGAGATTCTATTTCCTTTGATGTATTTCAGCTTGCAAGCACAGTAACATGAACAAATTCCTTGCCAGCTATCCTCTTCTCTCCCAACCCACACATGCCCCCAAAGCATTCTCGGCTTTCATACAGAGCTCTTTATTTTTGTGGCAAATGTTCTCATTTAAGGGGGAAAATAGATTTTCTGAGAAAATCCTGAAGGGGGAACACATAGATCTTCTTAATGAGGTGTCAACGGGATGTCAATGAGGTGTTAAAATAGGTCGAGGCCATGCTGAATTTTTCCTTTCTTTTTCAATAATTTCTCTAAATTTCCAGTAGCCAATGTTAATAAAATGAAAAACCACCTTTTCTTTCATATGGTCTGCTTTGATGAATCTCATTGGCATTCTCAAGGTTGCTAACCTATGGCTCTTTTGAAACAGAACCAAGATTTCTATGTATAGTTCTTCGATTTTTAAAAACAAAACACAATATCATGCATTAATTATATTATGCAACTGCTATAATTTTTATCACTTATGTAAAAATCTCAAATATATATGTGCATATAAATATAAAAACAAAGGAATGTATAGCGTATACTTTCATGTCTGTTTTGGAAGCCTATAACCTTATGTGAACTAAGTTGCATAGTTAAATGTGGATGACAAAGAGGCAGCCAAATTTAAATATCTTTCAAAGAAAAAGGAGGAAAAAAAGAAAGGAAAGAAGGCAAGCAGGCACTCTGAATGTATTATTCATTAATGAAGAGAGTGCTGTATGGCACACTTGTAAGGCACTGTTTGTCTGAGCAAAGTGGGCAGTTGATATTTACAAGTATGAAATATAAAGATATCAAATATATTAACTGGAGTGCTGCTTTATGGATTGGCTGACTTTCAGAAGCATGAGAATGACTCTCAAAAGCCTGGCTACTGGTGCCAAATTGTCATGGATCATTTACAACCATTTTAAATAATTACAATTATTTTAAATAATTCTGGTATGTGTTACTTACTACAGCTGAAGAAAAATCAGTCCTTTCCTAGTAGGTCAGAAACTTTTTATTCTTAGTCAACTCTGTTTGTCTGTCCCAGCCAAAGCTCCAGGAAATATCATCAGGTATTGTCTAGAGCCCTGTTGTTGAGGTGTTGATTCGACCAGAAGACAAACATGTCATTTGTGAAATTCTGATTTTCAGTTTGTGTATTGATTAGCATAATTTTTTCTGCTTTTTTCTTTGAATCATATACAGAGCCATATGGCGACGATAGCTGTACAAAAGGCCTTGTGTAACATATCAAATGGATATAAGTCAAGTAACAATAATTGAAAGTATTAAAAGATTGTTCAGTCTTGCTGAAGAAATCAAGTGACAATGACTCCCTAAGTCTATATTTTCTTTCATCTGCATAGGTTTTTTTTTTTTTTTAATGAGATAAGCTTTAGACAAGTTACCTTCCCATTAGTACAGATCTAGATTTTCCATCTTAATAGTGGTATTCATTCGGGTACTTAAGTTCAGCAATAATGCAGACTTCCTGCTGCTTGGCCAAAAAATAAAAAAGAAGAAAAAAAAACAGAAGTTATTATTTCATCCATAACTAATTGAACTAAGAAATTAAACTCATGAGTGGTTCCTCAGGACATAAGCTATACTATTTATTATATTAGGTATTTATTATGTTAGGTCAAGTAAGGAAAACATTTTTTATTACCACCTTGTGTCATTCACTGCTATGGATAAGATGGCCATCCTTAGGAGTCTGTTGTAAAAATTGTTAGTTATACTACCAGAAAAGGATATTATGCGTCCCATCTCTGCAAGAAGACAGTTCTCTGAGAAAGTTAGGAAGTCATAGACTTGTAATGGTATAGCTTTTTATGCCACAGAAAAGTAATCCTTGCTCCTGGATTGGCATTAAAAATGAAGTGATTCTCACATTTAAAAAAAAGAAAGAAAGAAATGTACAAGAGATGTTACTATTTTTATTAGAGTTCTAGATATATTATCTCTGGGAGTTTTCACGAAAAATAGTCACTATTACAACCTAAGAATATTTATTTATCCTATTCCATTGCAAATGTAAGTTTCTTTGTGTTCAAAAGGGTACCATTATAGGTAAGATTGCCTGATACACCTTGATATTCTCATTTTTTTCTATGCTTAAACATTTTGAATGAATGCAACTTTCCATTATGGGTTCATTCATTTGTCTTTTCTCTGACAAGACACAGAATTACATAAATTGCACACACTACCAATAGTTTGAGAAATCAAAATTAAAGACTTGGGGTATCATGGATTAAATGGAGAGCCTTAAACAAGGACAGAGGAAAAATATAGCTAAAAAGGTAAAATGCAAATGTATACAGAGAAGATATGACGATTGTGGTTCAAAGACTCTCTTGTTCTAACTGATACTGAGAAAAAACTCTCTACCCTATGTGTACTCCAAGGATCTGAGTCTGTAGTTTACCTCTCTAACTGGAGAAACTCACTTTAATCTTCTATGGGTGTAATTTTGTAGTTCTTTTACTTTGATAATGGGTGAAGTTGTTTTAGTTGAGTAACACATATCCAAGTATGAATTCCTTGTACTTTAATTGTTTACAAAGTAATCAAGGACATCTGATAGAGTATATTTCTCCAGCAATGTCCAAAATCAGTATTTGTCTGATGTCTTCTCCAGAATACCAGATAACCTGATATAGGTTATACAGGGGACGATTTGGTGGTTGAAAGGAAGGACACCATGATAGGACTGATGTGAATTAGTGCTTTAAAATATTTTGCTAACCAACTTGCAAAAGACTGAAAACAAGTACAGAGGGGTTTATTTTTATTTGCACGGGACAGTCAGTGAACTTGACAGGGGGTGACCTATGACTTCTTGAGAAGAAAGAATGAAAGGCTATGAAAGTGAATTATAGTATGCTGGGTCATCAGAGATTAAGGACGTATGACAGTTTAGATAAATTTGGCTTTTACATTCCATTTGTTCTTTTCACTTTTCCCAAGATTTGTAGATGGTTTGGACACTGAGTATCTGAGTAAGAGACACAACTTTACATCATAACTATCATAGTAAAATGTATTTCTCTATCAATAGAGAAATAAGTTGAAATGTACTAGTTAGGGAAAAATGTAATATGACAGTTTTAGCCACTGTGAGTACAGTAGCTTGTTAACAGGAGAATAATTTTAACTAGAAAATAAACATGTTGTTAGTGAATTATTGTACCCACAGAGGGAGGCTATTATTTGGTGATGTTTAAGAAGTCCCTCTGGGTGTAGTTCCAGTTTATTTTTAATCTTTACAGTATTTCCAGGATTGTGTTCATTATAGATGAAGTTGGAATTGGCATGTCTACTGCCCTTCTTGAAAATGTTTCTTTCTGGTTTTGTTTGATACTTTTACCATTTCCTCACCACTGAATTCTCATAGAAAATTTTTGGCAAAAAGTGTAGAGATTTTCTTGTTTTCCTAGGCAAGTGTCCTGGCTTCTCAAGACCTATTCTTAGGTATCATAGAAATTATTATTTCTGAAATTTCTTTCCAGAACCATTGGGCAAACTGTTCATCAATAATGCTATTATTAAGCCTCTCTACAGATAACATCTTTCCGATATCAGAAAGATTTTTCCTTACGAACATTTTATCACAGTGGACTCCTTATTATTTAAAGTCATCATTTGTAAAATGTTGTCATTTACCAAGGAAAGCACCAGCATTAAGATTATAATGAAATTATACTTATGAAGCAGAATTTTGTCAGGAAGACATGGCAGCTTGATGTGAATGATCACATGACAAATAGGATAAAGGCCAGTATAATTGGTCAAAAGTGTATAATTGTGAACCGTGTCTTGATTTCCATTACAAAATAGTCTCTGAAGTGGCCATATGATCAATGAGCTATATGACCCTAAAACACAAGCTTTACAGGGTAATATTCCTTAGTAATTTGACAGAACAAAGGTGACCTCAATGTTTGTTGAGGTACCCAAGGCACAGTATGATTAATTGACTTTTCACAAAATGGTTATTACTCTAAATTTTCTACAACCATCAATCTTGGGGGTTACATTCAACTGGAGATTGATTGGCCTTCCTTTTCTATGTGTTCCATTTGAAGCTTATCTTTATGCAATTAAATGGCTTCAAATTATCAAGATAACATAAAAACATCTGAGATAATAATATCTACAATTAGATAAATAGAAAACAAGGGAAATAAAACACACTTGGCATGAGAATGTATCAAATGGTCCACCTCAAAAACAAAACATTCAGTTAACTCATCGAAAATAAATTAGCACAGAAAATTGTTGAGACAGATTCACCTAGCAGCAGATAAAGAAGATGGTTGTAGTTTGAGCACAAGGGTTTAAGTTAGTGTGCCTGTTTCTCTGAGTATCCTATGGAATGACAGTAATAAAAAGAAAAAATCTAGGCTGAGTGCAGTGGTGCACACCTGTCATCCCAGCCGAGACGGGCGGATCACAAGGTCAGCAGATCGAGACCAGCCTGGCCAACATGGTGAAACCCCAGCTCTACTAAAAAATACAAAAATTAGCTGAGTGTGGTGGTGAGCACCTGTAATCCCAGCTACTCAGGAGGCTGAGGCAGGAAAATTGCTTGAACCTAAAAGGAGGAGGTTGCAGTGAGCTGAGATTGTGCCACTGCTCTCCAGCCTGGGCAACAGAGCAAGATTCTGTCTCGGAAAAAAAAAAAAAAATCTATATTACTGAAAGCTAAATTCGTTGAAGAATAATATCACAACTCAATATTTGAGACAAAAAGCTGAATTTTTTTTATTGCTATGCAAAGGAAAGAAGACCTTGTAAGGCACACTGCCTGAGCAAAGCATAGAGAAGATCTCAAATAAAGATTTGAGAAATGTGTTCCTTATCTATGCTTCCTCACCCAACAGCTCACAGGATAATGACCTCAGAAATCTATTTGTCATCCTGCATATACCCCTTTTCCTCACCTCTCACTCTCAGAGAATGACTTTCATAAATACTTCACTGAAAAAATAGAAACAATCCAACAGGAATTTTCCTATTTTTCTACCATAATAAATACAACATGCACTCATCTGCTCAATATTTCCTGTTTCTTTTTCTGTTCCAATTATTATGTTTAAAAGTCATAACTTGACTTTTGACAAATGTTATAAAGTTACTTTTTCATAGGATCTTTTCTTTCTTTTCTATTTATTTATTTATTTGAGACAGTCTTGCTCTGTCACCCAGGCTGGAGTGTAGTGGTGTTATATTGGCCCACTGCAACCTCTACCTCCCGGGATCAAGAGATTCTCTCGCCTCAGCCTCTTGAGCAGCTGTGATTACAGCTACCCGCCAACATGACTGGCTAATTTTTGTATTTTTAGTAGAGACAGAGTTTCTCCATGTTGGCCAGGCTGGTCTTGAACTCCTGACCACAGGTGATCTGCCCGCTTTGGCCTCCCAGCATGCTCAAATTACAGGCATGAGCCATCATACCTGATGGGTCTTATCTTTTCTAAGTTGCTGAAGGTTTGTACTGCTGTAGGTGCCATCTCTCCCATTCTTAATCATCAGATTGTTTCTCCGGATGCTCTTCCATCAACAGATGAACATGTTCTGGCAGTTTGCACATGTGTACAGAACTACTCATTACCACTCCAAGTCTATGATTTCATTTGTAGGAAAAAATTTAAAAGATTTTGTATTTGTTATATTTGTTTTTTTCTCCCTATAATGATTGGGACCCATTCCAGATTTTGTCTATTGATTTTATCCCTGTATGTTGTCATATATAAGTTATCTTTTCAAGTTTACCAGTGAACTCCATGTTGCATAACACAATAGATATGTGCAATCTTATTATATTTCTTCAAGTGTTTGAAACTGATGAACACCCAATGAAATAAGCATTTTATTTTTCATTTTCTATATTCTACCACCAACCTAATAAAAGCCTGCAATAATTAGTCTTATCTGCTAATGTTTCCGGTGCTTACCACAGAATGTGGCTTAAAATAGTTGTTTAACAAATAATACTTTGTGATTAAGTGAGGTTAAAAAAGACAACAATATCCACTTAAAGCCATTAAAGTAGCAGCATTTATTGAGATAGCTCGTTGTTCACATTATTGGTATAGAAACACAGTAGCTTTCCTATATGCAGAAGTTAATTCTTAAAATAAAAATTGGACAACTTGTCCATTTATAGCATTAAAAAGATTAATAATAATATTAACAAATATATACATTGAATATACTATAGAAATGACACTTTAAACTCTACAGAGATGTAAATGAAGTAAAAAAAAATGGAAGGTACCAACATGCTGTTACCTATACAAAGACATAATCTTCAAATATATTTATTTTATTTCAATTAAATTGCATATTTAAAGCTATCCCAATATAAATCCTGACAATATTATTTTTAGAACTAGAAATAAACCACCAAAGTTTCACCACACAGAGACATTAAACAGGTAAGAAATTACAGCAAAAGCAAAATAGCTATGTCTAACTAAGTTATCTTAATACGTTCTAAAGATAAAGTGATGTAAATCATCACCATTTTGTTTAGGAAGGATGGGTCAGTAAAGTACAGAAAGAAGTCTTTAAATAGACTAAAATACATGGATGAATTTATTGCATAATGTTGTTCAGATTTCATGTTATGAAAGAAAATGAAATTATTTAATAAATAAAGGACAGCCAAATCTTATTGCGATTTGCAAAGATATAACAAATCACAACCTTAATTAAAACATCAAAGTATTTTCTAAGTGACTCAAAGGTATGAATTTTAATGTTATACTACAATGATACTCTAAAAAACCATGATACTAAAAATAATACAAGATTCTACAAACATTCCTTAAAGTGTTACTTTTCAAGATGTTTGTTCCAAGACAGTCCTTCAAGTCATGCAATAAACATTGAAAGAATCATGATAATGCTATAAAATACTTTTTGAAATATTAATAATACATTCATACCCATAAAACTATTAGAAATAATTTTTTTAAAAAAATTAGAACATGTAGAGGAAAAAATAGTTTAAAAACTCCCATGAGGAGACAGCCTTCAGAAATAAAAGTACATATGATCAATTATGTTAATTTTCTTCATATTGAAATAAATGTAAGTGTTAAAAAGCAATATTATTTTAAAATAAAGGCAACCAGAAAAGAAATAGAAACACAAATTTATTCGCCCATGGAACTAGAGGACATAGTTCTAATAGGAATGAATGTCAAAAAGATATGTCGGATCATCTGAATAGAATACACTGTGGCTGTAAATATCGGAAAGCCTGAAAAAATCCAGCTTTCTTTCATAAGCAGCATAGCCAGAGGTGTAAGGCTAATTGTGTGTTTCGTCTTATTTTTGTCTTTGCAACAGGAGAGTAGTCCACAGCTTTAAAAGGTCCCAATACTCCATTGTTTCCAAAGAGAAAGAGAAATTAAGATGGTTTTAAGGGTCAGGCGTGAAAGATATAATTTCAGGAAAAGGTCTGTATGTGATGTTTAAAGCGAAGAAATAATTTGCATTGTAAACAAAACAAAAGCTGCCAATCTAAGTTTATTAGATTCACGTAAAGGCTTAGTAAAGACCGTGTTCGCATACAATGTTTTCTCTTGGGAAGTGCATGTATTTGCTTGGATTAACCTCTCCAAAACATTACACAGTTGCTACTTACTGTTCCGGTAAAAACTCAAACCAGTCAACTATGTATAATTATTATTATTAATAATAATAATGGCAGTTTTGTTTCAGCTCGGGAATTTAGATGACTGGAAAGAGCATCATTTGCTCCCTTATAATAAAATTGCTGGACAAATTACATATAAATGACATTTTCTGAAACATTCAGAGAATGAAGAATATAGAGCAATCATCTTCAAAAACAGAGAGCGACATGCCTGAGCAGAGAGAAACAGGAGCAAACATTTGCTTACCTTGGACAGACACTACTGAACACCATCTACTGCAATGAAAGATTCAGCTAGAAATGTTTAACAGATTTGTAAAGGTGGAGATTTGGCTGACATAAAAGGGTAAAACTTCTGAGATCCATAAGACAGACTATATCCTCTCACAGACTTTTCCTCCAGGAACTGTAGAAGTTGCTCACAGGGAAGGTTGGAAAACATCTTGAGAAAGGTTCCTTCAAGTGCTGCTGGAGGAGAATTGTCACCACGATCAAAACTCTACACCAATGCAACATTCCTAAGGAACAAAAGACTTTATACGTGAAGATTATCAAAACCTGGAGCCTGAGGAACATGGTGGAAAATCACTGAAGCTGGAGAAAAGAAATGTCGACCACCACCAACAATGCCACGCAGAGCCATCTTCTCTATCTCATCTAAGCAACAAAAGGCCTTAACCTACCTGGGGAAAGGAGTCAAAACAATAGCATAGAGAGAGGAACAGTAAATAAACAAACACATAAAAATAGACATATATTTCTACATGTGGGGAGAGGTTAGGCTGAGCGTTACATATGGAGAAGGGGCAGGAAGACTCCTGAAGGCTGCAGCACTGAGACCCTGGTACACCGGAATCTAAGATGAGACTGAATCGGCACATCCAACTACATCCTGCTCACCCAACCTCATCACCACATTACCAAGTCCGGTAAAAATGACAGCTGAATGTTTATTTGCTGAGAGATCTACCATATAACTCTGGGGGAGCAAAGGAAGACCCAAGAACAAGTAGGGAGAGAAACACAAGTTATTATTAAAAGAATTTGAAAAACGTGATGCCAAAAGGGTAGACCAAAAGCAATAGAACTCAAAACGAGCGCGCTTTCTATTTTAACACAAGACTACACACTAAATGCCCAGCAGAAGGCAATTAGAAGAAATCAGTAATCTATTGTCTAAGCCTGCTTGAACTGGATTTTCAGTTATTTACTTCTGAATGTGTGCTTACTGATATCCTGAATCTATACCAACTTTAGTATTAAGATCAAGATCTTGCCCACCAACACGCAGGTAACTGGATCCTGCTGTTGCTTCATTTCAAAGTTCTGCTACTCTGTGCTAAGTTAGATTCATGTGTTCACAAAAAATCTCTTCAAATTATTTTCCAGAGTTGTTTCATTGTCTAATGAGATAAAATATAAATACATTTGTCTTTCCCAAATCTAGTTTCAGCTGTACATGTATATTAGAGATTGTCATGTAACTAAAATACTTCCATAATTTCTAACACTAAATTAGTTTTTTCCTTTTTTATAGGTTTTCATCATTTTAATAAGTACTTGGAAGATAAGAAGGACTAAAATGAGTCCCTTAGTCATAGTTAAGAAACAGAAATTGGAACAGGGTGCACTTGCTTGTGCCTGTAATTCCAGCTACTCAGGAGGCTGAGATGGGAGGATGGCTTGAGCACAGGAGTTTGAGGCTTCAGTGAGCTATGATCCTGCCAGAAGTCCAGAATAGCATTCTGCTAAAAATTTACAGTGCTCGTTAAAAAAATTTGTTGCTTATTTCTTCTCTCTGCATGGTTAAGTGATATTTTCAGACACAAACTTTAGAGCAGGCTTTCAGGTAAGTTACAAACTGTAGCTATCCTCAGTCAGTGATCTTTTATTCATGCTTTTTTTACGCTTGATTATGCTTCAGTTTCCTTTTTTATATTTGGTATAGTTACTCAGTCTAGTTATCGTAGACTTTTAATGATTCTCATTTCAAGTGTTTCCATTGAGTCTTAAAAATTATGCAATAGTATTTTCTCCCCTATTCTTGATCTTCTCTTCCAGTGGTGTTAGAAGAGTTCACTCAAGGTCTTCTCTTGTAACGTGAAAAGATGAATTTCATCCCAAACTCTGCTGATTTCTGCCATCTTAGCTGGGCTAATACTTGGGTTTCTGGAATTAACTTCTGTAGCTATAAAACATTAAGTAAGGTTTCAGATCTCATTCTCTTTCCTGCCTTTGATATCAACTCTCACCTACAAGATTGAATTCTTTTCTCTTTACTTTAGAAAATATACCTATTTCTGAAGGTAGTTTTTTCCTACAGTTTAATCCCATCTATACGATATTTTGATGGCTTTCTTGAGAGTTTATTCATATGGATAAAATGTAACTTTCTAGTTTTTCTGATATGCTGTTTTTCCTAGTTTTAATATTTTATTGATCAAAGGAGACCCAGAAAATTGAGCAATGCTCATTTATTATTATTCATTCAAATTATCAATTCCTTTGTATTTGAAGAAAACTACTGTATAGTAATTATTTGTCTCTTTTCCTTTATTATGTACACACAAAGCGTTGCTAATATTTGTTAATTCACATATTAGCTGCAAAGGATTTCTTAATGGGTATTTCTGGCTAAGTTGAGAGAGATTCTAGGATTACTAAAATTGTATGAAAATTATTACCTGGTAGGAGTGTGTGAGAAAAGGCTTATTCCATTCAACATAGATAATAGTCATATAAAATTAAATGTATAAATTTTGATTTTTAGTGTTAAGTATTCGGTTTTCATTTTTAAATTGACAATTTTGACAATTATAGGCACTCACTCAATACAAGCTAAAAAATATTTCTGTCACCCTCGAAAGTTCCCTTGCATTCCTTTTCAGTCGATACTTCTCTCACCCCAATGGAAACTGCTTTCTTATTTCTATCACTATAGATTAGCTTCATATTTTTATAAAATGTTTATAATTTGAATCATACAAAAGAGACATTTGATATCTTTTTTAACATAATATTTCTAAGATTCATCAATGTCATCACGTGGGTAAATGAATTATTTCTGTACAATCAATGTAAATCCCATGAAATAGTATATGGGAACACTGCACTCTTCCTTTGAGTCTCATTTTTAAGGATTTACAACATTATGTTCACGCATTCTCCAGTTAATGGACATTGGGTTTTTTCATGACTGATTATTTTCAATAAAGCTACCATTAATATTTTTCACATGCTTGTTGGCATATATTTTCATTTTTCTTGAGTAAACTCACAGATAGGTCATGGAGTCATAGGACAGATTTTTTAAGTTTTTAAGAAATTACAAAAGAGTTCCTCAATTTGGTCGTACGGTTTTGTTTTCTGATCAGCAATCTATTTTCAGTTGCTCCATGTCCTTAGCTACATTTGGTATTTTCTGTGTTTTGATGCTATCCATTATAATGGATGAATAATAAGATCTCATTATTTTAATTTGCTCTTCCTGATGACTGATAACATTATGTATTTCATTGGTAAAGCATTTATTAAGATTTCCATATTTCAGGTCATTTCAATTTATTTCAACAAGTGCATGGACACTCTTGACATTTTGTGCCAAATAATTATTTTGGTTGGTGGGGGGGATTTCCTAGGCATTGTGGAATGTTTAGAGAATTCCTCTTCTCTACTCAGTAGATGCCGGTATCACTTCTCCCCAGTTGTGAACCAAAAATGTCTGCAGACATTGCTAAATGTCCTATGGGGGAAAAAGTCACCTTTGATTGAGAAGCAAGGCCATTATTTTCTTGAGTTTTGCAAAATTTAATAATAATTTAGTTGTCACAAATTACATTATTTCTGGAATGTCTAGCATAGGTATGAATATTAGTCAGCAATAAAAAGAACTTGTGACAGAACTCCAACTAGGATAACAACTTTAGACTATATAGACTCAGCGATAATGTAGATCTTAAAATATAAGATATTCTATGTGTTGGCAATATCCTTAGTGCTCCGTTGTGAGTAAAGTGCTTCCTACAGCTTTACTTTTCAATAGGCCCACCAACAATAACACAAATTTACTAAAAACTCATACTATAGCAAAAGTCCTTGTGATTACTATAATAGTGTGCACTAAGCAAACTGTGATATATTAAAGATGTCCACATATTCTTTTGTTAAAAAAATAGGAGTTAACCAATATGTACTCATCTTAGTCAGTTTGGCCTGCTATAACAAATTACCACAGACTGGGGGCTTAAAGACCCAACATTTATTTCTCACTGTCCTGGTGGCTGAAAGTCTGAGGCTACATTGCCAGTATGGTCAGGTTCTAGTGGGGGCCTGCTTCCTGGTTTGCAAATGGCCAGCTTCACCATGTAACCTCACATGGCAGAAACAGAGTGAGCTAGCTCTCTGTGGTCCCTTTAGTGAGGGCACTAATTCCATTCATGAGGGCGAAGCCTAATTACTTCCTAAGACACCACCTCCTAATACCTTCCGATTGAAAGTTAAGATTTCAACATATGAATCTGGGGATGGACACTAACATTCGGTCCATAAAAGTTCCTGAAGATTTTCTATGCTAATAAAATATATTAGTCATATATGTATAGAAAATATGCCACTAATTTACAGTTAATACTTAAGTAATTATTATTTTACATATTAACTTTGAAAATTTGAAACATAATAGAATAAATCATAAAATTCAGTTTCTAATGATAGGCAGGGTTATTTAAAATCAACTAACCTTTTGATATTAATATCTTAAATTCCTGAATTAATTCCTAAAAAGTTATATTTAAGGATAGTGGCTAATAGGAACATACATTAAGTAAATTTTTCAGGCAAATTTTATTTCAGTGATAATAATATTTTTAAACTCTCTTGTAAAATATATTATAAATTAATACAAATTTTCTCTCAAATATACATATATGCATATTAGATGTATATTCTTTTCCGTCCTGATGGCCACACCATAGTAAAAGCTTACATCATTATATCACTAAGCTATCAGTAGCAAATATATTTTTGGTTCACAGGAACCCTAAATTTGACATCTAAATGTTGATACTGATATAAAAATTTAATAATAAAATTAGAGGTTATAAATCATGTAATCTCTGGCATATCAAATATTAAATACATCCATTCTCTATAGTTTTGACAAACATTGGTTTTTCACTCTGGTTCATTCAATTTCGGGAAGCTGTCCATCATATAATTTAATTACCAGTCAGTTCTTATTGTCAAACAAATCAGCCAAATTTATATTCTGGCACAAAAAGCCCAACTTTATTAACTGATCTAAATAAGTATGCCCATAAATACAGTCTCATTCTAAATTATAATCCAAAGATGAGAAAGATAAATAGATAGATAAAACAATCATCTTCAGTATTCCTCAAAGAAACTAGCTTTGCTCTGCTACTGTGAGGTGTGCTTTCTTGACATTTATTACTTTCAATCACCAGTGGTATTTTATCCCGTGTCAGTGCTCCATATTAATATTTGTGAATGGTAACTGACATGTATCTATTTTATAAAGTGGGGCAAAGGCTTTAAAAAAATGAAAGATGAAAAGAAGAAGGAACACATCACAGACTCTATTTTCAGAGAAATCATTATTAAGAGAGTGTAAACCAGGCAGTTCAGGATCTGGAGAATTATGTTCTTAAGACCTTATATTCCCTCTTACTAACTGTAAGCATATCTGGTTTTTAGAATACTATACTAGATCACTGCGATCGTGCTGATGACTGTGATGGTAACTGTATATATCAACTTGGGTGGGCCACAGTGCCGAGATATGTGCTCAAACATTATTCTGGATGTTTCTCTGAGGACATTTTTTGATGAGATTAACATTTAAATCTGTGGCCCTTAAGTAAGGCACATTACCCTCTATTTTGTGAGTGGGCCTCATCCAATAAGCTGAAGGTCTGATTATAACAAAAAACTGACTTTCCATTTGCAAGAGGGAATTCCTCCTACCTTACTGCCGTCAAACCTGAATTTAAAAATTGGTTATCCTAGTTGATTTAGCCTCAGAAACACCCTGCAAATTTTGGACTTTCCAGCCTCCATAATCTTGTGAGACAATTCCTTAATATACGTATACATATACACACATATATATGTGTGTGTGTGTGTATGTGTATCTATGTATGTATATATGTATATACACGCACACACAAACACATCTTATTTGTTCTGTTTCCCTGGAGAACCCTGATGTATAAGGACCATGGCCTTTTCTTTTCCCTTTAAAATAAATTTTCTACAAGAACTGGAGTTCACAATTTCAACTGTAAAGCTAAAATTTATCACTTCCCAGTTTAAATTGTATTAATGAATAATAATCATTTATGCTAATTTTTAACAGATTCTTCCTTAATTACAACATCTTATAGTTTTCTTACACTATTCATTGTCTGAATTATCACTCTTTTGCAATGCAACATATGGTGTACTATCATTTATCTTTGATAATCTGCATGGACACTATTTGTTGGGAGCAAACCCCCCCAAATCCAACCATAAACTGGCCCCAAGACTGACCATAAACAAAATCTCTGCAGCACTGTAACATGCCTATAATGTCCCTAATGCCCAAGCTGGAAGGTTATGGGTTTATGGGAATGAGGGCAAGGAACACCTGGCCCGCCCAGGGTGGAAAGCTGTTTAAAGGCATTCTTAAGCCACAAACAAAAGCATGAGAGATCTGTGTCTTAAGGGCGTGTTCCTGCTGCAATTAATTCAGCTCATCCCTTCGTTTCCCATAAGGGATACTTTTAGTTAATTTAACATCTATAGAAACAATGCTAATGACTGGTTTGCTGTTAATAAATATGTGGGTAAATCTCTGTTCGGGGATCTCAGCTCTGAAGGCTGAGACCCCTGATTTCCCACTTCACACCTCTATATTTCTGTGTGTGTGTCTTTAATTCCTCTAGCACCACTGGATTAGGGTCTCCCCAGCTGAGTTGGTCTCGGCACTATTAGATTGTAAATTGCTTGCAATCACTATGAAAATATTTATTTACTTTAGTGGACGAAGCAAAATTTTAAACTAAAATTCTCTTGTCCCCAATTTCATAGAAGTTACTAAAAAATATTTTCTGCAAGCTCCACCCATTTTTCTTCTATATATTATGGACTGAAGTATAACACTCTCATGCAACTATATATTTCATTTTTTTAGTATAAAAAGGGGAAATTTATATTATTTCAGATAGTGTTTTATGTATATTAAAATAAATATAAAATTCTGTATTATCACCTACTCCATTTATTGAAAAATGATTTAAAGCATTTGAGGTACTCAATTGTTGTTACATCAAGTGTTCTCTATATGTTAATTAGATGCTGTTGGTTTATTTGGTTTGTTCACGTATTGGTTGGTTATTTGGTTGGTTCACATAGTCTATATCCTGTCATTGTTCTTTCTAGTAGTTTTATCAACTGCTACAAAGGAGGTATTGAATTCTCCTACTCTAATTGAGCTCCATCATTTTTGCTTCATGCATTTTGAGGCTTTGTTTTTTGGCGCATAAAAACTTAGAATTTTTAATTCTAGTCTTCCTGGTGGAACGGATTCTTTTTCATTATGCAATATCCCTGTTTGTTTTTAGTAAAATTTTTGCTCTGAAGTCTATTTATCTGAAATTAATAATAATTTAGCCACTCCTAGGGTTTTTTGTATTAATGTTTCTATAATAAATATATTTTTCCATCTTTTTACTTTCACCCTACCTATGTCACCAAATTTAAAGTGATTTTCTTCTAAAAAGTATATGATGAGTCTACATGTTTAAAATCCATTCCACCAATCTATGCCTTTTGGTTAGTACATTTAGATAATTTACATTTCTATTTACTGGTATTATTGATATGTTAGAACTGAAGTCTGATCATTTATTTATTTATTTTTTGTTTTCTCTAGCTCTTGTTCCTCTATTTTTTTCTTTTATTGCCTCCTGTGAGTACTTTGAACACTTTTGGAATTCCATCTTGACTTATTTCTACTGGGCTTGAGTGAATATTATTGTGTGTTTTAATTTGTGATTGTTCTGAGTATGACGATATACATGTATGACAATATAGTTTGCTAGTATCAACTTTTTTGTCTTAAAGGGAAGTGTGAAAACTTTGATTTCATATAATATGTCCTTTTGATTTTCCAGCTTTTAAATATTATTGTCTTGACTAAAAGATAGTGTAATAATTTTTGTTTCAATCTTCAAATCTAATTTATAAAACCCTTAAGAAAAAGGTAATTCATTGTATATACTGATATTTCTGCTTTTTTCCATTTTTCTTTTTTCAACCTGACACTCCAGGTTTCCCTATTTTTATAATTTCCTTTCAGTTTGAGCTACTTTCTTTAACCTGTCTGTAGTACAGGTCTTTTGGCTGTAAATTATTTTGGCTTTCCTTTGAAGCATGTATCTACTTTCTCTTCATTCCTGAAGGACAGTTTCACCAGATATAAATTTATAGTTGATAATTCTTTTTTCAGCACTTGAAAAATGCGTCACTTCCTTCTGGTCTCCATAAATTCAGATGAGAAGTCTTCTATCACTTGAATTGGTGTTTACCTATAATTAGTGCATTGTTTCTCTCTAGCAGCTTTGAAGATTTTCCTCAAGTCTTTAGTTTTTAAAAATTTAGTTATGATATGTCTTGGTGTGAATTTCCTTAGGTTTATCCTCTTTTGTGTTGACCCAACTTCCCACCAAATTTGAGAAATTTTTGGCCATTTTGCTATGAAGAGTCATTTAGCTCCATGTTTATTCACCTACCTTTCTAAAACCTGATGAAAAAAATGTAAATCTTTAGTTACTGTCCCACAGTTACCTGAGGCACTATTTCCTCCTCCTCCTCCTTCTTCTTCCAACATTTTTTTTCTTTGTTCAGATTTGGTAAATTCTCTTTATTTGTTCTCAAGGCCACCAGTTCTCTCCTCTACATCTCCATTCTATTATTAAGCCTATCCCACAAGTTTTTAGTTTGGTTATTTTATTTTTCATTTCTATATTTCCATGTGGTTCTTTTTTGATAATTTCTATGGCTTGACTAAGATTTTCTATTTTTTATTTGTTTTAGGAGGATTTTTAATTACTGTTGAAACAGTTTTATGATAGCTGCTGCTTTTCAGTGTTGTCATCAATTTTCATATTTTCTTACATAAGTTGGGATTTACTTTGTTCTTGCAGGGATAGCTAATTTCACTTGTATATAGTATATTTTGGCTATTAATTTGGAAAATATTAGGTTCTACAAAAGTACTTTATTTTAGCAGACAGTCATCTTGTTTTGCTTTAGCATGCAGATCCTGAACTATTGAGAAGAGGGGGGCCTGTGGTTCTAATGACAAATTAATTTTTGAGCCTTTGCCGTGTTATTTTTCTCTGTGTGGTTTACCTGATACTACTGGGGTTTCCACCGGTCCTCACTAATTGCTGCCTTAGGTAGTCAAAGGTGATTTGCCAGGTGAGGTAGACTAGGTGTGGGAAGCAAGTCTCTGGGCCACAAGAATAAAAAGTTCCCCAGTCTAGGTGGCTTGTGGCAGGATTCTTCTTGCTGCCAGTTTAAGCAGTATCTGTGAGTGAAGAAGGGAGTTCCATGACTGGTGGAGAAGAGCATTTCTCAGGCCGGGCACTTTTTGGAGCTGGATACCCACTTTTTGTGGACGAGGGACTGCTGCTTACGCTGGGGTTTCTTGTGGAATCTCTTTGCCATTGCCACTTTGCTGCCCAAGTGTGTCTCTGCAGCTGAGGAGAGGCTCAGGCCCATAAGGATGACGGGCTTCCTGGGCCACAGCACTTTCTCTGACAACATCCACTTGCAGGTGGCCCTCAGCTACCTGGCATTTCTCAGTGGGGAGGGGGATTCTCAGTACCAAGGGAACTAACAGGCTTTTCAGACCAGGTGCTTTTTGTGGCAAGGTCCCCCTTGCAGATATTCACAGTCACTCAGCATCTCTGGCTGGAAAAGAAGGTCTCAGGCTATGAGTGGAAAGACTTTCAACCTGATAATCGGGCCACATATTGCTAGCAGTCCCAGATTGTACTCCTTTGCCCAGCTGCTGTGGGTGAGACTCCTATTCAATCCAGGGTAGAAATAAGGCTTTCTGGACTGCCTTCTGTTGCTACTTTGGGAGTCAAGAAACGTGAGATATGGGTTGCTTTCTCTTCATGGTTGAAAGATCTTAAGATGTCCTGCCACTCTCTTCTTTTCCCAATTCTGAAGTTCCTACACAGTGAACTTCCTGCCTCCTCCTTTCACCATTCTCCCGTGGTCACGTCTTGAATTATTTCCTGTGTTTGGAATTGTACTTAGTGGGAAGAAGCAGGGAGAAAAGGGTCTACAACATCTTGTTCTGACCAGAATTTAGATTAGATACAAAGGAACAATGGTTTGTCTTAGAAATTCTAAATTCTTTCTTTTATTAGTATTTTGTTTTTTTGATATGGAATCTCACACTTGTCACCCAGGCTGACATGCAGTGGCACAATCTTGGCTCACTGCAACCTCTACCTCCCAGGTGCAAGCAATTCTCCTGGTTCAGTCTCCCAAGTAGCTAGGATTACAGGCACCCACCGCCATACCCAACTCATTTTTTATGTGTATTTTTAGTAGAGATGGGGTTTCACCATATTGGTCAGGCTGGTCTCGAACTCCTGACCTCAGGTGATCCACCCACCTCGGTCTCCCAAAATGCTGGGATTACAGGCATGAGCCACCGTGCCTGGCCAGGAATTCTAAAATCTTATTATTTTAAAAGGTTTAAACATTAATTTTCTTTGTTTCCAACTGGAACTTAAAGCTTAATTTTGTTTTATTACAACCGCTTGTTATTACAGATGCTGTTAGAGTTCTTAAAGTTAGTTTACCTAAACTATGTTTCCTTTTAAAACTAATTGCTATGCTTTAGAGAAAAATATATGGCAGGGCCTGAGCTAAACTGAATATTTCTTTCCCTTCTTTTTTTCCTACTAACAAAAGAAATGCATTAGCACATTACTCTGGTTCAGAAGAAATATGAACTCAGGGTAACTCTAATTTGGTCTCTAGCTAACTAGAAGAATAAAATATCTTTTTTATACCTTTGAAGATGAGTAGCTTCAATTAATTGCTATATAGGGATAGATCATTAAAATGGTTCTTTAAATTTTTTTCCCTAAATTCTATTAATAAGTAGAATATATGCAATGCAAACAAAAACATTTCATATGATGTTTTCTGAAAACCTGAACTAATTTATATCAATTTTGGTAGCATGCTTTTAATTATAATTTAGTTACATATTTGTTCTTATTGTAAGAAAGATAACAGAAATCTACTGTGCAGTGAGACTTTTTCCTCTTTACTTGAAATGTTTTTACTTCTTATTCTTCTGATTCCATAATTAAAAGTAAAAAAAAAAATTTGTCCTTTTTTCTATATTTTTTAACATAAACATTTTTGCAAGTTACACCCATAGTTTTCCCCTCAATAATTATAGCTAAACACTTAACCAACTTCTTGTTTAAACCTAAAAAAGAATTTTTGGTTTCCATTTAAGTTTGCACTTAAAAAACCTTAAATTTTTTAAGGAAATTGGATGTGATCTGATTCTGTGTTTGTAGATATTCATTGAGTTTTTTATTGGTGGCATAATTTATTATTTTAGCTTCTAGAGCGGCCCTAGAAATAGTGTGGATGACCTGGAGAAAAGAGACTTTAAATATGTTGGGCATATTTTATGACACTACTGCATATAAAAGCAGGTGGTTTGCTAATATATCTATGAATATGCCATGCCTGTTTAGTTTATATAAACTAATATAATAGTGCAATAAGGAAAAAAAATAGTGAAACTAGAATACCTTAATCAAAATTTGCCTATATTATTTTGAATATATTTCCTCATGATTTTGACCCAGCTTGGCCTTAGACACACATAGACTGATGTTAAACTGACAAAATACTAATTTTACAAGATTGATTTAACTAGAAGAATGTAAGTCGCAATGTTAATTCAAATACAATATTATCACAATTGTTGAGTTCTCTAAAATGTTGATTTACCTCAGCAATTTTAAAAAGGCATGCTCACTGGTAAATGTTCAGATTAAGAAATATATTCCATGGATTTTTTGAAATACAAATTGCTCAATTGAGGTTACCCTTTACCTGATGGTATTAGGATAAATATTTATACTTTAGATTTGAATTTAGAATTTGATGAAAGTATTGACTAATTACGAAAGGGAAGAATAATACCTTATTATCAAGATGTTATTTTTAACGGGGAAAATCTGGCAGCAGCCTCACCTTACAAACAACTTTATCTAGTAGTTTACAAGGGACCCACAGTATACTGTCATACAACTTACAGTCCTGAAAGAATAAACACTAAGGGGCTTGCTATAAAAAATAAATTTATGAAGCATAATTACATTCTTTTGGTAAGGTTATGAGTTGAGTATTACATAAAGGCAATCATGTTTATGAAGAAGGTAAATAATTTTAATACCATAGCTGCACTCTCTATCTTATTAAGGAGAAAAAGTTAGCCTGGATAGAATAAAACAATAAGTCAAGAGGAATTTTTTATAAGGTATGTTAAAAGAAAAACTTTAGACAAATTTCACAGAGTTTTTTTGAGAAAAAGAACAATTAATGAATCAGGCAGCACTCGGAACCAAAAGACGTTCAGATGGCTCTGCCCAGCATGTAAGCAGTGAGCCTTGGAAGCAAAGTAGAGAAACCGCCTTATTGGCTACAGGGAGGCATCCATCGTAATTGTGTATGGTGTGATTAGTTGGCTGTCTGTGATTGGCTGAAGCATGACTGTTGT
This sequence comes from Homo sapiens, assembly GCF_000001405.40. NCBI lineage: Eukaryota > Metazoa > Chordata > Mammalia > Primates > Hominidae > Homo > Homo sapiens. The sequence continues at coordinate 178,773,853 of NC_000004.12, forward strand.
TGATTGACTGAAAACTGGATATTTTGGGAAAAAAACCCACCAACATGTATTCCTAAATTAGGTTTTGGTTTGTTAATGTGCTAAGTCAAATTGTTGTTAGTTAATTAGTAACCCTAAGTAAGGAGACAGCCTCAGGCTAATGACGTCTTGCTTATTTAATTTAACAGCTACTGTGTGCCAGAGAGGTAATCTCACTTAAACCTCCTATAAACCTTGCCAAATAAGTCAAACAGATCAGAACAAGAAAATGTAAAGCCTCAGTGAATTTCATTAAGTTGCTCAACATTACACAACTCCTTTTTTCATAGTACTTAAATCAATTTAATCAATAATTAAGGCATAATTTTTTACCTAATGTCTGTGTGCTCTGGTAAAATAAAAATTATTCTTGGCCACTTTGTAGTCTCCAGAATCTTTCCTTGTATTTGCTTTTGATAAATATTTGTTGTATAAATAAATCAATGTTTTAGGAGGATGGATTGATGGATCAAAAGAAAATAGGAAAATCTGACGAAAAATTTTAACACAGTTGGCTGGGCACAGTGGCTCACCCCTGTAATCCCAGCACTTTGGGAGGCAGAGGCGGGCGGATCACGAGGTCAGGAGATCGAGACCATCCTGGCTAACATGGTGAAACCCCGTCTTTCCCAAAAATAGAAAAAATTAGCCGGGCGTGGTGGCGGGCGCCTATAGTCCCAGCTACTTGGGAGGCTGAGGCAGGAGAATAGCGTGAACCCGGGAGGCAGAGCTTGCAGTGAGCTGAGATTGCACCACTGCACTCCAGCCTGGGCGACAGAGTAAGACTCCGTCTCAAAAAAAAAAAAAAAAAAATTAACACAGTTTAGTAGGATATGGTTTCTCATAATGTTTTTTTCTCCCAAATCCAGGCATCGTAAAGGTTGCCTCTATTTTCTGTTTTAGTTTATTCCACATATCAACATATTTTCTTCCTGGATTAGGTTCCTGTGTTTGCTGTACCAAGCAATCACAAACTTAATGGCTTAAAACAACAGGAATATTTATTCTCTCACAGTTCTGGAGGGCAGAAGTCTGAAATCAAGGTATGGCAAGGCAGTCCTCTCTCTGGAGGCTCTAGGGGAGACACTGATTCTTGCTGCCTCTAACTTCTGGTGGCTGCCAGCATTCTTTTCACCGTTTAGCCTGTGGTTGCATCACTCCAGTATCTGCCTCCATCTTTAGATAGGCTCTCCCCTGTGAGTTTGTGTGTCAAATTCTCTATTCTTTTAACTTATAAAGACACTAGTGATTGGATTGATGGACTGTTCAGATAATCTAGCATAATCTCCCTAGGTCAAAATCCGTAGCCCAGTCACAATTGCAAAGACACCTTCTCCTAATTAATTAACACTTACAGGTTCCAAGTTTTAAAAGTTGATATCTTTGGGTAGCCATTATCCAGCCTACGCCTCCTCCCATATATCATTATATATATCGAGGATTTTCCATTTGCAGATATGGAGGAAGTTAAGCCTACAGAAATTATAAACTGAAGTTGCTAAATATATTTCTTCCCTTGGATCATGCAGAAAATTAAACTTGTGGAAAAATTCATTTTAATTCAAAAAAGTTAAGGAAGAGAATTTTGGAAATTGTGGAGGAGTTTTTATTTATACTGAATTCTGTATGAAATGTCATATTCCCATACACCATTCATTAGGAAATAGTTAAAATTTTGTGCATGTATTAGTAATTATTCCTCATGACTTCCCTTAAACTTACACCTTACTTGAATGTCTCATCTCTACTTCTCAATTCTGAAGTAATTTTCATTTCTGACTTGATATTTATTAACCTTACACTTAGGAAAGAGCATAGAAAGAAAATTGACTAAAGCAAATGACTGGCCTATTTATTGGCTGAATAAATCAAAATAGAGAAATTAGAAACTCCAAAATTATATCTTACCTTAAAAATAGACTAATAACTCTCAAAGAGAATTATGATTGCTCTTTGTGAAATAAAAGAGATAATAGATTGAGAAACAAAGAACCTTACTGGCCTACAGAAAGGAATATATAAAATTGATGAAAATGATGTCTTTGAGATTCTCATAAAATTAACTGCTTTTTAAATAACATTTTAATACCCGTTATTGACAAATTGCTGTTCTGGGACTTCTGAAACAGCAGCCACCTGGGTTTCTTGGAAAGTTTGCTCTGTGTGAAGGTAGCTGGCATGGAAAGAGTTCACATCTCTGAGACCACCATACTCTGAGGAAGTTCAAGGTACTACGAAGAGATGCAAAGAAGCCTTCAGATAACCACACTCCACTCATGATCCAACTGTGGCTTCATTACCTAGGTGAAAACCATGCAGAAGAGCCCAGTTAATCCCTAGAATTGTTAAGAGATTATACTAAATCATCACATAATTAGAACATTTTCAACATGAAAATTATGACTCAGTCATAATTTACTTACTCATAATTTAAGTAAATGGCCCAAGGTCACATAAATAAGTGATAAATTTGGGATTCAAACCTAGTTTATTCATCTTAATGCATTTTTGTACCCATCCTCTTATACGATTTCCTTATGTGGCTTACTTTTGTTGTTGTTTTTCTCTTCCACTGCAGGCAACCTACTGAGGCCTTTTCACCTCATGAACTAGTTTCTCCATATATATAGTTTTCCATCTCTTTCCTTCTCTTCCTTCCTCATCATTAGAATCTTCATTATCATAACAGTGACAACTTACATTTAGTAAGTCTGAAGTAAATGACAGACATCTAGCCTGAGATATGTAACAAGAATTTGGCACCTCTCGTTAAATAGCTCCCCAACTCATCCCCCACATGAGAGTCAAATTGTCATATCTAGATTCTGTGTTTAATAAACCACACTTTACTTAAACATTTCCTTTTCTTTTGGGATAGAGACCATATTCTCTATGGCATTTTTATTCTAGAAGGCAGTGTGGAAAATAAGCATGGATATTGAGGTAAATTTAGCTGGTAATAATTGCCATTAAAAAATAATAAATTAAGCAATGTACAGGTTGAGCAACCTAATCTCAAAATGAAAAATGCTCCAAAATCCAAAATGCTCAAAAATCTAAAACATTTCGAATGCTAACATGAGATCATAAGTGGATAATTCCATACCACACTTCATGTGATAGGTCACAGTTAAAACACAGTCAAAACTTTGTTTCATGCACACAATTATTAAAAATATTGTATAAAATTACCTTCTTGCTAAATATGTAAGGTGTATATGAAACAAAAATGAATTTAAGTTTAGACTAGGCTCCCTTCCTTAAGATATCTTATGTATATGCAAATATTCCAAAACCCAAACAACTCTAAAATACAAAACACTTCTGGTTCGGAGCATTTTTGGTCAGAAATTCTCAACCTGTAGTAGAAGGGACACCATGGGCAGAGTGAGGCAGGAGATTACTTAGCATATAGTGTCAGATAGGGCTGTCTAAGAAGATGACAGTTAGTCTGAGATTTGAAAGATGGAGGCTGGGAGTGATGACTCACACCTCTAATTTCAACACTTTGGGAGGCCAAGGCAGGAGGATTCCTTGAGGCCCAGAGTTCAAGACTAGCCTGGCCAACAGGGCGAAACTCTGTCTCTACCAAAAATATAAAAATTAGCTGGGCATATTGTTGCACGCCTGTAATCCCAGCTTCTTGGGAGGCTGAGGCACAAGAATTGCTTGAACCTAGGAGGTGGAGGTTGCAGTGAGCCGAGATTGTGCCACTGCACTCCAACCTGAGGACAGAGTAATTCAAGAGACTAAAATGGTGGGTTTTTTTTTGCTTGGGATATAATGATTAAGGAGGAAGCAGCATTTTAAAAAAATATGTTATAGAGATTTTTGGGGGCTGTGTAATATTAACACTGCAGTAATAGGAAATTTGACTTTTATAACTAGTATATTTTAAAAAGAAATGAAGTTGTTAAATAAAGGGGTTAGCATGGTATGATTTACAACTGCTGTTCAGCAGGGCGGATGCAGAAGCAGGGAGACCATGAAGCGACCCTTGTAGAACTGAATTAAGAGCTGTTTGCAACTTGGAATAGATGATGGCAATAAAGATGAAGAAGACGAATGCTGGAATCAATAGGATATCCTGATAGATTTGGATCTGAGGAATGAGGAAAAAGAAAAGAACGAGGAAAGTCTGTGAACATTTGCTGCAAGGAGCTGTAGAAGATGGGATCCGCTTACAGTAATTAGCCTGAGAGAATGGAGAAAGCATTTTTGAAGAGCTCTGTTTTATTTAGCTTAAGAGGCCTATTGAAATCCAATATATGAATGTTAATTGTTTAGGCAATAGATATATGATCTGAACAAGAGAGGGCTGCTTGGAAAACACCTGCAGGTAGAGTGATAGGACTGAATGGAATCTTTTTGTGAGAAAGATAGAGAAGAGGGTGCAGGGATGATTCCTGCAGGATGTGCAAGGTGAGAGTTCAGAGTATGAAGAGCGAGCAGGTGATAGAGAAGGGAAGAAAACTGATGTAAGCAAACTTAGACTGTGTTTTTTCTCAGAATCAAGTAACAGGATCTCTGAATTTTCCAAGCTCTGCATGTGTGCATATATGCCTTTGTGTGGGTGTGTGTTTATGACATTTAAAGCATGTTGAGGGCCAAGAAATGTTCATTGCTTTTAGCGACAAGAAGAATTGAAGTCTAACTAACTCTCTTTTAAATTATTTTTCTCTTGGATAATTCATTGTGACTTTCTGGATGCTTATGGGCACTCTTGCTTCTGTGGAAGGCTCTGAACTGAATTCCTCCAGTCTTCTTTCTTTTTCACAACTGGTTGACAATCAAGGCCAGGCCTGAGGCTCACCAGCTGTGAGTACTACACGTTGTGCCAGACAGTGCTACTTGATCTGCCCGTCCTTAGAGCCACAGTAATGGCCATGTAGAGCAACAATCCGCATGTGCTGTGCAAACATCGCTGAAAACAACTCTGAAATACAGTTTCGCTCAGTTCATGTGTCCACGAGAAACTCTGAGATGACAAAACGTAAATCTTTTTTTTTTTTTTCATTAAAGTAGATAAATCCTTCAACTGGAAGAAAACAAAACAGAAAGAATTACTTCTTCCAAGTGTAGATCTATAGATTTTGGATTTTTTTCATTTCTTTTTTTCTTTATGAAGTGGAAGATGCAAAAAGGGGCTGATCAACAAACCCTGATCTCTCAACTGGCCCATCAGTCTGTAGTTAGTTAAAACACAGAAGCCAATAGTTTGTGACACAATGCTGTTAAGTGGGAATGAGGGATTTGTTTAATACAATTTAAAATGATTTTGTGGTGTGCCTCATAGTCATAAAACATTTTATTCAAAACATAGAGTATAATAAATACAGGTACCTAATATTAATCCAACAGAAACTATACATTTTACTATTAATAGACAAGTGAAGATCTCTCTCCAATCAATAGAGAATATCAGTTTGAAGGGACAAGCGATGATTGGCTGATTAAATTGACAACCTGCACTCAACCAGCTGACCATTCTTAGTGAAATAATTCAGAGTGACAGCCAGATTTCTCGATCTGGTCCTGTTTGTGTGTCAATCACTTGCCAATACTTCTGAGTCACTCACAGATTTCCATGCAACTGTGTTGAAACAACCTCCTTTTTCATTTTTTTCATTTTTTTTTTTTTTTTGAGACATAGTCTCGCTCTGTCACCCAGGCTGGAGTGCAGTGACGCAATCTCAGCTCACTGCAAGCTCCGCCTCCCAGGTTCACGCCATTCTCCTGCCTCAGCCTCCTGAGTAGCTGGGACTACAGGCGCCCGCCACCATACCCAGCTAATTTTTTGTATTTTTAGTAGAGACAGGGTTTCATTCTTAATTCTACACATTCCTTTTAAAAATTAATTTCTTTCTAACTCATTCAGTCTATTCATGGTTCTGGACTCTCCACACTCCTGCTCTCACTGGGCAGGTAGGGAAAGTCTCCACATTGATGAAGTGCTAATCCCTCGACCCTCATCATAGCCACGCTAGCATTGGCTTCAGTTGACCTGAAGTGTTTGGGAGAAAAGTGAGAGATTTAACTACTTTAACCTCAATATTGACTTCACTGCTTACAAATATTTAACTGCCTGTATATTAATATATCCTTTAATATGTCCCCATGTACTGCATGTGTGTGTTCTGTTTCTGTAATTAGATTATAAACCCACTGGGGACAAAGCCATTTCATGCATTTTTTTAAACCCCTAGTGTATATTAATACAGTGACTTGCAAATCGTTGATAATAAAAATATTAGCTAATGGTAAAAAAGAATTACAACTAGATATTTATAGGCCTCTCTTTTACTAGCTTAGGTAAAAATTATATTGAATTAATTCTTATGTGCCATTAACTCCTTTTAAAGGTCTTGAAGCTATAAAATAATACATGTTTATTGAATATAATTATGCAACATATTTTAAGCATCAATACATCCATTTTTGTGAACCATAGTAAATTAGGTGTACTATCTTACAATGTGATTAATTTTCATATTCCTTTGTATTTTGATTTGGGTATTTGTTATATTTTTCCATTTTCAGCTGTATTTGTTTTACTTTTCCTCCTAATTTTTAAATTACTTGAGAAAGAGTGAAAATCTTTAACTTCATGTGTAAACTTTCATAGCAGTGAAAGTATTAGTCTGCAGTGATAGTACTCAATATATGTAATTGATCATTTTATTAATTGCCTGTCTCTGTAAACTTTGGTCAAAGTAAATTTGTTTCACAAGAGTATGCTGAATACCAGCCAAGATGCATAAGCTGTTTCCTAGGGGAATAACTTGCGGGCCCATGGATTGTTTATATATTTTTATGATGTTGGGTAACTGTTCCATAACATTAAGTTTCTGTGTTTACCTGAATACTTAGAAGAATATAAAAGCTTCTTAGCCTTAAACAAAATATTTCTGAAAAAGAAATCATTTAATCATGCTTATAAAGTGAATGAGAAATACAATAAGTATGATTCTGGCAAGTCTCAAAGCAAAATTTCTCAGAAAAAAAGAAGTGATAGTCTCACCATTCTCCCTAACTAGGGAAGCACTTTTATCCCTATCACTCATAAAGCAATAACACTTTATTCTCACAGTATTCTTTTTGCAAAAGAATGTAAGTGTTGACAAAAAGAGTCAAACTCTGTAAAATCTTTTAAGAGATTTATTCTGAGTCAGATATGAGTGGCCACGGCCTGTGACACAGCCCTCAGGAGGTCCTGAGAACATGTGCCCAAGGTGGCTGCGGTACAGCTTGGTTTTATATATTTTAGGGAGGCATGAGACATCAATCAAATAGATTTAAGAAACACATTGGTTTGGTTCAGAAAGGCGGGACAACTCAAAGCGGGGGCTTACAGGCTATAGGTAAATTTAAACATTTTCTGGTTGACGGTTGAGTTTGTCTAAAGATCTGGGATTGATAGAAAGGAATGTTTAGGTTAAAGGTAAAGGATTGTGGAAACCAAGTTTTATTGTGCAGCGGAAGCTCTCGGATAGCTGAGAGAGCAGAGAGACAGCAGGTTGTAAATTGTTTCTTATGGGACTTAAGAGGGTGCCTGGTTCTTAGTTGATTATCTCCTGGATTTGGGAAGGAAGGAAGGAAGGAAAACAGAGGGGTAAGGGGATTCTATAGAATGTGGCTATTTCCCACAAGAGACTTGGCAGGGCAATTTCAAGTTATGGCAAGGAAATATATTTTGGGGTAAAGCATTTTGATTTTCTTCCTTGTTATGCCAGAGTCAGATTGGAAAGTAAGTTACGATATACAGGGCTAAATAAATCCCACCTGATTAGAATTTATGGTTTGTAGGGCATGAGTCCCCAGACCCCTTAGAAAGGAATTTGGGTAAGATAAAAATCAGAACTTAGTCCTCATGAGAGTAAAAAAAAATAAACACACACATGCACACACAAAGAAACAGAACAAAACTTACATGTTAGCTTTCTTTTTTTTTTTTTAATAGGGGAATTTAAATGTGACACTCAGAACGTTTTAGTCATATTAAAAGTGCACCAGATTTCAAGTGTAGATATAATCCAACTAGACAAATACTCTCCTGGACCACTGTGGCTCTAGTTCTAACATTTAGCTGTTTTCCTCATAACCAAAGGATTCCAGTATACTGTAGCAGATTATAAGGCAGTAAAATGGATTACTCATCTCTTATTCCTGCTTAATATGGTGCATGTTTAAGAAATAGAGAGCCATAGGTTATGTATTTTATGTAATGTTATGGGAGATAATATTATCAAGATGATGTTTGATCCTTAACATAGGATCTTTCTTCTCTATCCCCATTCCAATATTTGCATTTCAAGAATGCCCTTATCTTTTGTTGTCTGGAGTTCTGCAGTAGTCTATTAACAGCTATTAAGTGTTTACAATCACAGTCACCTTAATTCTCTCCTTCAGCTACTGCCAAAATGAGCTTTGTAAACCAAAGCTCATTCTTCTCCTTTAGTCCCCACCACTGGAAACTCTGTAAGTGTCCCTAGGTTGCTTTCCTTGATTTCATATTTAACACGCATATTTATTTCATTGTACAATTTGGACTGTTGTGCATATTTCTAGTATTTTATTTATAGTAACAATTTAAATTTTAGACCAGAATGTTCCAACGTATTCATATGTCCATTTTCTGAAGGTTAATGCAAGTTTCCAAATCAAATATTCAACTATAAAACCAAATAGAAAATACTAAGATGGTAATGTCATCAGTTTCTAATGTGCTTGAGTTATTTTCATGTGTATGATAATTTCAAGAACCCCTGTGTAACCTGATTAGCAATAACAACAACTTCACTCCAAAATTTTGGAGAAGTTTACAGATATTGCAAAAATGTGTACTTATTTGCCAATTGTTTAATGCATCAAACATAACAACCACATATTTTTAAAATATTTATTTGGTAAGTAAGTAAGCATTATTTAAGAAATCCATATCATGGTGAAAAGAATTCACTGTGACTTTCCAGACAACTTATAGGCAAGTTTACAGGGTATCAAAAAACAGCATTCTTTTATGTTATCAGTTTATTCAATTCACTTATTAACTGATCATTGAGGAAATGACTTTCCTGTTTACTACCTGTCACCTAGTGAGTTAACACCTGTAATCATATAGAAATAGTAATCAGACTACAATGATTATTTTTAGTTTATTTATATTTGGGTTAATTTTCATTTAAGTATTGTTATTGATAGGTTAGAGATGAAACAGCTTGAGTGAATTTTTTAAATTATAATTTAATAAAAGAAGCTCAATGCTCTTAACTTGGGGTTACTGGGATTTTGAGACGCCAGAACAAGTGGCTAAAGAAAACTAGAGACTCATTTGATAAGTATCAATCAATTCAGCTAGCCTTTTTTTGTTGCTGTTACAGGAAATATAATCAAGCAGCACATAGGTCTGTGTATTCCCAATTATCATTCAACACTCCATAACTGTTATTTATAACTCTATGGAATGGTAACATTTGGGAGGAACAAGTGTGAGCCTCTGAAGAAAGGCTACTAAGGAAAAGAGAAACAGCTATGGTCATGTTTAAGCTCGATGTAAGTACATTTATGTGTTACCTTGTGCCAGGATATGCCCCAGTATTTGATCGAATATTATTCTGTGTGTAACTGTCAGGGGCTTGTTGATGAGATTAGCATTTGAATCAGTAGATTCAGCAGATGGCCCTCCCTAATGTGGGCCTCATCCAATCAGTTGAAGGCCTGGATGGAACAGTCTGAGGAAGACAATTTCTTCTCCCTATCTATCTTCATGCTGAGACATTGATTTGCTTTCCTGCCTTCAGACTCAAGTGGAAATACAGGATCCTCCTGGTTCTCAAGGCTGTTGACTTCTCAGACTGGAACTATGTCATTGGCTTTCTTAGTTCTCAAGTCATCAGATGGGGACTGGAACTATGCCACTGCCACTCCTGGGCCTCTAGCTTGCTGAGTACAGATTCATCACTGCTTGAGTCAATGCCTTGAAATAAACAAATAAATCCATCTCATTGGTTCTGTTTCTCTGGAGAATCTTAATACATTCTGTATTCTAATATAAATTGAATTCAAAAAAATGCGACTAAAATTCATTTAAGTGAAGAAAATTGAAAATGTATAATTTGACTTTCACTCATTTTTTACATTTATATTTTTATCATGTGTTTAGTAATCATTAATTAATTACTTATTGTGAGTACTGTGTGCTAATAATTGTTCAAAGCACATGAGATGGTATAGTAGCGAACCAAAGATCCCAGCCGTCATAGAGCTAAGTTAAACAGTAAATAACAAAAACAACATATAAGTAAGTTATTTGTATATTGGAAGGTGATAAATCATTTTGTGAAAAAGAAAAATATAGGGAAGTTGAAGGGGTCAGGAGTGCTGAGGGCAGGCGTATTTAGACATTTCACACAGTGGGTAGAATGGTCTTCACTAAGAAGATGACTTCCCTGCAAACCTTAAAGGAGTGTGAAGGTTCGTTACACAAATACCTTGGGAATAATATACCAGATAGAAGAGCCAATTTAAAGGTTCTAAGGTGAAACATGCCTAGAATATTCGAGAAAGAATGAGGAGGCCAATGCATCTTGGGCCTGAATGATCTCAGTTGGAGGTGAAATAGGATAAAGCCAGAGCAGTAACAGGGGAAGCGAGCTCATGGGCCTTGCTGACCAGTGTTAAGAAATAAGCTTTTGCACAGAGTGAAATGGGAAGTTATTCCCAAGGCTTGAAAGCAGAGGAATGATGTATTTAGTGATTGCTTTAAAAAGAACACTCTGGCTGCTGTCTTGCAAATAGGCTGGAGGAAGGAAAGGGTAGACGCAGTTAGCACGGCTGGAGGTAATGGCAGTAATCCAAGCAACAGATGAGGGCAAAGCAGAGGAGGCTGACTGCAGTAGATGTGGTGAGAAATGCCTGGATTCCAGGTATTACTCAAGATATTTCCTGGCAGGAAGAAGATGGGCTGTAAGAAGGGTCAAGGGAGATTCTGCCAAATTGTTAGCTTGAGCAACTGGCAAGTGGATTGTCATCAATGAGTATAGGTAAGATAGTGGATAGGATAAATTGGGAAGAACAGGAGTGAAATTAGGGGATTGTTTGTTTGTTTTGTCTATTAGAAAACCAAGATGGAGTAATCAAGAATGCTGCTGGATATGAGTTTAGAATTTGGGAATAAGATGTGCTTGGATTAAACATGTGAGAGTTATCCCACAGATGGGACACGCTCCTGAATGTGTCCCCTTTGCTATGCCTCCCTGGGATGCCCTTCCTACTTCTTCTTCAAAAGCCACGAAACTTAAACAGATTTTCAAGGGAGTCAGTGAAGACACTGAGAAAACAGGATGTGGACCTCATCTTTGGGAATAAAAGGAGAAACCAGGAAAGAAAAGTGGAAAACAACAACTAGAGAAACACGAGGAAACTCAAGAGAATGGGAACTTACTGGAGATAGAACCTGAGTGAAGTAAGTGTGAGGAGAAGAGTAAGACATTGTCAGATGTTGCTGGCAGGCCAAGCAGGAGGAGGAGCAAGAAACGACCACTGAATTCAGCAACGTGGGGCTCACGGGCAACTTTTATGAAGCAAGTTAGAGGAACAGTGGGATTGAACCTTAATGAATTATGTTTAAGTGCCATGTATACATTCCCATCATCTCTTTTAACTTATGACAATTACACCAAAAGATTTTAGAAGTCAAATTAAATTTAAGAGTATCTTGTTTCTTGCCTGGGCTTCTTGACTTTTAGATATGTAAAAATAGCCAATATAGATGTATTCTACTTCCAATGTACTTGGGAACATTTCTTAAATAAAAGAAAATAAAGTGGAGGACTGTTTTCTAGTTGTAGAGTTTGCATTTGCATTATGTAATAAAGAGTACAAGCACTATCTTCTATTAAAGATCTCCCTATGAACCTATGAGGTCCCTAAATCTCTGACATTAATTCCATTCTCCTACATGTTCCTAGATGATATGACTATGCTTTAGCAAGTTGTTACTGAATTGAGTGGTGATCGATACGTTATGTCCAATAATCTCCACTATTAGATCAATCTGAGTACTTTATTTAGGTGGCTAGTGGGAGCTGCGTGAAACAGGACAGAGACAGACATAAGCAACCTGAGAGTGGAAAAGAGCAGGGCACTCCTAAATATGGCCATGGATGTCTACAGCATCAAATATGTCATAAAAACAAGAACAATCATAATTTGATTTGAATGTAGTAATTATTACTATCACATAAACTTATGTATAAAACTAGCTAAATCTAATCCCTTGATATCTTATAATGCGCCATCTCAATATATGAGCTACAAATATTAAAGTGATAGTTCTGGTCCTCAGCAGTCCCCCCAAACTTTTTGCCTTTTTGGCACCACGGACCAGTTTCATGGAAGATAATTTTTCCATGGATGGGGGGTGGGGGTAGGGGGTGTGGTGGGGGGAGGGTATGGTTTCCTGATGAAACTGTTCCATCTCAGATCATCAGGCATTAGTTAGATTCTTATAAGGAGCACACAACCTAGATCCGTCCCATGCACAGTTGACAACAGGGTTCGCGCTCCTATGAGAATGTACTGCCCCAGCTGAGGTGACAGGAGGCAGAGCTCAGGCAGTAATGCTAGTTAGCCCACTGCTCACATTTGCTGTGCAGCTGGTTCCTAACAGGCCATGGACTGGTACTGGTTAGTGGCTTTCCTATATCTTAAATATATGAAAGGATCATTATTTTTAATGTCCTTCAATACCACATGGCATAATTCCTAAATGTCAAAACAATCAAACCACTGTTTAGGATGATGATTATATTTTTTGTGATATAAATACCAAAAAGCAGATTTAAGCACTGATATAATAAATCAAATCAACTCGAATGGGTAAAAATCATTTAAACAGATGGTTTTTCCAAATTCTATTTTATTCAGTAAATATAAATTATGCTTACTAGAAAGTTCAGGACTAATTGATTCTTTTTTACAAGTTCATAAAACAAAGTTGAATCTGTTCAACTCACCATCTCAAGACCATGTTTGTTTGTGCAAAATAAAGTACCCCATTTTAATTCTACCTAATTATATGTTTTGCAGTTCCATAAATATGTTTTTTCAACAATGCTTCTAAAACATTACTTTCTTGGGAATATAGGTGTACTTTTAAATATCATAAAATTTTTGGGCTTGCTATAGTTTATTTCATATTTAAAATAATATATTTTCTATATTAATTGCTCTAAGATGACTTTATTTGGATATATTAAACAGAAAAGAACTTCTAAAGATGTAAATTTAATATGTTTTCTAAGTATTTTATTATTCACTAAATTAAATTCATGCCTTTAAGTTTCTCTCTGAAAACCCCCATCTTTCTTTCTTTGCTTCACTGAACACCCTACAGCTTCCCAAAGGGAAAAATAAATAAAGGCTCTAATAATGAGTAGTTTCCCAAGGCACATCTTGTCTTGATTTGGAATACTTTTAATGAAGGCAAGAATAATCAGTCTCCACTGTGTTTATCAAAACTTTGGAACTTTGCAGTACACTTTTTTTCTTTGAAATATATAAATGATTGCACAGGCTTCCTGTTCAAATCGGTAAAGTTTCTTTTAACTATTTGAATGATATGTTTTGACAAAGAGTCTCCAATGCTTTAATTTAAAGGCAGGTTTATGATCAATAATGGATACGATTATGATGAGTGAAGGTTTACTGATTTCCTTCTTTGCTTGTCACCCAGGGCTCTGTGAGTGGTTTCCTGTCTCTATCACACTTGTCTAGTTAGAATGTATTTTAACTCTTCTCCCCCCATGTCTAATTCTGTAAGGGCTGAACACAAAATTAGGCATATGTGAAATTTTGGTTAATTTTATTTGTTGTTATTCATTATAATGTGATTTATTTCATTTACAAGGTTGTTCAGGAAGAGGGCAGCAAATTGGACAAATCTTTGAGTTATACACCTATGTAAACAAATACAAGAATATTTTAGGCTACTCACAATACCAACCTGAGATTAGTTGAACCCTTAAATCCAACTGCAGTGAAATAGAAACTATAGTGAAGAATAGACGTCTAGTAAAGTGAGGAAATAAAACAAATAAAATCATTCCCAGATTTCTCAACTGATCTGTCTTGAAATACTTGGAACGCAACCTTTTTCCTCTGTGTGTTACATGACCCCTTTTTGATAAATTAGGTTAATTTAAAACATAGAATTACCTTATCATCAAATAACACATCTAGAAAAAATGTTGAACAATCATCCATCCAATCAATTATTTCATCTTCATATCTAAAATACTCAAAACTTATTATTTAAACAAATTCCTCAAGAAAAGTGCTTGAAAAAGAAATTTATTTTTAAACAATTGGAATTCTTTTGTGTTACATGTGTATGCATGTATGACATCACATTCTCTATAAAAGTCATAATCAAATTATTGAAGGTAATTAAATGGTCATCTTGAAAAAGATGTTTGTGTATCATTCTTGATCTATGCTCATTTATTTTTACAATTTACATAGGTACTGAAGTGGAGATTAATGTGGCTTAATAAGGATTATTTTTTATCTTCTTAAGTTAGATTCACTCTGCTGTTTACCTGTTATTAGTAAATCGTCTCCCCCAAAACAATGACAAAAAACATCTGTAATGACATTGGCAAATAATTAACCTTATATGGGAAATATAATTTATTTAATAATTGTTAATGTTAATTTAATAAAGTTAATTGTATGTCATTAATTTTTACTAGACATTTTATATAAACTATCAAATGTAATTTTCAAGTTTTCATATGATAAAGCTTAATTAACATCACATTTTAAAAATGAATCTGAAGATTAATTTATTAAAATAAAATCTGCAACATTATTTATAGGAAACACTGGAACTGAAATATAAATTCACAGTAAACTGAGTTCAAAAATTTATGAATGTTTTTGCTATGTTGTCATATCTCTATTAAAGTACTTATAACTACAAGATGTGGATAATTTCAGTAATCACATACTGCAATGGCTCAGTCTGAATAAATAATCTACATTCACCAGGACTACACCGTGCAGTAGTAACCGGTATCCACATGTGGCTATTGAATATGGCTAGCTGAACTGGGACGTGCAGTAAGTGATGTAAAATACATGCTAATTGCAAAGTCTTGGTTCATAAAAATAAAGCAAAATATAATTAATATTTCAGATTGGATACATAGTAAAATAATATTATATTTAGATATATAGAGTTAAATAATATATAATTAAAATTAGTTTTCTCTTTTTTGTAATTTATTTAGTTTTGAAACTAGTTTTAAAATTTAATTTATTTAAATTTAAAGAAATTCTTAAATTTAAGAAGATACATTTAATTAAAAATTATACATATGACTCATATATGTGTGGTTCACATTCTATTACTGTTGGACAGCTCTGTTCTACATCACTTTTGTTTGCAATAAATGACATTATTAATGACAACAATGCTGAATGAAAAATCATAATGGAGAATACAAAAATTACACACATTCGAGAAAAATACCTGTCAACCTTTTAAGTTTCTTATACATGATAAGATCTCTTGAGGTTTCTATTTCATTTTCCCTGGGACCTGGGGGAACCACACTCATTATATGCATCACGTGCAGTGACAGGTGTAGTTACAGCTGCAAAAAGATCTCCTTTTATATCTCAATTTCCATGTTCTGAGAATGAAGAATATTTCACCTTTCATCTGGAAATTTGCCATTACATAGCCTCAGGCCAAAAGCTTTATTTAAAAAAAAAAAATTCGTAAAAATTGTCATGAGTGGCAAAGACACACTTTTTTTTCCTTTGCCAAACATTCCGAATAAATTTACTTTATTAAGTAAATTAAAATTATGAATATATAAAATATTCAATAAGGACAATAAATTTTTTACAATGACATGCATTATATTTCTATCCCAGATGTGATTTACATCATCGATCAGTAGTATCTCAATTATTCAAAATGAGAAGAGGAAAGCATGCCGTGAATTCCCATTAGAAATCTTAAACAGTTAATCATGAGCTCTTTTTACTTAAGATGATAAAGATCACCCTTTGACTTAGCTTATTATTTTTGTCTTTCTGTCCATAATTTACTAGTTGTTTATGAGAAGCCAGGCTTGGAAATTTTGCTTCGGGGCAAGCAGTTGTGGAAATTATTCTGCCCTCTAGAAATCCTGTGTTTTTTTTTCTTGCATGATGGGAAGCTCCTAATGATAAGTGCTGGCTTGAGAAACCCATAAAAATCTTTGTTCATTTGAAATAGCTACAAGCTTTTAGGGGTCTTTGTTGTTCAGTGTCTACTGGATTATGGAAGTTGTAAGAGGGAATAGACAAAGTCTCAGAAGTCTTAGTAGTATTTTATCTTATAGGGATTGGGGTGTCACATATAGACAAAGGTGTAAGGTTTCATCAGATAGTCTAAGAATTACTAAGGATTATGAGCTTAACCACAGACAGGATTTATACAGGTATTCATATAATGTATTTATTGAGTTGTTGTTTATTATGCGTTTTAGTCATGCTAAGTACTGGGAGATAAAAAGGTGAAAATCTAACAGTCACAATTTTTATTTCTAGAAGGATAGTAACTTGAAAGATTTTCTCAATCAAAATTAATAAATGATGAATAAAATTCAGCCAAAAACTTTGTAATCCACAAATGAGCTAACAAAATATAAATGAAATGCAATAACTAAATCAAAGAGAAAAACATAACCCTAGGAGATAAGAGAGCACCAAGGCTAATATTAACCCTGAGGGTTTGTGTTCTTTAGTAAGAATAAATTATATGGTCACACTTTTCTTTTTCCATTTTATCACAATGACTGCGGAATATACTTGAAAAGCAACATGTTGACATAATTAAAATGACATTTTTCATTAAGAACATCTTTATATCAAGCAGTGTCCATTAATATAGTAATCAGCCAAGTGCAGTGTTTCTCTAAATATTCCTTTCCATTTTATATGTTTAAAAATACCTAGCAGCGTAAAAATAACAAGTCCTGAATTTTGCCTCCAGAAGGATTATGTTTCAGCCCTCAGACACATAATATGGAATAAAGAATTTTAGATGATATGAGTCACCAATGTCAATCAATTTTAGTGATATGGTTTAAATATGTCCTCCCCCCAACACACACACAATTCATACATTGGAAAGTTAATCTCCAATGTAATAGTGTTGATATGTGGGACCTTAAAGAGGAGATTAGATCATGAGGATTTTGTCTTCATGAATGAATTAATGCCATTATTCTGGGAGTGGGTTTCCTATAAGAATATGAGTTTGACCCCTTTCCCTTTCTTCTTTGCCCATGTGATGCCTTTTGCCATGTTACGATGCAGCAATAAGGTGCTCAACAGATGCCAGCTCCTTGCACTGACTTCTCAAATCTCCAGAGCTGTGAGAAATAAATATCCATTGTTTATAAATTACCCAGTGTGGGGTATTCTGTTATAGCATCACAAAGTGGACTAAGACACCTAAATAGATGATGCCACTAAAAATACATAAAAATGATGTTTGGAAACTCTTGAATTCATATGAGTGAGCATTGTTAAGGGAATAAGGGAGGTCATAACATACAGAAACCAGTAACAGCCAGACACTGTTAACACCCCTAGGGCTGATGTAGTAAGTAAGGAAATAACATAGCTTTTGCACATAGAAAGGGGGACACTGAGTAGGACCTTAGTCTTGGTGTGATGCTATCAACAGAGGCGAAGTGGCTCATGCCTGTAATCCCAGCACTTTGGGAGGCCGAGGTGGGTGATCACCTGAGGTCAAGAGTTCAAGACCAGCCTGGCCAATATGGTGAAAGCCCATCTGTACTGAAAAAAAAAAAAAATTAGCTGGGAATGGTGGTGCACACCTGTAGTGCCAGCTACTTAGGAGGCTGAGTCAGGAGAACCACTTGAACCCAGGAGGCGGAGGTTGCAGTGAGCCAAGATAGCACCATTGCACTCCAGCCTGGGCAACGGAGAGAGGCTTTATCTAAAAAAAAAAAAAAAAAAAAAAAACAAAAAACAAAAAAACACGCACACACACACACACACACACACACACACACAACACAGACCACCAAACAGAAACAAACTTTCCCCTTAAATACTGTGCTACACTGAGTGAAGTGATGAAGTGATGCCTTGTTTTCTTCTATGTAGAAACCAAATATTAAAATAAGAAGCCCAAGTAAACCAATGTTCTATGCCAGACAGAACAATGAATTTCTTATTGTCTGTGCTTCTTATATTAGATAAGAAATTTGTGGTATTCCATCAGTAGAAATTCATGCTGAAATGTATTAAAAATTTACAAGGCACAGTAGGTATAATGAGGTTATTAAAATGAGTAAAATGTGGTCCCTTTTCTCAAGGATTTTATTTGAGGGGAAATAACACATATTCAATAATGTCAGACACAATGTAAGTATTGAAAGAGATTTAATCACACTATTGGTAAAAGCATATAAAAAGATAATTTATTTCTGAATGGAAGTATCCAGGGAGGCATCAGAAAAAGCTAGTTTTTGAGTAGAGAATGAAAGTCAGAATCAGGGGAATGGATTATTCTACGGAGAGGGAGTAGCATGTGAAAAATAATCTCAGAATAATACAAGTAAGTCAGGAGAGGTTCAGGTATTTTAATATCTAAATCAGAATATGGGGTACTTTTCCCCCTACCAGAAGATAAAACCAGAAATGGAAGTTGTGGCCATATTTTAATAGACCTGAACATTATATTTAGAAGTTTGTTGAGAATAATGAAATTCTTTAAAGGTCTATAGTGTAGCAGTGATATCAGAATGATTAAATAATTTATTATCACTTCTAATTCTTACATTATTTAAAAATTATTTTAAATTACTTATTATATTCTAATGAACAGTGAGAAAGTATATGATATGGTTTGGAACTGTGTTCCTATCAAATCTCATGTCAAATTATAGTCCCCAGTGTTGGAGGTGGGGCCTGCTGGGAGGTGGTTGGATCATGGATCATGAATGGTTTCGCGCCATCCTCTTGGTACTGTGCTCACAACAGTGAATGAGTTCTTGTGAGATCTGTTCATTTATAAGTGGGTAGCACCCCTCCACCTCTGCTTTTTGCTCCAGCTCCTACCATGTGAGATGCCTGGCTCCCCCTTTGCTTTCCACCGTAATTGGAAGCTCCTTGAGGCCTCCCCAGAAGCAGATGCCGCCATGCTTCCTGCACAGCCAATTCAACCTCTTTTCTTATAAATTACCCAGTCTCAGATATTTCTTTATAGCAATGCAAGAATGACCTAATAAATACAGTATAAAATAAACTAGAAATGCTTGAGTAGGAAAACATTACGCACAAAAATATGATTTAATTATTTGTAATATAAATGCATGTCATAATGCTTGCACCAAAAATAGTATGTGCCAGTAACATATTTGTTATTGAAAACTTCATTACTAGATGTTGAAATGCTTTTGAAACAATGGTATTTTTCCGTAATACGGAGACACCCCCACATGTGCCTTGTAGACCAAAAAGTATCTGAGACAAGCCTCAATCAATTTAGAAAGTTTATTTTGCCAAGGTTAAGGACACTCCCATGACACAGCCTCAGGAGGTCCTGATGACATGAACCCAAGGTGGTTGGGGTACAGCTTGCTTTTATACGTTTTAGGGAGCCATAATACATCAATCAATATATGTAAGATTTACATTAGTTCAGTCTGAAAGGGAGGGACAACTCGAAGTGGGGGGCAGAGCTCTTCCAGGTCATAGGTAGATTTAAACATATTCTGATTGGCAATTGGTTCAAACAGTTATTATCAGTAGCAAAGAATATCTGGGTTAAGATAAGGGATTGTGGAGATCAAGGTTTTCTCATGCATATGAAGCCTCTAAGTAGCCGGCTTCAGAGAGAGTAGACTGTAAATGTTTCTTAACAGATTGAAGGTCTGCGTTGATGTTAATGCTGGAGGTGTATAAGGAGGCATGGCTGACCCCCACTTCCTATCTTGGCCTGAACCAGTCTTTTAGGTTAAATTTTAAAGTGCCCTGGCCAAGGAGGGAGTTCATTCAGATGGTTGTGGTGGCATCTTTGAGTTTTATTTTTTATTTAAAGCTCTAAAAGATGTAGCAAAATTAAAGTTTGGTGCCATAATTTGTAAACTAAAAAAAAAAAAAAAAGCAAATAACAGGTATGTGATTAAAATAGTGATATTCCCAAAAGGAAAAAAGAGACATACAGACATTTACATAATTTCAAATATTCATAAAACCAACACTAACATATACAATACCTAGGTTAAAAAATTAACTGAATTAATACTTCAAGCTGTTGCTTCTCAGACTTTTATTGTGCATAAGCATCTTTTTTTAAGACACAGGTTCAGATTCAGGAATCTGTAGCAAAGCCTGAGATTCTCCCAGGTGCTTCTGCAGGGGCTGCTGCTGCTATTAGTCAAAAGGCTGCTCATGGATGTCAAGTCTCCAGACAACCTCCTTCACCCCTTTCTGTGTTACCCTCCCCGCTCACTAGAATTAACTATAACGCTCAATTTTGTTTTGAAGAGGACCTTGATTTTCCTTACATCTTAACACCTAAATATGTATCCCAAAACTTTGTATGGGCATATGTATTACATTTTATCTACCAGTTTCAAAACTTGCTTGTGGAAAATTAGGTTTTTTATTACTTAATATTTTAGAGGTTTACTTATAGCTAATTATAACTGGTCCATTTATTATCCTGCTGCATATTATTCCATTATATGATTATACTGCTACAATTTATCTGTTTGTCTTTTGCCAGCATATATAAAGCCAACAATAGTATTACTTCTGTTATGAAAATTCTTATGTGTATGCCCAGAGGCTTGTGTGCAAGAGTTTCTTTGGAGTATGTAAGGGGAGGAAAATGACTGGACCACAATATGATATGGAACCTGACTCAATTTTTGATGTTTTGGCGCTGACAGCTTTTAAGCCTCATCTCTTTCTGTTCCTTTCTGAGCAAGCTAATAAGAAAGAACTGGTGCTTTCTCCTTTGGCGCTTCTGGGAAGTTCAAACCTTGACCCTGGCCCCACCCGCTAAACCCCACAAAAATCCCAAATTAGTTTTGTTTCTGTGTGCACTTAAGTTATTTTTGGATCAGCTTGGAAAGTCTGTCTTGTGTCTCCCAAAATGTCTCATTATATGAATAAGAAAACTTTGCCTATTTTCTCGGGTATGTGTGTGGGTGACATTATCAGTCTTAACATCTGAACCATATTTTGGAACATATCCGGGTTCAATCCTCAAGATGGCCATAACACATAGGGTAAGTAAGAAATTTCAAGTTTACCAGGTAGTGTCAAATTATTTTCTAAAAAGTTTGTGACAATTTGTAATCCAGTCAGCAGAGGATGAGAAGTCTCATTTCTTCATGTACTTTCCAATGCCTGATACTGTTAAACTTTTAATATAAGTGCACCCAGTGATTACAAATTGGATCTCATCGAGTTTTTATTTTTAATTTCCTGAATTAATACTGAGGTTGAAACATTATTTTTGTGTTTCTTCATCACACGAATTTGTTAGTATTCTTTATTCTCTGAAATATCTATGAATACTTTGCCTCTTTTCTTTTAAATCTAATTAGTATTGCCTTGTAGGAATTTTAACTATATTATAAATATAAATATATTATAATTTTAAAATTAATATAATGTGATTATTTTTATCCCATTTAGTATCTATATCCTCTATCAATTTATAGCATTTTTAAATTTTTAAATTTTTTTCATTTTTTTAAAGACAGGTTTTCACTCTTGCCCAGGCTGGAATGCAGTAGCACAATCATAGCTCATTGCAGCCTCGAACTCCTGGGCTCAAGTGATCCTCCAGCCTCAGCTTCTCAAAGTGCTAGAATAACAGGCATGAGCCACCATATGCCACCCTTACAGCATCTTTTAGTGAACAGATTTTCTAATTTTAATGTGGTAAATTTATCAATTTTGTCAGCTTTTTGCATCGTGTTTTTGTATCTATCTCTTCAAAAAGCTTAATGCTTCAATATTACATTCATACATTTAAATGTAAATACTGAAATAATATACCACTTACTAATATGCATATGATGTAAAGAGGAAACAATTGAACCCCTTTCATTTTTTTAGAAATGTTTATTTAGTAGTCTATCCTTTCCTCATTCATGTGCAATATCATCTCCACCATATAACGTGACCCATGTAAACCTGGAATTGTTGCTAAAGTCTAAATTGGATTCAATTAGTAAATTTATCTATCTACTTTGCTTATAAAAATGCTTAGTTACTATATATTTTTAAAATGCTTTGATAGATCTAGTACAGATAATTTTCTTCACATTATTTTTGTCTTGAAAGGTGTTATTCTTGGATCTTTATTGTTCCACTTAAAAATGTGAATAAATTCCCCCATGTTTTAAAAATAAACCTTATGTAGAATGACACTGAATCTTCAGATACACTTTAATAAGATTTACGTATTTAAGATATAATTTCTATCTCTATTTGTTTAAGTCATATCTATATCTATAATATTATATCATCTTTTTCACAGGGCTGATATGTATATTGTATGTCATAATTTGTAATATTATTAAAAGTATCACTTATATTAAATGCTCTCAACTTGTTGCTGTATAGAAAATCAAATGAGCTTTACATAAAAATCTTAATTCCAGCTATATGTTTTATTTCAAGCTCATCTTAGATAAATCGTCTTGATTTTTGTTCATAGAAAATCATGTCATCACCTCTCAAACAATAAAATGTACTTTAGAATATTTTAAAACATGTATTGACCTTATACATTATTATAAATTTTAGTATTTCATTTTTAGTTGCATCCCTTTTACTAGTTAGACATTGTCATCATTTTTAAATGACGGTGTCCATTTGGATTTATCCACGTGCTTACCACTGTCTTTGCTGTTATATTTCATATCTCAGACTTTCCATCTAGGATCCAGTTTCCTTCCTGAATTTCAAACTTTGGAATGTCCTTTATTTGTAAATCCTTTCTGTTTTGTCTAGAAATTACTTTATCTCATATTATTTATTGACATTTTTAAATTGAAAAATGTCATTGAAATCTGACAATTACTAATGTCAATTTCATAAATTATTGACAATTTCATAGAAATCTGGTGCAAAAAATGTTGGTTAATGCCACACATTAAAATTCCTCTTTTACTACCTCTGGCTTTTACTGTTTCTGTTTTAAAAATCAGCTGTTAGTCTAATTGTCATGCCTTGCCTATGAATTGTCCTTTTCTCAACTTGCGTTTAACATCCTATTTTCATCTTTGATGTTTTCTAAGTTCATTATGATATACCTAGTGCTAAATTCAGTTGTCTTTTTCTTATCTGTGAAGCGATCTACTTTCTTAGCCTGAGGATTGGTGTCTACCACCAAATCTGGAGTATTTTCAACTTTGTCTCTTCAGCGTCTGAAATATTTACCATCTGACTCTATGGAAAGTACTTTGCAACCCCTGTTCTACATGGATAACTTTTTGGATTCGTTTTCAGGTTCAAATTTTATTTTTCACACTCTAATTAGCAGCTTAAAGTGATACTGCATTTTCAATATTACAAATTATAATTTTATAATTTTTTCTCATATTTGAATTTTATAATTGTAAAAATTTAATTTTTATTTGGCAATTAAAATTATAATTTTATAATTTCCTCTCATATATTTGAAAGTTTTTTAATGTAGATTTTATTTCCCAAGTCTTTTGTTTTTTCA
Organism: Homo sapiens; assembly: GCF_000001405.40. Lineage (NCBI taxonomy): Eukaryota > Metazoa > Chordata > Mammalia > Primates > Hominidae > Homo > Homo sapiens. The sequence goes on from NC_000004.12 coordinate 178,797,659, forward strand.
TAATTATAGAATCTTCTTTCTGAAATTTTGTCTTTGAGGAAAGGGGTGTAATTGCATTTCTCCACAAGAATATTCTTATTCTGGGCATACATGATATCTAACCCTTTGTTTCAGATTTAATGGATCATAGTAGCCATATGAATTTTGACGGAATATTTACGAGGACTAACTGTGGTTATGAATTCTCAGGGTAAATATATTTCTCTTCCATCCAGTGCCAAATTTAAGATAGAGCATTTTTCTTTTTTGTCTACCCTTATTCTTTATTTTGGCTCTTTGTGGTGACACGTCTGTGTGGAAAGACCTCTACAAGGATGTATCATAGGGTTTATATCTGTCTTCCAAATTCTATGCAGCCTTCAGTATTTCCTAGGTAAAACTGGGCTGAAATCTTCAAAATCAGAAATATCTGCTGGACTATATGAAAATATCTGCTAGATCAATTGAGTTATCTATAGTGAGGTAAAAGCACAGTTCCCCAGAGATGGATATAGTTTGATCTTCTCAGTTCCATACTAAGAATATTTGATGATGTCTTTGCTTCTATATTTTCAGTCATGCCATTTCCTACCAATGTATCATATGTATATACTGTTTTTAAAAGTTGCTCCTTTAATTTCAAGTTCTTCTCTAGTTTGTTTACTCTATTTTTACAATTTTATGATAGTTAATCAAAATAGTTGCATACTATCTAATTCCATAGCTAAAAGTCCATAGTAATGATTTCTGAATAACTTATTTTTATTCATTTTACATAATCTTTCATCAGAAGTTGACACTTTTTATTCTTTTTCTTCATGACTACCAAAATATCCCTCTTCTCTCTTTTTTATTTTTCTGATTTTTATTTTCTTCATGTTCAGGATACCTTATCAACAATTTGATAGTTTTTTTCAAAATCAACTACTTAAATTTTCAATATTAGTATGCTCCAATAGACCATCTTTGCTCATAAGGATATGTTCCTTTCCCCCAGGGATGCTTTCCCACTCACATAGGCCCACATTTTACTTTATTGCTAATACCCATCATAGCTGTGTCTATTGTTTAAGAACCAAACACTCATGTTCATCATCTGCTGACTAGATTTTTTTACGAAGAGGCATCCTCCATTAATGTACAATATCTTTTTCTAAATGTGCTCTTTTCCCATCTAGATTTTAAAATTATGGATAGCTGGGAAAATGTCTTATACTATTTTTGCTATCATCTGGACCAATTAGAATGCATTTGGAGAGGAAGAAAAACATTCTTCTATCTTAGGTTAGACAGTTACTTCTAACAAATTAGAAAAACAAAAGTCAAATTAACAGAAGAAAACACATGCAAATTTTATCAAATGCTAATGTTTTCTTTTTCTTTTTTTTAAAATGTGCACATAGGTTTTTATAAAAAGTGAAGACCCAAAGAAGTAGTTAAACTCGGGTGCTTATATATTATCCTGACAAAGGAAAATAAATTATGGAGAAGCAACAAAACAAAAGAAAAGAGTTGTGGGTTTCGTGGAGCAGAAAATTTTGGGAAGGTAAATATCTCTGAGGAAAACTAGTAGAAGATAACGTATCAGTAAGTTTTGTTTATGCAGACTCATGTCAGTGTCATGTCCAGGTCCAGTGATAAAGGCTGTTTTTCCCATCCTGTTACAAGAAAGGGAGGCATCTGCACAAAGGAAAATTTATTCCCTGTGTTGCCCACATGTTGACATAACTAGCAATTAGATTGATTAGTTATCTTGGCCAGGGTTTGGAAAACTGGTGCAAAGAGGGGTGTCACGTTTGTGCTTGACTTGTTGAGAGAATAGAAAAGTTAATAGATGCAAGACACTGTTTGAAAGAGAGCTCATCATGGGGGATTAGAGGGAGAATAAAATAGATTGAGACAAGCAATCTCTAGTCAGCCTTTTGATAAATGGGAGATATAAATAAGTGAGGAGGAGTTTGTTTCAAAGATCAAAAGAGGTTGTTTTGTTTTTTTCCCATCTTAAGGAGGAGGAAGATATCAAGGGGGAAAAAAACTAGGTAAAGATGAAATTCTGAATCCATGATCAAGAGCTGCCTACTTTGAGGTGTTTTTACTTCCAGAACCTGGGATGTGACTCTGAAAATCTTCAACTTAAAGTCTCCTACAGAAATAGACTTTTACTTGTTTTGAGAGTGATGATATAGGTCTAGATTGGCATGGCAATGTAGGTAGTTAACAATATTTTATGGAGGCCGAGCATGGTGGCTCACACCTATAATCCCAGCATTTTGGGAGGCTGAGGCGGGCAGATCACCTGAGATCAGGTGTTCGAGTCCAGCCTGGCCAACATGGCAAAACCCTGTCTCTACTAAAAATACAAAATTAGCCGGGCATGGTGGCTGGTGCCTGTAATCCCAACTACTCGGGATGCTGAGGCAGGAGAATCACTAGAACGTGGGAGGTGGAGGTTGCAGTGAGCCAACATCACACCATTGCACTCCAGCCTGAGTGACAGAGCAAGACTCCATCTCAGGAAAAAAAAAAAAAAAGAAATCTCAGTTACTAACTTCTTTTTCACTTTTGTATTGACATGCCTACTGGGTGGCATCCAGTCTAGCCACAAACCCTGCAGACAGCCAAACAGTAAGAAGAACCTAAAGCTGGAGATGAAGCTATGAAATCAATTTGTATTACTGCAAGGGGATGTGAGGGCCTTGGAGATTTCCTCAGCTATGTTGGTTTTCTTCGGAAATTTGGTGAGATTTGCAAGCAGTACCCTGGGAAATAATTTAGTCAGAATTTTTGTGGATGGCAGGGTAGAGCCAATTGTCTTTTAGCTCCTTAACTATCCCCCATCAACAGGTATATTTTTATTTGATGGGAGATAAGTGCAAGCCAAAAGTTCAAAAGAGAGAGGGCTATAGGAAGCCCATTTAGTCCATTGTTTAATCAGTTTGATAATTATTTGGCATCCTTTTGTATCCATCTGTCTTCTTCATATTATGGGACATTTCTCTGACAGTTAATAATACCAGTCAAGGATAGAGGCAGATGTATAAATTGTGTAGTAAAGGGATAGAGGAGTACATGTTTAGCTCTGCACTTAGCAGCTTTGTCAGACTTTTATTTTCTGGAGATACAGTGTCAATTTCCTTGGGATAGGCTGGAAAAGGAAAAATAGCAAGTTTAGGAGAGAGATGAATAACCTGTATTAGAGTAGCAATTATATGTCTGTTTGGCACTGAGAACCTGGCAGAGGTTAAGAATCTGTGGGATTTTCAAATTGTGCTAACTACATGACAAACTGCCAAAGCAAATCTCAAGTCAGTGTAAACAGGGCAGTTTGTCCTTTTATCAATGTACAGATTTCTACAGGACTCACGAGTGCAGTGGCGTGAGCTGACTTTACATTGGGCAAAGAGTATGCTTCAAGAGTTTCATGTGAGACAGCCATGTCATAACCAGTCATTATGTTTCTATGGGAATTTCATTTACAGAAGCCAGCATAAAATAGAGGTAGGTCTGGGTTGTTCAAGACAATATCTAAGCAGTCTTCTTGTGGCTTTGAGACCATTCCTATAGTCACAAGTCAATCCCATGGAATGGAGTGGGACCTCTCCATCACCATGGTGGAGTGTTAGAACAGCTGGATTTAGAGTGCCACAGCAATGTGAGATAATGGAAGGTTGGTTAATAGGCCTGTTCATGGGTTGTTTACCACAAGGTTAAAAGTTGCTGTGTTTTATGAACTTCTAAAAGAGCCAACACAGCGTAGAGAAAACAGAGGAGAATGAAGGAACCAAGTGTAAGTGCACCAGCTTGTCAAGGCTACAAGAGTGGCTACAGCATGGAGGCATGTGGGCATGCCTGATACCACAGGGTCTGATTGATCTGAGAAATAGGCTATAGGATGTTTCTGAGAGATGAAAGTTTTTCCTTAAATACCTATAGTCATCCCATTTTTTTCATGGCAGTATATGTGAAAAGATTTGTCCAAATTGGGTAAGCTGAGTGCTGGGGTTGTAGACAATGCTGAGTTTGCAACTTCAAGAGCAGTTAACGCTTCTGAGGGCCAAGAAATGGATTTTGTGGCAGGATCCTGGAAGATAGCATATAGAGGTTTAGCAAGGGTAGCAAAATTAGCAGTCTGTTGGTTGCAGTATCCAGCTGCCCCTAAAAATGTACATAACTGTGTCTTCATTTGGAGGAAAGAGATGGACAAAAGACTCAAGGCATTTGGGGATAAATTTTGAGTGTCTTGAAATATCTCAAGTCCTAAAAGTAGGTAGCAGTCATTTGTATTCACTGAAGTTTTGTTCTGGAGGCCTGAAGACTTCTTTCAGAGAGGGCCTTTTAGAAAATGAGGAACTCTATAAGAGTTACAAAGTAAGAAGTCATCCACATATTAAACAAGAGCAAGGCTTTTGGTAAAGGCTTCAGAGTCTATGCTGGCTTTAAGGACCTGCAAAAATATTGAGGGGACCTCCAAATAGCCCAACTTATGTGAGTCCATGTTAGTTGTCTTCCTCTAAATTTATATGCAAAAAGAAATTACAAGTCTAAGGCAATAAAATAAAAAAGGAAGCTGAGCGTAGGTCAATTACTGTAAACTTGGCTGCATCAGCTGGAATTGAAGTAAGAATAGTAACTGGATTAGGGACTTCAGAATAGCATACAATTACTAAAGGGTTTATGGCCCTTAGATCTTGCACAAATAGATTTGATTCAGTTCTGAATACATTCTCCCTTCCTTCTTTTACAATTGGGGTATTGCAGAATGAGGAGGCAAAAATATAAACATCCTGCTGTAAAAGGGAGTCTATTTTAGGTTCAATTCCTCATTTTGCACCTCCATAGAAAGGGTATCAGGCTGTTGAATGGAAGGATTTATTCCTTTTTCAGGAAATGTGCACAGGTTCTATACTTAGTAGTAGTTCAACCTTATTTGCATTCAAGGTCCAAAGACTAATTGGGAAAACTTTTAAGGTGAAGTCCCCTTCAGAGGATTTTGATTAGAGATGAGTCTCCATCAAGAAAAGCAAGAAGTCTGAGTCTTTGTGTAAGGCCATGGAAGTAAACCTACCACTTCTTATTATATGGGGTGTTGACATGAAATTTGCACAGCTACTTTCTACCTATAAGGTTTATTGGTGAGGTATGAGAAAGTAGAAAGGCATAGAGAGTGTTAATAAGGCCTTAGGATATTGAGGTGTGCTGAGGTGTCGGTAGTGAAACAGGTTGCCCAGAGACTCTGATAGCTTAAACGGAATTAGAGGTGATGGGGAGAGAGAAATCCTCTGAGGGAATAGTAGAAAAGTTGCACTGTGTCAATTTAAAAATTGCATTCTTGATCCTCTGTTTTAATTTTAATGACGTGTCTGGGTTGCTACTAAGGATTGGCTGACCATGTCAATCAGTGGGGTTTATAAGGAAATTGTCTTACAGAAGAGGAAAAATGGACCTTCTGAGGGTGCTGAAGCCCAAGAAAAGTGCAATTTAAACTTTCCCTCTCTTAATTTCAGGCATTTATGCTTCCAATATCCTGGCTTTTTATTATCTGCAAATATCTTGAGAAGAATAGGAGAGGTTCTGTGGTTGGAAGCACTTTCAATTATTCTCAGCCACATTTTTGTTTTTGTGAGAACACAGTTTGCAAGGCAAGGACTGCTATTTTGCTTCTTTCTTTTTCTTGCTTTCCTACAAGCTATTCTCAAAGAATTGGGTAAAAGCCTCAATAATAAAGCCGAGAGGTTATCCTGCCCATCTAACCACACTTGGTTAGATTTGTTCCTTTATATTTTGGGGAAGATTTCGGACTACTGCAGAAATTCAAAGATTTCTATGCTTTAGACCTCTGGATTTGATACAGTACTTTTGGAAAGCTTGTATAAAGCCTTCCACAAATGGTTTGGGATGTTAGCTTTCTTTCTGAGTGCAAAGTTTAACCTTAGAACAATTTACCTGAGGGGGAAAGGCTTCTGTAATAACTGCTATCAGGCCTTGAATAGCGGTCCTAAGCTGAGCATTTTCTGGCTCTCTGCTGGAGTGCCTGGAAGGGGATCTGGCCACTGGCTTCCCCTGGGAAGGGGTTCACAGAAGCCATCTGTCTTGGGATATAAATATAGTATTATCATGGGCGGGAAGCAAACTTTTTAGTAGCCAACTGAGGTCCCTGTGTGTGGGATTAGTGAATGGCCACTAATCTTTCTAGCTCCTCTCTAAATACGGTAGATGATCTTCTGGAAATAGAGGTAAAAACGTTTTGTAATTTAAAAGATATACTACAATCCAGAGGATATAAATTCTTTGCAGTCAGGGTCCAGGATACATTGGCAGAGAGCATTGCCTGGGAAGGCTTGGTATGGATGGAGTTTGATTAGAGTCCTGAAATGTAGGTGTAGTTACAAGGGACGGCAAAATCATCCTTGTGGTGTGTACCTGGGGCCTCTGCCAAAGTTTCTCCTGGCTATAAGCATTTGCATAAGTAACTTGTTTGTCCCATGCCTGGAGGTCAGGCAGCAGTGCTTTGGGTAATTCTTATAAGGAAATGGAAGTTAAATTGGACTGCTGGGTGTTTAAAAAATTTTCTAGGGAATTTGGAGGAGTATTGTGAATGAAAGAAATTTGTTGAAAAGGCTGGGGCCAAAATTTGGGGAGGGGATTTATGGCAGGTTTCAGAGATCCAAAATATCTTCTGGAGTTTCAGAGATAGGGAGTCAGGCTGGAAAGGGGAATTTGTAATGGGTTATGGATTTTAACTTTTGTTCCAAGTCTGATTTTTGTTTTTCGATTTTTGTTGAGGGAATCCCTCAGACTAGCCAAAATGCTTTTTTTGTGTTCTTCCTACAATCTGATCTTCCCAGAGGTCCTAATAGGACATTTGTTTAGAATGAGAACTCTCAAAACATTGCTTTAAAATATAAACGTTTTTCCAAATCAAAAGATCCATCATCTGTTCATCAATGGGTAGAATCGTCAAGGACTGAGCCATCAAATGCAGCACAAAGAAAAAAGCCTTTTTCTGGAAAGACCTGGAGGCAACTTTCTAGGCATAAAGTGATTTTTTTACCACAGAGGCAAGATACATCCCTGGAGCAGGTGCAGAAGATATAACTTCCATGACGCAGAATGTCACTCCCAAGGATAACAAAAGAAATTAAAGACAATTGTTGCCACAGTTGGTAAGGATGTTGTTTATGTGAAAACTCCCGTCACTGGTCTTTCATACAAGTGAGATGCCGCCAATCATAGACCTACTTACCTGTGATACCAGGCAGGAGATACTGGTATGGGCAGGGACCTTTGATTTAGCAAGCTCCCCTGAGTGTTGCCACAGTCAGACAGATAATATTGCTTGTGCAACCAGACTTCCAGCCTGACTCTTAACCATCAGGTGCAGGCCTGACAGCTTGTGGTCCCTGTACAGGTAGAAAAATCAGAGACAGCTCTCTCACTGGATTCAAGACAAGCTCCAAGTACATGAAATGGATTTAAAAAAATCTCCTGCAGTTTTATTGGTGTCCACAGCAAAATTTATCCAAATGAATAGCCATCTAGTAAGAACCATAAACTCTGTGAGGCCAGCTGAACAACAGGCTTTGGAAACCCATTTCTGCATTTTGCCCTATTGTGGCAGGCCAGGTCTCACTAACGCAGGCCTCCATAACAACTGTCTCAGTACTGACCGAGTGGTGAAGTTAATATTAAAAGCTGATAGAGCCAGTGCCCTTACACAAAGGCTGAAATGTAACAGAAGCCCAACAAGAGTTTTGCCTGGGTCTTTCTTGGGCATTGAAGCATGACAAGATAATGAGAGAATTCTTAACAGGACCGTTTAGGATTAAACAAGTTTTATTGGGGGTCCAAAGAAACTCCCCAGGCTTCCACAAACAAGTTTACTGAGGGTCTGAAGAAACTCCCCAAACCTCCATGATTTAGCAGGAGACAAGATAAGGGTAATCACCCCAGCACCTGGACCTATTTAGATTAAGTAAGCCTACTGAGGCTCCAGAGGAAGGTCTTCAGGACTCAGATCTCAGTTATAGATTAAAAGAAGTTAATCACTTATGTCTTTGGAATGCACACTTACGTGTAGACTTATAGCTTAGAAGGTAAGATGAGCTTTGGAAAACTTTGTGAGTTTGAGTTGATCTGGTGATATTTTCCAGGATTTCTCCCTGTAACCAGTTACAGAAATAAAAACTCTCTTCTTCCCTAGTTCATCTGCATCTTGTTACTGGGCCTCGAGAAATAGCAGCCCGACCCTCAGTTTGGTTCAGGAACACTATGATTCCCTGCCTTATGACAAAGGACACAAAAGGCAAAGGCAACGTAAAATGATGGCTATCCTGGTGGGGAATGGATCAACAGCAAAGGCCAAATAGAACAAAAGTGGCAATACCTAAGGAATTAATTCATACAAATGTTTTTACCTTGTTAATCTAAATTGAAAATTTAAAAAGGAACAAGAAAAGACAGATCTTACAACCCTCTCTCAGTCAGATGCTACTGATGGAAAATCCAAGAGGCTTACTCAAGAAGAATTCTTACCTTTTTCAGTCTTTATTAGGTGCCTTAGTCAGTTTGGGTGGCTACAACAGAATATCATAGATTGGGTGGCTTAAAAAAACAAATATTTTCACAATTCCAAGCTGGAAATCTAACAAGAAGGTGGCAGCCCAGTCATGTTCTTGGTGAGGGCCCTCTTCCTGGTTTACAGATAGCCACTTTATTGCTTTATCTTCACGTGGTGGAGAGAGAAAGAGAAGCCAGCATTTGTGTCTCTCCTTATAAGGGCATTAATCCCATTCATGAGAGTCCTCCCTTCAAATGCAATTACCTCCTGAAGCTTCCACCTCCTAATACCATGTTAAGATTTAACGTATGACTCCGGGATGAGACATACAAACATTCAGTTCATAGCATTAGGAATCCCAAGATCTCAGCTGCAGGCTCTGGAGGAACAAGGTGTCCCAGTCTATGCTGTCTCTTTGTGGTCACTCGAAATGGAGCAAAATAAAAACTTTCCTCTATCCTCTTAAGATGTGCACCTGGGGCTTGTGAATTAGACTGACAAAAGGCATCTAATGGGAAAAAATACATGCAAATTTTATTTGAAATTAATAATTTATTTTTTTTATGTGCACAGAGGACTTTGTAGAAAGTGAAGACCCAAAGAAACGGTTAAACTCAGGGGACTTGTATCCCAACTTAACAAAGGGTGATTAATTGTGGAGATGTCACAAGATAAAGGAAAGGAGATTTAGCTTTGAGGGGCAGTAAATTGAAGGAAGGCAAATATATGGGGACACTGATAAATGATAAAGCCTATCTAGTAAAGTTCTGTTTATGCAGACCCATCTAGTGTCATCTCCATCTGCATCGATGAAGATTGTTTTTTTCTTTTCTATTATTATAAAGGGAACACCTACACAAAAGGAAATTTATGCACAGCTTTTAGGCAGACAGGGGGAAGGCAGAGAAGTTTTCCTGCATCTGCCATCTCTCAATTCACTTCTGCTCAGAATAATTCTTATGTCAAAATGGTAACTGGTGGCGGGATGGGAGGGAGGAGGAATTGGGTTCCCTTTAATTTTACATTGCAAATGTCTGACAATTATGGGTAGTTTTATAATTCTAAGCAGAAAATACAGTTTGGAAATTTAGTTTCTTTTAATAAAGCAGAGAAGAACAAATAATATCAATTAAATGAGTATTTTTAAATAACATTTTTAAGAAATATTTGTACATTTAACTTTGATTTCTACCAGTGGAAATAAAAAGAATCCTAAAGATTTTAAGCCTCATGTCTATAGATGTTTTGGTGTCTGCTTAATATAGAATCTGTCAATAAAACCTTCCTACCATTCAATATTTTTATTCTGCTGCAAATAAAGCTCTCAGGGTCACAAAATATAGTGAGGGCATGCAAATGGCTGTTCTGTTTTCCTTGAGGAAAACCCCCACAATGCTTTTATAAAAAGTTCTGTAATTATCTAGGTTTTCTGTAATCATTGAATATAATTTATAAGATTAGGAGAAATACCTAATAATGTAGATGATGGGTTGATGGATGCAGCAAACCACCATGGCATGTGTATGCCTATGTAACAAACCTGCACTTTCTGCACATGTATCCCAGAACTTAAAGTACACCTATACAAAAAAAAAAGATAAAGTATCTCTCTTTTAGGTTTATGGGTGTGTTTTCTTTTCTATATCATCTCCAAGAAACCATCTGTCCAGTCTTATTCATCTGAGGCATATTTAGTCTCTAGCTAAACAAAATTGAAAATGTTGCTGGGAGTTATAAACTATTATGCAGAAGTGTGGGAGGTTGTCCTTCACTAACATACAGAGAATCATGGCTTAAGCAGTCCCATTGCCTTTATGTAAATATTAAGGATGACAAGACAGATAATCCTCTCAGACTGAATTTAATATTCTCAATTCACTTACAAATGAGTGGTATACACTGTATAAAACAAATATATTCACAATTATGAAAAATAAATATTAGACCTGAAAACCTCTAGCACATAGAAAATCTTTATCCCCAAGTTCCACTATGATCATCATATAAATCTTTAGATGCCATTTCAACTTCACTTTTCTAGATCATTTTAGATAACTATGTTTCTAAAGCAGAATACATTACTACTTCCTCATTTCCATTAACTGTTTTGCAAGATTTTCAGGTTAAAATACAAAGGCATGAACTCGGCTCACTGCAGTCTCTGCCTCCCAGGCTCATGGGATCTTCCCACCTCAGCCCCCCTAGTAGCTGAGACTGCAGGCCTGTGCCACCATGCCTGGCTATTCTCCCTATACTCTTAAAGAGATATATGTCTAACATTAACACATTGTAGAGAGAAGAAATTGAATTTGGATTCAGAAAAGCAAGATTAAATCTTAGACAAATAATGTTAGTGTGAGTTTTTATTTGCTTGTTTTTTAACCATTCACGGGCCTCAGTTTGTTTTGAGGGATGAAATGGATAAGGCAAGGAAACTTTTAAGATGGAACCCGACTCTTAGTGTTTCTTTTGACTAGTAAATTGTACACCAGATAACATGTGGACAGTCTTGTTTAATTGAAAAACCTCAAGACTTAGTGCTTTAAAAATATCAAAGTGCTATATTCTGACATGTCCCTATTACTTCACTTTAAAACATGTATTTCCTTACAATTAGAACAATGATATCTATTTTTAATTAAAAAATAGAAAAATAGAAAAAAATTATAAGCAAAATCTCCTACTTCTAACTCATATTCACTGTTCACATCTGGGGACGTAATTTTTCAAAAGAGCATGTGTGTGTGTGTGTGTGTGTGTGCATGTGTGTAAAATAATGCAGTAACCACGATTATAACACAAAGCCGTTCTATACTTTTCTTTAATGATATTTCTATTAAAAGTATATATGAAACATGTCTTTCTTTTAAATATATCCTAAGTCATTTATTCCATGGGAGTAGCATAATTTCTTTATCCAGTGCCCTAAACATAATCATTTGATTTAAAAAAAAAATTATTATTACGAACAAGGCTTTAATGAACAATTTGCACATTTAGATGAAATTATTTTCAAGAATTAGAATTCTCTAAAATTTTGTGAATTAGAATTATTCTAATTCATAAAGAATTAGAGATTTTTTATGAATATCAATAATAATAGAAAAGGCCCATTTCTGTGCAGAATGGAATAATATGGATATTTTTCTTCTCTTTCTAAACTAATAGAAAAATGCCAATAATTACTTTTGTTTAAATTTCACTTAAGATACCTTGAGATTGAGATTATGAGGTTGAGTTATATTTACATATTTGTATTGCCTATTTTATGAAAGAAAAAGACTACTTTGTAAAAGCAAAATTTTCTAGTATTCTTGATTGAATCCATATATCTAGAACTGCCATGGAGGTTAAGGAAAATCCCTGAATACATTCACATTGCATCAAAGGATCCCAGTAGCATATTTGAGGAGCGCATATTGAGTTTGTGTAACAAGGGATGTGGTACTTTTGTTGACTTTTTTTATGTGGCTGTAATAAGTAGAAGTCAATGTGAGGGAAAGGAAGCATTGAATATTCTGTATTGAGGTTTTAGAAAGTTCACTTTTCCATCAGATGCTTATATCTAGAGAATTTATAAAGTCAAGATTAAAAATGTCTTTCATGTTGATACATGAAGTACAGATTAAAGAAAAGTTGTCTCTATATTCATATTAATAGTTTGGGGAAGAAGAAAACTTTAAAATTGCTACTTTTAAAAAAGATCTTAGATTTTGCCTTAAAAGCATTCAGTCTTTACATTCCTCAGGCTAGATGATGTGTTTCTGCCCAAGGGCAGATGAATGTCACTCCCTCAGAAATCCATCAGTGCCAGGTCTAAAATGGCCAGAGGAGTTGCTGCAGGCAGGGCAAGCAGAGGTTTTCCCATCTATCTCATGTTGACTTTCCAGTTCTGTGGGCCCAGGGACTTCGACAACTTCTGCATTTTGCGCAGCCCATGTGGCTGCTGCTTGTAGCTGCCCCACAATAAATCAGAGAATGGTAACAGCTTTGCATGTTACTTCAGAATTTTAAAAACCCCACATAGCTCCATCTGTAACCTAATAATATAAAGTAATATATATGGAAGACAATTATGTATTTCAATCATTAAATTGTAGCAGTGAGTAGACCAGACTAATGAGGATCATAGAACTATGCTTTCTCAATTTAAGAACAGCTTAAGTACTGATGCTGAAATTTATGTGCTTTTTCAAAATGTGTAAAAATTAGCTCCATTTCACACTGAAACCTTCTCTGAGACTGCTTTCTTTGATTTCTAAAAGACAAGGTGCAGACTGTGCATGCGGTAAGTGTATACTGTATACTGTGCATAGTTAGATCCTTGTAACTTTTCAAAAAGAAAATTAACTGATTGTTTCAAGGCTGTGATGCAAATTAGAACATTTTCTTTAATTATTATCGTTATTATTTTATTTATTTATTTATTTTGAGACGGAGTCTCGCTCTGTTGCCCAGGCTGGAGTGCAGTGGTGCAATCTCAGCTCACTGCAACCTCTGCCTCCTGGGTTCAAGCAATTCTCCTGCCTCAGCCTCCTGAGTAGCTGGGATTGATGGCGTGCGCCACCATGCCTGGCTAATTTTTATATTTTTAGTAGAGATAGGGTTTCACCTTGCTGGCCAGGGTGGTCTCGAACTCCTGACCTTGTGATCTGTCTGCCTTGGCCTCCCAAAGTGCTGGGAATACAGGTGTGAGTCACCGTGTCTGGCTATTGTTTTGTTTTGTTTTTTAAATAAATGTTCCATTCATAATAATAGGCTAAAAAGAACTGTTAGAGGAGACTGGGCAGATGGAGTGGGGCAGGCAATTTATCAACTTAGGAGGTAATGTATCTTTCCATTCTTTACCTGAAGATGTAGGTGAAACATTTTAAATCAAATAGTAAAAATAGGATATGTTTGCTACCAATGCTACTACCAACTACATTATTATTGCCAAAATCATCAGATACCCTAGAATAATATATAAATTTATTTTTGTAATTAGATAAGACAGGAAGAAGAAGTAAACTTCAAGGTAGAATGTCTGAATATATACTAGAAAAATTCCCATAGTTTGACATTTATCAGATTTCAAGTAATCTGGGGAAAAGACCCTCACAATATAGTAGGAAACATGTTATGCACAGTTTTACAGAAATCAGAATCATAATTGGAAATTGGAATCACAATGATTCAGAAGTTGAATAATTTACTTAGAGTTACCCTCAAGAGTCAACCAAAAAAGATGAAGAAAGAAAAAGGCTAAAAATAAATTAATCTGGAATAAAGGCGTTTGTTGAAGTTGTTTGGCCTAACACTCAATGTATTGCTGCAGCAGATAATAATGTGGCGGTTATAATGAATAACTCTTAGAGGAAGAAAAATGAATTCAGAGACACAGTTAGGCATTTAAGACTGATAAGAAACCACAAAGACTACCTCTCCTGCAATCTCTGTGTCTATGACAACTTCAAATATAGTATTTCCTATGGCAAATTTAAATGAAATTATTTTTGATAAAAACTCTAAAGACCTTTTCATGGTGACAGATGGTGTTACAAAGTCATGTATATCTAATCAGTAATCTACACGATCTTGTTTCAGTTTTGTGAGGAAAAAATGAATGCTTTATAAAAAGAGAATATTTTGCAATTCCAAATAATAGCATAATTTAATATTAACATAAAATAATTTTATAAGACCAGAAAATTTCATTTTATATATATTCAAAAATATGTTTTATCTTCTTGCAAATCCAGTATTCTTCTGGGATATGTAATAAGACTTTAGGGATGATTTATGCAATTCCTCTCTACTAGACTTGCAGGTAGGAGTCTATAGTTTCGTAGTTAAAAATATCCACTCTGAATTTATACTTCCTTGGTTCAAATCCAGGCTCTATCACTTACTAAGTGGTTATCATTGGCTAGATTTTTCTGACTACATAAAATTTTTTTATATCAGTGGCATTTAATTTCCTTTATGTGCTTTCTTTTCAAAATATGTATTAAAACTTTTAATTTGTTACATTTCTTTAAGTTTTTTTTTTATTTTACCTTTTGCGGATGAGCTGAAAGAACGTTATAATGATATTCCTTAAAGTTATATTAGTCAAAACAGATTGATCAAGTCCTGAACGGTTCTGCTGTTAACATTGTCCAGAATATAGCCATGCCTAATTCATATTTTTTAAGTTATTTAGTGCCATTCCACTTTACCATATATACACTATTTTATGTTTAATGTACTATTTCATTATATTACATACTTCAAAGTTAGTAATTTTAGTAAACGACATAAAACCATATATCTTAATGTTACATTATCAATAAAATACTTTATAATAGTAATTAGTACCACTGTCATGCCTATTATTACTACATTACTTCCACTGAGACACTGACTAGCCCATATTTGCTGAATGTTGCCCATGTCATCAGTACCGTTTGTAAGTGCTTTATATTTCTTAACTATTTTAATTATATTAATGACACAGGACACTTTCAGTGCCGCTTTGCCAGCCAGAAACTTCTGTGGCTGGTGGCCCCTCTGCCCGGGTTTCACTCCAGCCCGCTCAACCTGGCAGGCTGCACTCGACTCGCTCCCTGGCCTGGATCCCGTGACCACCATGGCTGTGTGGTCACCATGGTCCAGCCCATGGCAGGACCAGAAGTGCCACAAGGGGCTTCCATGTCTGGGAGCCAGCATTCAGACAAGGGGAGCGCTGTGGCACCCCAAAACTCGGAGACAACAGTGACCACGGAACTCCAAAGAGGTGTCACAGATTCTGCTCGGGGAGTTCTGAGGTGTGGGCCCCCAGGAAGTGTTACAGTTCTCTCTCATTCCCGCCATTTACAGCCGAGCGAACGAGGGCGTGTCACAACTCATTCGGTCCCGCTGCCTAGATGGGCGAGCCAACCAGAAGCGTGCTGCTGCCCTTTTCACTGCCACTATGCGGCAGGTTCCAGGTTCTTGTTCTGTGACCAGAAGAATGAGGTACGTGGACACCGGTAAGAGAGCAAGACAGAGAAGAATTTCATTGAGTGACAGAAAAGCTCTCCACAATGAGAGGGGACCCGAAGTGGGTACCCCTCTGTGTGAGAAGGAGGCCCAAAGCAGATAAATGTCTGAAAGGCTGAGTCCAGGGTTTTTATAGGTTTGCAATGAGGAGGTGTGTGCTGTAAGGTAGCCTTGGAAAAGGCAACATTTGATTGGTTAAAAAGCTTCATCCAGAAGGAATCAATAGAGAGAGAGTGGACAAACCGGAATAGAAGTTCTCACTCTGGTCCAGAAGCTTGGTTTTCAGGCAAAACGGTCTTTGGCTTGGTCAGGTTTTACCAGGGACGCCCTCCTATCTGCTTAGGAATTTGACTGTCTCCTGCTGCTATTAATAACACCATGAAACTCGTTTTTCTTTTAAAAATGGAGTCTCAGAGGTTCAGGAAAGTGAAATATCTTTCCTAATCACAAATCTTCATGCGTTAGAACCAGAATATGAAATCTGATATTTCCACTTCAAAGTATACTTTATCCATGACTCCTGAAATGCCTCCCTGACAGAAAAGCCTTACAAACGAGGCTAATAATCCAAATGAATTTTGTTTTCCTTTTTTGCTTTTCTCTTCTTTAATTTAAATATTTTGCCACAATTTTTTGAAAGTGCTTCCTTTAATATTTTATTTTTTTTACTTTGCTATTATATTTATTTTTTCTTCTTAGGGGCCTATTTTAATAGCTCACCTAAACAGCTAAAAGAATAATAAAAAATTTTATTCCACATGTAATTAAATACTTTCATATTAAAAAATAAATGTACCACATATACTGAACATCTAGATAATTGCTTATACATTTTATTTTTCTTCCAAATTTTTTTTTCTTGATTTGAAATGAGACCTGAAAATACTTGGTCCTATTTTCTAAATTATTGTGAAAACTTAAAGGTAGCCTTCAATATCTCTTCCTAAGATTTTAAATCTTTAATAGAAAACATATGAAA
This sequence comes from Homo sapiens, assembly GCF_000001405.40. NCBI lineage: Eukaryota > Metazoa > Chordata > Mammalia > Primates > Hominidae > Homo > Homo sapiens. Next base: position 178,814,176 of record NC_000004.12, read on the forward strand.
TTAAATTTTGGAGCTATCTGCTAAACATTGTCTTTAAAATATTTTCAGTTTTCTATTCATTGTTCAAGGATGGAAAGTAGATCTTATGATTCTAAACTAAAACCCACAATTTATGAAATGTCTTGCATGAATTAGCTCCCATATGTTGGAAGTGTTGAGAAATACATTGCAAATTTTAAAGTCACCTACAAAACTTTAAGGACAGAAAAGTAAATCTAGTCCTCTCCCTAACTTTTTCCTGGGCCACATGCTCACCATTCCAGACAAATGAGAATCTATCCATGACTAAAAAAAATCTCCAGAGAAGATTTCTTAACGTACCCTAAAATGTTTTCACTCTCGCTTTTAGTAGAATCTCCTTATTGCTCGCTTTATTACTGCTAGTTAAGTCTGCATCGGTTGCTCTCCTCTCTGTGGAAATGAAGAACAGCTGGCAGATATCTTCTGTGTAAAGGCATTTGAAATTCTAGAATAAAGTAATTAAAACACTTTCTTTGCCTTTGACTAACATTTTCCAGGATTTATTTGAAACTTTTATAAGTTTTTAAAGGTTTTACGTGCTTCCCGAGTCCTGGAATACTTGTTTTTTCTGAAGCTGTATAAGATATTGCCTGAGCAGAAAAGAGTAATAGATGGTTGTATATGATTCTAATATATCATTATCTTATTTCTTTAAATATTATGGCTGGGTGTGGTGGCTCACACCTGTAATTCCAGCACTTTGGGAGGCTGAGGCAGGAGGATTGCTTGAGCCCAGGCGTTCAGGACCAGCTTGGGCAATATAGTGCGAACCTGTCTCTACAAAAAAAAAAAAAAAAAATTAGCTGGTCATGGTGACACACACCTGCAGTCCCAGATACTTGGGAAGCTGAGTTGTGAGGATTGCTTGAGCCTGGGAGATCAAGGGTGCAGTGAACTATGATCACACCACTCCACTCCAGCCTGTGTGACTAAGCAAAACTTGTCTCATAAATAATAATAATAAAAACAAACAAACAAATAAATAAACATTGCTATCAGAGGTATGAGTCATTTATGTAAATACTCACATATTTCTTCTGCAGGTCTGAATAGGGGAAATAAAATACCAAGAAGTATTACTTCATAACTTTTGTACCAACTTCAGTTACTAAATAATTTTGTTTGGGGAATCTTATAAATTCCTCCATGAGCCTGGAATACCTTGACAGAGATTATTTCCCTCAATAACCAATAATCAGTCATTAATAGAGCCTCAGAATCTTCAAGCCCGGTCATAACCATTATTTGTAGAAGTGTTATTAGCACTGATTTCTGACATAAACTCTAATTAAATCTTGAATTTGTTTGGACAGTGATCATAAGACAAGAAATATATAAACAAAAAATGAAACCATGAAAATAGAAGCATTTATAGAAGCTGCACTACAGCATCTAATCAGGAGGGTGAGCTGATTTTTTTTTCCCCTCAAACATATTCAAGGACAGAGGTCAGCAAACATTTTCTGGAAAACAGTAGGTAGCAGATATTTTTGGCTTGGCATGCCATATGGTTTCTACTGCAGCCAGTCAACTGCAGCACTGTAGCATTAAAGCAGCCACAGCCAAAATGTAAGCAAATGCATGTTTCTGTGTTCCAATAAAACTTTATTACAAACACATGCAGCAGGCTGGATGTTGCCTGTGGGCCATAATTTCCCAGTCCCTGTTCTAGAATAAGGAGTGCCAAGACCTGCCAATATGTGCTGAACTTCCTGCTTTCCCACATTCTCTGAAATTTTTCCACTGCTGGGATTCTCCGAGGGACTAATTTTCCTCAAGAAGATAATTAAATTCCAAATCAGAAAGATGCCATGTTTCCTCTATGTGCTGTGCTTCGGCATCAACAGCAGGCATTTTCCTTGTGCTGCCTGGCTAATGTGTATCATAATCTCCCATCTCAGCATCAGATCCTCTGCCGGTTTCCTCCTGGTAGACTTCTCATTTTTCAAAATCAGGAGCTAAAACTAAACTTTCCCACAAATCTTCCAAGAGACTAGCATGCTGGTCCTAAATTCTGTCTCCAGTGATTGGCCATCCAAACGCTCCTATCACATCTCGCTTCTCAATTGCTCAGCCCCAAAACACCAGAGTCACTTTTCACTCTTTCCCTTTACGTCCAATTCATCAGGGAATTGTTAATAGTGCTTGAGAATACATGCATGCCTCACTATCCTTTACTACCTAATAGTTTGAGTCATCATTATCTCTTCTCTGAATTATTAAATCTACCATATCACCCAATCTATTTTCAATGGAGCAATTAGGTAATTTTAAAGCATAAATATAATGTCAAAATTCTCCCAGGAGTCCTCAGATCAGAGTAAAAAAGTCAAGGTCCTGCCAATGGTATACATGACCCTGCTGTATGTGATCTGTGCCACCTCCCAACCCTTATCTCTCTAGCCTTCTATCACTCTCACCTAATCTCTGGGATCCAGCACATCAGCCTCCTTTGCTGTTTTTTGACCACACCGAGAGCACTTCCACATCAGAGCATTCCACAGCCTTATTTTTTTCTGCACTGGATGTGCCCCATCACCTCAATTTCACCAATGTTCGCACCTCTTTGTCTTCTTTAGTATAATTCCACATTCTTTGAGTCCTAACTTGGTCAATCATATATCATTGCACCCAGTCCTCCCTCGTCTCTCAAAATCCCACCTACCCTGCCTTACTTTTTCTTTTCCTCATATCGATCATCTTCCGCAATACTATAAAATTTAAAATTGTTTTTATGTTGCATTTATTGCCATTGACTTTCTTTAGCTGCTAAATTACAAACTCCTAAGAGTGAATATGCATCTACTTTATTCACAGATTTTTTTCCAAGCATCAGTGACAGTGCTGGACTACACAGTGGAGGAACCTCGAAAACATTTTGCTAAGTAAAAGAAGCTGGACAAAAAATGGTCACATGCTGTGTGATTCCATTTATATAAAATATCCAGCATAGGGGAAATCTATAAAGATAGAAAATTGATGCTTGACAGGGGCTGGGGAAACGGAGATTGTGGAATAAATGCTTGATACGCATGGGATTTCTAGAGAGGTGGTGATTGTACAACATTGTGAATCTACAGAATGTCACTGAATGGTTCACTTTAAAATGGTTAATTTTATGTTATGTGAATTCCCCCTCCATTTTTGAAAATTACAAGAAATAAATTTTTATGTAATGCCTTCACCTGTAGAGACACTTATTAGCAAAAGTTCACATGCTTTGGGAATAGAGTGGATGTAATCTGAAGCTAGGGATTGCTAGAGAGGCAGTGCATGTGACAATCACATGGCGTTGAATAACTGAAAGGACTCACGGGGCTCCAAGTTATGCCCTAAATGACACTTTACCTTCATCATTGCCCTCCGTTCACAAATGCATACATGATTTATAAGCATTGGGGCACATGATTTTATAAGGAGTTGTAAAAGCAGGAGATAGTCTAACCACTATGTATGGACACCTTTTTGAAAAGGGCATTTATTAGTTTAAAAGTTACATATTTTCCACGTCCCTGCTATTGAACAAAGTCCTCTGTTTTGGGAAGCAACACATCCTACTTACTCCCTAAGAATGCACCCTGTGTAATAGATAAAACCTGCAAAATGGAAACCAAAAGAGAGGGTGACATTAGAATCATTGTAATTGTTCATCCGGTATCATCAAGATATATCAGAAACGTTGATTACTCTGAATTGAATATTTCTTAAATCTTCGCCATACCAATTTAGACCATTAACTTTAGACAAGGGAGAATGGTCTGCTAGGTTTGCATTTATTGACATTTATTTATTTATTTATTTTTGAGACAGAGTCTCTCACTCTGTTGCCCAGACTGGAGTGCAGTGGCACGATCTCAGCTCACTGCAACCTCCGCCTCCGGTGTTCAAGCGATTCTCCTGTCTCAGTCTCCCAAGTAGCTGGGATTGCAGGTGCCCATCACCGTGTCTGGTTAACTTTTTGTATTTTTAGTAGAGATGAGGTTTCACCATGTTGGCCTGGCTGGTCTTCAACTCCTGACCTCAAATGATCCACCAGCCTCAACCTTCCAACGTGCTGGGATTACAGGCATGAGCCACTGTGCCCGGCCTGACATCTCTTAATATAGTGACTACTATTATTTATTCTCTATGATGTTATGAAGATTACCACTTTTTATCTTGTCTGTTGAGATTTTCTTTTCCTTCTCCATTCAATATACAACCTTGAACAGTTGCAATACAGCTGCCTTCAGTTTGAATTTCAGCCCTCTATTCCTTACTACCCTCTGTAAACCATGCCACTCTGTCATATTCTGGTAAACAGTTATAAAAAGTGGTGCCTTCAGATATTAATTAGATAAATAACCAGGAAGGCCTAATGTAGAGCTCAAAGGCTAAGAGCTTCTTCTTTAATTACGATAGTTGTCCTCAAAGGTGCCCTGACATAGATTGTTGTACATACCCTTTCTATTTTAGGATGCATTTCCCTTCCTTACAGAATGTTGTTCTGATATAACCCATGACATTATGGAGTTTTCAGGTGTTAAAATAATTTTATGTCTTTATGTAACATTAACAATTTCAACTGAAGTTCAATAATAGGCTAGCAATTGTCTTTTAAAAAGTTATGCCTGGAGGTAAACCCAGATAATTTCTAATCCCAAATCCCCACAATAGCCAATGGTTGGCAATCATGGGCTTTTGCCAAAGGCTTCTGTTTGTGTGTGAGTTGCTGACACAATGTCATTTGAACATCACGGTAGCGTTGTCCCAAAGGAATCTATGGTGTGTTAGTTCTTTGAGGCTTCAAGAGAGCCTGCAGTTGTCCAGAACATCAAGAAAATTCAGTTTTTTTCCTCATATCTTTGTAAATCAGGGTTACTGAAATTTCCAGATGTGACAGACGATATCTTCACAAATCAAACAATACATTCAAACTTTATCCTCCTTGTTTTGATTTCAAGAAAATAACCTATTTTTAATTGCTTGAGGAATAAGTAATTCTCTTCATTTTAACATTTATTTGGTACAGGTACTTCCTTTGGTCATATGATTAATTGGCACTAGAGATTCTGTTTTAGCTTAATATTCAGATTGAGATATGAGTATTATATAATAAAGATAGCAAATTATACTTCTAACCTGGATAAAACTTAAGTCTCATCTCACCAGGTTGCAGAAATAAGCAAAAAAATTTAAATATGCTTGAGAAAGCACAGTAAATAAATACTGGAGTCCATCACACATGAATTCAAATTGGCTTTGATTTTCTTGCAAGATAGAAATTAAGAAGAAAATGTTAGTCCAATTCATCACAGAATACCAATCTCCTTTATCTTGTTGCCCAGGTTTTGCTTTTTTTGTTTGTTTTTTTTTTTTTTTTTTTTTTGTTGTTGTTTTTTGACAAAGTCTCGCTGTGTTGCCCAGGCTGGAGTGTAGTGGCATCTTGGCTCACTGCAACCTCCAACTCCAAGATTCAAGCGATTCTCCTCCCTCAGCCTCCCAAGTAGCTGGGACTACAGGTACCCGTCACCACACCCAGCTAATTTTTGTATTTTTTTTTTTTTTTTTTTTTTAGTAGAGACCGGCTTTCACTATGTAGGTCTGGCTGGTCTTGACCTCCTGACCTAGTGATCCACCCACTTCGGCCTCCCAAAGTGCTGGGATTACCGACATGAGTCACTGCACATTGCTGAATTGTTAATACTGTATTGAACCCAGCTGATACTTTTGTAGGTACAAATGTATTTAATCCTTTGTAGTCTAGAGTTAGACTTGAGGATCTATAAGTTTTTCCTAGAGGTCTCCTTTCTGACAAACCACAAAAGAAGGGATTTGTGGCTATTATTATAATTGCATTTAACATGCTTTTAAAGTTAAGACAAAAATTCTTGATAGTCTGTCTCTGGGTATTTTGTATTGTTTTAAAAATTACCATGTGAGTGCTTATAAATAGACCTAAAGGTTCCACCTAAAATACCCAGTTAAAACAAGACAAAGATAATATTTTCACCTGTAAACCCATATCCATCACACTTCATACAGACATCACATTTATCTCAGTAATATATTTGTGTATGGGTATGTGTAAGAGTCCATTCTTATATTGCTATAGAGAAATAACTGAGGCTGGGTAATTTATAAAGAAAGAGGTTTAATTGGCTCATGATTCTGCAGGCTGTACAAGCATGGCGCCAGCATTGCTGGGCTTCTGGGGAGGCCTCAAGGAGTTTTTCTCATGGTCGAAGGCAAAATAGGAGCAGTCACTAGACATGGCAAAAGCGGGAGCAAGAGAGCGATGTTGGGGGCGGCGTGCTACACACCTTTTTTTTTTTTTTTTTTGAGACTGAGTCTTGCTCTGTCGCCCAGGCTGGAGTGCAGTGGTACAATCTCGGCTCACTGCAACTTCCACCTCCCCGGTTCAAGCAATTCCCCTGCCTCAGTCTCCTGAGTAGCTGGGATTACAGTCACACGTCAACATGCCTGGCAAATTTTTTTGTATTTTTAGTAGAAGTGGGGTTTCACCATGTTGGCCTGACTGGTCTCGAACTCCTGACCTCAAGCAATCCGCCAGCCTCAGCCTCCCAAAGTGCTGGGATTACAGGTGTGAGTCACCGTGCCCTGTCGCTACACACTTTTAAATGACCAAAGCTCATGAGAACTATCTTTTTTATTTTTTTGTTTTTTTTTTGTTTGTTTGTTAGTTTCAAAGAGTGGAGAGTTTAATAAGCAAGAAAGAATAAAGAAGCTCCCCCATACAGAGACAGAGGGAGGGGGTCTCCAAAGCTGAGAGAGGAAATCCTGAGTGCAAGGAAATCAGCCAGTTATATGAGGAGGCTGGAGGAGGCGGTGTCTGATTTGCACAGGGCTCAGGGGATTGGTTTGACCAGGCATGTTACTCATGTAGCTTGTGAAAAAAAATGGCCCTCCCACCCTAGCCTTTTAATATGCAAATACAGGGCACCATGATGTTCTACACACGTGGGGATATGTACAAGCAGCCATGTTTCCAGGCACATGTTGGGGCAAGGAAGAAGACGGAGGAATCGCCATGTTTGGGTGGACCCAGTTTCTCATGGCCTGCATTTGCATATCAAAACTTGCCACCTGGCTCTAAAAACTGGGGCTTTCCTGCTAGACAAGAAATGTTTCTGGAGCTGCTTTAAAAGAAACAAAAACTTCCCAAGGACCCCTTTTCCTCTCTATCTACCTAAAATAATTTGTAGTAACTCCTATAATATTCCTCCTGTGGAGATGTCACCTTAACTGCTGTTAGGGGGTTTTGGACAACAACTCTTTCTGGCTACTTCCTGCTGAAAAGGGGCGTTGAATGGGGAACAGCAGCTAGGGCTCCCTCTGGGCTGGATCTAAGAGTCCTCAGAAGAATGGTGTGTCCATGGGTGATTCAGTTTGCAGCACGGCTTGGAGTTTGATTGCTTCTAGGTGAGAGGAAACAATTTGAGTTATAGTACTGAGTATACAGTGTCCAAATACTAACACAAGACATAAGCTCTCTGTCCAATATTTCACTTAGGAGGTGCTACCATGTATAATAACCCTGTTGCAAATAGTAGAGTGAGTATAGCAATTCCCACAAGTGTGGTGTAGTAGATAATTTCCATCTAAAATTTTACTTGCCAAGATATAGAACTTCGCTTTGGGGTGTCTATGAAGTTTCTTGGTTTCATTTTCCCAAACAAATAAACCTCCAGGTTATGGGCACCCTACTCATTTTCATTACCTGGCAGAATTTGCAGGATAAGTGCCCAGAACTAACATATTGATCCAGATTTTTACATTACCCATCCCTTTTTGATTCTTCCAAGCTGCAGGAGCTCACCACTTGCTTCACAGGAATAGGCGGGGTTCATCTAAAACGTAGGCAAAAAGCTTAAAAACAGTTAATGAGACTAGGATTTAATGACAAAAGTATGATAAGCTTTGGAGCACAATTCCTTTCTCCAGTCCTTATTTTTTTGGTAAGAATAAATTATGATAGGACCGTGTGTATTATTTGTAGAATAAACTTTATTGTTATACTTGGCCTGATTATTTGCATAAAATGCAGCAAGAATGGTTATTTCTACATAGGCCTTTTCAATTGGCTTGGATGGAACTCTGTTCCACAAGGAATTTCAGATAAGACCTTTAAAGCTGAGCCCAGGGCTGGGCACGGTGGCTCACGCCTGTAATCCTAGCACTTTGGGAAAAAAAAAAAAAAAAAAATAGTCGTGCCCGGCCATGTGTTTGTATCCTCAAATACTTGTGAGTTGGGAGATTCTTTGCTTGTAAGGTCCCAGGATAAACTTGGAGCTCCCAGACCTGTTAGAAAGTGACATTCCTTACTGACCACAGGTTAGGAACTCTGTGCAGGGATGGCGTAGACAAGGTATGAGGCCAGATAACTCACTCTCTTGAGTACAGTACCAAGTGGGATGGCGCTAAACCATTCATGAGAATTCCTCCGCCCCCATGATCCAATCGTCTCCCACCAGACCCCACCTCCAACACTGGAGATTACATTTCATTATGAGATTTGAGCAAGGACACACATCCAAACTATATCAGTATATAAAAACCATTATAACTTTTATTTATTAGCTCCTATTTTGAAGCATAGTTTTACTGTTTATTTTGCTGTTTATTCCTTCTACAGTTATATTATCATCTGATCCACTTAACAATTATATTGCCTTTACCTTTCAATAAACAGGTTTGTGTGTGGTATTACATTGTACACCAGTGTCCAGTAATACCCATAAAATTCCTCCACTATGTCAAAGGCATTTTACTTATAGAACAAACAATTTCCGATCCCTTTCTTGGGGTTGTGCCAAGAGAATGTGTACAATCCTATAATCAGAATCAGAATCCACTTTTAACCTCATATTGTATTAATTGGCACTGGTTATAGAGGATCTATAGATAGCTCTCTTGCATCATCCTCCTAAGATTTTTTTTTTTTTTTTGGTAAATTCATTAGGGCTGGGATAAATTGAATAAATTTGTCACAATCCTTTACTATCTGAGGAGTTGGTAGAACAATCACACCACCTAATCTCTTATATTAAAACACTACCATTTTAATGGTAACCACTTTCTTTTTTGCCATTTTTAATTAATCATCTGAATACTTACACATAGCTTAATTTATTCAAACGTTTTCCCCATTGGTTTAATTCTTACGTTTTGTGTATAGAACATCTCCACATCAGCCTGTCTTGTGAATAACAGGGGCTTATAAGGAGCGTGAGAAGTTGGGGGGAGACCCTCCTTTTGTAGCAGTTATCACTTGGGCCAAAAGCATAACATTTGGAGATAATTTATTATTTTTTATAACCAATCTAAAGTTGTGAATATTCTCAAGATTCTACTCTATTTAACGTCTATGGATGGAATTAGATAAATTCCTTTATCCAGTTACGTTCTATGCACTTCTACTTTCCAATAGCTGTGCAGATTTGGAGTTTTGATGTTCATACCCATTTCTGTAAGGGTTGAAGATAATTAAGAAACTGAATAAGACCCACCATGCTCAGCAGTCTTTGATTGCTAGGGAAATAGATCTCTCTGTCACGAATGCATAAATACATTTGCATAAATGCATAAAGTACATTTCAGTAGTGACTCACCAGGAAACTGTTGATGTCAGCCCACAAAGTGACTTAACTCTTTGACTGATTAATCCTGTGTTCAGATTGTCTCTTTTTTCCCTTCCCCTATGAACTGCATAGTCTCTAGTGTGATCATGAGTCAGATGAGGTTGTTTTCTGATCAAAGAAAATATCTTCTTAACTATCAAAAACCATCTGACTAAACTTGGAAAAGGATTTTGTAGCCCAAATTGAACCTTGAGATGACTGTATTCCAGGCTGACAGCTAAACTGAAATATTTTGAGAGATTCTGACACCGAACCATCTGGCTGAGTTGCTCCCAGTTTCATGACCCTCAGAAACCATACAATACTAAATGTTTATTATTCAAGCTGCTAAGTTTTAAGTGATTTGTTATGATAGAAGAGATAACTAATGTAGTACCAAGTGCTTGGTTCACTTCCAATCTCTCTGAAATTTTAAAAATTCATTTGGAAATAAAAATGAAATTATAACTACTCATAATTTGTGGGTTGCAGTGGAAGCCGTGCTTGAGGGAAATATATGGCATTGAATGTGTATATTAGATAAGAAGAGAGATCTAAAATCAATACCATAAATTTCCAACTTAGGACACTAGTATAAGAAGAACAAATTAAGTCTCAATAAACAGAAGGAAAGAAATAATAAAAATTAGAACAGAAATCAATGTAATTAAAAACAAGGCACAAAGATAATCAATAAAATCCCAAACTGGATCTTTGAGAAGATCAATAACATTAAAAAATATCTAGTAAGTCTAACCAAGAAAATTTTTAAAAACACAAATTATTAATATTAGAAATGAAAGAGGGGCTGTTACAACTCATCCTGAGACATTAAAAACTATTTAATAAAGAAGTATTATGAACAACTCTATGCCCATATAGTGGATAAAATTAGCACACAAAAAAGAAATATTTTGGTATAAATCTAACAAAGTATGTTAAACATCTACACTAGGAAAACTATAAAACTTTGATAAAAAATTTTTCAAAAGACCTAAATACGTGAAGTGGTATTCCATGTTCATTAAGAGGGAGACTTGATCTGTAAACTCAGTGCAATACCAACAAAATCATACGTTTTCTTGTGGATATCAACCAACTGATTCTGAAGTTAAAATAGAAAAGCAAAAGACCTCAAATAGCCAACACAATACTGAAAGGGAAAACAAAGTTGGAGGGCTGACTTTACCTGAATTCCAGCCTTATTATAAAGCTATAGTAATTAAAACAGTATGGTATTGGTAAAATAAATAGAGAAAAGACTCAAAGAACCAGGAGCTCAGAAAACAGACTCAGTAATAGAATCAAATAATTTTTGACAAAGGTGATACATTTTTGATATATCTAATAAATGATTTCTATAAAAAATATACAAAGAACTCTTAAAACATGATAATCAGAAAATAAACAACACAACTAAAAATGGGTAAAAGTTCTGACGAGAAACTTTACTTAAAATTTTATACTTGGAAAATAAGCATATGCATAGGTATTCAACATTATATGTCATTAGAGAATTGCAAGTCAAAACAAACACAATGTGAAACTAAAACACATCTATTAGAATGGCTTAAATCCAAAACGCTGACAAATACCAAATGCTGGCGAACATGCGGAGCAATTCTCATTCATTGCTGGTGTGAATGCAAAATGTATTTACCAAATAATAGAAATACAAGTCAATTGAACAGATTAGAGAACCCAGAAACAAACTCACAAATTGAGTCAACTAAGTTTTGACAAAGATGTGAGCGTCATTCAATGAAGAAAGTTTATTATTTTCAAGAATAGTGCCAGGAAAATTAGATATTCATAAGCAAAAAGAAAGAGTAAAATTTGATTTATACCTCACAAGATATACAGAATTTAACTCAAAATAGACAAAACACCTGCATAGATAATCCAAAATTCTGAAAGTTCTACAAATAAATATTCTGAGATATTGAGTTAGGCAAAGAATAGCTTAGCTATAATACCAAGAGGATGATCCACAGTAGAAAAATATTGAGAGAAGAGCATAAGTAACACAGGTGTCAAAACCAACAAGCAGAGAATTTTAAATAGGGGTCATTAAGATGTTAACATCACCAATGGAAAAGGTACAAAACATGCATGTTTATTTTGAGTAATCTAAATATCTATGTTGAGAGAAAATATTTGTGAACTAAAAAATGTGTTTATAATCAAACTATTTGTTGAGATTAAAGGAATGAGGATAAAATAAGAACATTTCAGAATGACAAAAACTTAGAGTTTACCAGCCATTAACCTCCTAGTTCTGAAGGACACACTTCATGAACAAGGAGGAGGAGGAAGCGAAAGAGAGCAACAGCAACAACAAAGGACCCTGCGTGAAAAATCTGTGATACAAGAGGAAAGATAAACAAGGGAACAAGAAAAGCTGTAAATTAATGTAAATACATTGTCTCTGTAATAATGTCTAGTTTGTGAATTTTTTAAAAAGACTAAAATTGAGAACATCAACTGCATGTAAGTCCAGGAAATATGAGGGAGACTGAAATCCTCTAAAGGATGTGTATATTTGGCCAGGCGCAGTGGCTCACACCTGTAATCCCAGAACTTTGGGAGACCGAGGCAGGCAGATCGTTTGAGGTCAGGAGTTGGAGACCAGCCTGGCCAACATGATGAAACCTTGTCTCTACTAAATATACAAAAAAATTAGTCAGGCATGGTGGTCTGCACCTGTAGTTCCAGCTACTTGGGAGGCTGAGGCAGGAGAATTGCTTGAACCCGGGAGGCGGAGGTTGCAGTGAGCCAAGATGACGCCACTGTACTCCAGCCTGGGCAACAAAGCAAGATGCTGTTTCAAAAAAAAAGAAAAAGAAAAAGAAAAAGTGTATATTTTGGTAATCTTTTCAAGAAAACAACTGAGACATTGATTTTCATTAGACTTTTCTAATGTGTTATAAATTATGTTAATTTTAAATAAAAATAGTTAACAGAATAAAAGAAATATAAGTTTCAAAAGATTAGGTGAAGAAAATTGTAGTGAGAAATAAAAAATAATTCCTAGAAACACAAATGTTTAAAATTTAAAAACAAAATATTGAAACGGGACAAATATAAAACACAAAATTGGCCTAAGTATATTAATAATCAAAATAAGTGTTTTTGAACTAAATACACTATTGAAAATATTGACAACTTAGATAGGTTTATTTTTTAATACTACCATATTCTGCTTAAAAGGATGTTTGTAAAGAATGAAAATAAAAGGCGGAAAATGACAATTAAAAAATTCAGAGTAGATATATCTATATCTGACCATGTAGACTTTAAGCCACATCCAAGATTATTAATGTCAGATATATTTAACTGTCTAAGAAATTGTGACAATTTCAAACATCCATATAAAAAATAAAATGATCATAAAAGACTGAAAACAAAATTGTTAGAAGTACAAGTGGAATTGACAAACACATTAACGTAAGAGAGATTTTTTAACAGATTCCACTAGTCAATAAGAAAAAAATAAAATTACAGTGTCTGAACACAAAATTAACAACCTAATTGAAAGGAGACACACACAACCTGAACTTAATAATTTAGGTAACATATTTTTTTGGAACACATAAAAAATATTTACCAATAAGAACTATGTTCATACCCTCCCCCCACCCCACCCCCAAAAAAGAAGCAAGCCTCAGCTTCAATTCAGGAAATATTAAGAACTAGCAAAAGACAAACCTCAGAAAAAATGTGAAACTAACATAGAACTTGAGAAATGCCTTTGGAAGTCCAAGTTTCTTTTGAACTTAAAAGACTTCATAGAAGCAACAGAGGATGGAAGTTAGCTGTGTCTGATCTTGCTTTTCCCATAGTTGCCTTGAGAAAATCGCCTCCCCCAAGCATCACAGAAATGAGAAAGTGGCACTTTGTGAGATATAATAGATTTTTGTCTTTTTATGGCTACCCAGAATCTTTTTAATGCCTTTCCTATAATTTGAAATTTCTACCTGTTCTGAATTCTGCCTACCTAAAATAGGGAAGCCAGGATGCAATGCCTCAATTTCATTTGCAGCTCTAATGTTTTAATAATCTAGGCTTCTTTAGTTAGATATGTATTTAGGATAATTTGTTTTAGAATAGATAAAATGAAAGAGGCAACAAGAAGCAGACCTGTCTTGTTTTAGGTGTTTGCCTGTGTGAGAGAAATCAAATCCACATTTTCAGGGTTCCCAGAGATAGATTCCTTTGCCCACTATAATCAGTAGAATATAAGTATGTAAGTTTAACAGGCAGCATTACAAGATGGCCCAAAAAACCTGCCCTCCACTGTGTACCACTCATGTAATTTCCCTCTCTGTGTGTGGGCAGAGCCTGTGACTATGATAGGGCATCACTCCTGTGATGAGTTGATTTGAATGAACCAAAAGAGCATCCTGGCCCAATTAGGTGAGCCCTTAAAAGGGAAGTTGAAGAGATTCAATGTGTGAGAATGTGTTTGGAAGAACATACATGGCAAGAAACTGTGGGTGGCTTCTGGGAGCCTAAAGTGACACCTAGACTTCAGCCAGGAAGAAAACAGAGGCCTCAGTGCCACAATCATAAGGAACTAAACTCTATCAAAAGCACACGTATTTGAAAGAGTGCCCCTAGCTCCAGAAAGAATCATAGCCAAGTCAATACTGTGATTTCAATCTGAAAAGAGTACCCAATAATCTGTTCTCTCTCTTGTTTTTCTCCCTTGTAGACCTTCAGGCTTGGACACCTATAGAAGTTCATGTAAGGCTAGGAAGTTTACACACCCTGGTTTCTCTGTGGGGCAGACCGTGGTAGACATAACAGTGGAATCAGAAAGAGCAATAAAGAAGCTATATCTCAAGTCTAGGAAAAGTAGGTCATTTGAATGAGGTTGGCAGTAGTGAAGTAGGTGAGGCATCACCCGATTTCAAATTTATTTTGAGGATAGAACTGACAGAGCTTGCTCATGGATAATAGAGAGGAATTAGGAAAGACACTTAGCTTTTTGGCTTGTGTAATTAACTGAATAGTGGCCCTCATCTGCAGTTGTGAGGAGATTTGGGAAGGAGTAGATCTGTAGAAGAAACCAATAATTCTGTTTGTGTCGTGTTAAGTTAAAGATGTCTATTAGGCATTCACTTAAAGATGTCAAGTAGGTAAATGGAGTTAAAATCTATTTAGAAGAGAAGTCAGACTGGATAAATAGAATCAGGTGCCAGTATAGAAATGGTATTTAAACCCAGTGGACTGGGAAAAATGTCTTTTTTTTTTTTTGTATGTAACAAAAGGACTTTGCAGGCAATGCCTACTGGAAATGTATAACTGTGTGTCAAAACACCAAGCTGAACCTGAATATGTAAATACTGTTTAAACTTTTAAAAGAATATATACATTGTAGCCAGGTGCAGTGGCTCACACCTGTAATCTCAGCACTTTGGGAGGCCGAGGAGGGTGGATCACCTGAGGTCAGGAGTTCGAGACCAGCCTGACCAGCATAGTGAAACCCCATCTCTACTAAAAAAATACAAAAAATAGCTGTGCTTAGTGGTGGGAACCCGGGAGGCAGAGGTTGCCGTGAGCCGAGATCGCACCATTGCACTCCAACCTGGGCGACAGAGCAAGACTCCTTCTCAAAAAAAGAATATATACTTTGTATATCAGCATTATCATTACCATAATATTAACTGATGATCTTGGCTACTTTCAATGTAGGAGTTTGCATGACTAAACTCTAGTAACAATAATAATAAAAATAAAAATAATGATGCCAGAGAGTTAACTAGGCACAAAGCAAAAGGAGACACCAATAGGTCTAGTAAACATAGGAAAAAATATTTCATTTCATTAGCCATCAAGCAAATAAGACATAAAAGCACAATGTTACACAACTTCACACTAACCACTATGTAAATGATAGATGTTACCAAGCGTTGTATAGATTGGGGAGTAATAACGTCTTTTGTACAAGGCTGGTAGTTCTGTTCGCTGGTAGTTCTGTTCACTGGTAGAATCATTTTGAAAAGCAGTTTTGCAGTTTCTCATAAAGCAAACATATGTCTACTATGTGACTCAAAAATTCCTCTTCTGGGTATACACTCGAAAGAAATGTGTGTATATTTTTACTAAAGTCATGTAAAAAATGCTCATAGCAGGGCTATTTACTGTGGCCCTAAAGTGGAAATTACGCAAATGCCTTTCAGCTGAAAGGGTAAGTAAATTGTGGCATATTCACAATATGGTCTACAATGCAGTGATAATAATCAACTGTAATTATACATAATAATATTAACACAGTTGAATCTCTTATACATAATGCTGAGCAAAGAAAGCCAGACAAAAGAGTTAAAGTACTGTATGATTTCATTCATATCAAAAAGTTCAAAAATGAGCAAAGAAGTGAGAAGAAATAAATAAGAAGTTAGAATAGAAGTCATTCTTGGAAGGTGTAGTACCTAGAAATAGGTAGAAATTCGTTTCTGGGAAGTTTGTAGTGTTCAATTGTGAATGTATACTGAGACCTGTACATGTTTTATTTGTGTACTTCTCTTTTTTCACACTTATTTATGTATTATATTCTTCAAAACAAAATCAAATAATTTACATTTATTTTGTGCTTTTTATGTGCCAAGTTACGGCTTCTCAATCTAGGTACAATTTCTGCATTTATAACACAGTTCTGCAAGGAGAACATTGATATTTTAGTGAATGAATCATGATTTTTTAAAGAAAAACATGTCTACTAATTTTATAAAAATATAACTGAAAAGGTTAACATTAACATTTATTGTTGTATATAATTATTTAAAAGCACATGAAGGTCAGACATGGTGGTTCACTCTTGTAATCCCAGCACTTTGGGAGGCTGAGCCAGGTAGATCATTTGAGGCCAGAAGTTTGAGACCAGCCTGGCCAACATGGCAAAACTCTGTCTCTACTAAAAATACAAAAATTAGCCAGGCCTGTAGTGTTGCATGCCTGTAGTCCCAGCTAATCAGGAGGCTGAGACAAGAGAATCGTTTTAATCTGGGAGGCAGAAGCAGTGAGCTGAGATTGCACCACTGCACTCCAGCCTAGGTGACAGAGTGAGACTCTGTCTCAAAACAAAAAAACAAACAAAACAAACCACAACAAAAACAACAACAAAAAACAAGTACATGAAAGCAATAAAAAACTTCAATATAACTAAATGCTTTTGTTATTAATATGAACCTATTTCCTACCATTGTTTAACTAAAGATTTTAGCCTCATTTTAAAAGAACATACATTTTTAGACTTTGTAACTTGATTTCAAACACTTACTATAAGTATTCCTGGTTCCAAAACCTCTAGAATCTAGTAAAAACTGTATTAAGAGCTTTTATTGGAAGATTCGTGTCATCTTTATTTATGTGCTTAGAAAAATTTGAAAATATAAACTAATCAGAAAAGAGGTACTTATTTGCACATGAGAGTAAGTTTTAAACACTACTTCTATGCCTATATATTGGGGGAGGGGAGAAAGATAATTGTTAGTAGTCAGTGTTCTCCAGAGAAACAGAGCCAATAGAATACATGTATATGATGGGATACATTGTAGGAATTAGCTTATATAATTAGATTGAGAAGTCTCACGATATTTGGCCTGCAAACTGGAGAACCAGGAAAGCCGATTGTGTGATTCAGTTAGAGTCCAAAGGTCTGAGAGTCAGGGGGCCAGTGATGCAACTTTCAGTCCCAAGCTAAAGGCCTGAGTAGGAGGATGGTGGGGCGGGCAGCGGCGAGGAAGGTGTTCTTCTTGGTCCCCAGAGCCCAAAGACCCAATATATGGGAGCACTGGCAGTGATATTCAAGACTAGGAGAAGATGGATCTCCCAGCTCAAGAAGAGGGAGTGAATTCACCCTTTCTCTAATATTTTGTTCTATTGGGCCCCTAATGAATTGGGTGATACCCACCCATATCCATGAGAATGAATCGTCTCTACTCAGTCTCCTGATTCAAATACTAACCTCTTCCAGACATACTCTCAAGAACACATGCAAAAATAATGTTTTACCAAGTATTTGGGAATCCCTCAACCTAGTTAAACAGACACATAAAATTAATCCTCACAATAATTAAAGAATATTCTTGAACATTAATAGTAAAGATTTGTTATTTTCTTGTTATCTACTTCCCTCTACTATCAACCCACCCCATTTACAGGAGAATTTTCTAATCTTTTGTCTGTCTTCTCTGTGGTGTATAGTAAAAGTTCACTCATAATTGAAAATACAGTCTATGCAAGAGATCTTTCTGTGAAAATAAAGATATGCATGAAGGCCTTACTAGAGATTAATTGGCCATGTAATTATTTCCACTCAATTGAAATGCCTATAAATTTGAATTACTGCCTGGCACTGTGGCTCATGCCTGTAATCCTAGCACTTTGGGAGACCAAGGTGGGCTGATCACTTGAGGTCAGGAGTTTGAGACCAGCCTGGCCAACATGGTGAAAGCTTGTCTCTAATAAAAATACAAAAATTAGTGGGAAATCACTTGAACCAGGGAGGCTGAGGATGCAGTGAGCTGAGATTGTGCCACTGCACTCCAGCCTAGGCAACAGAGTGAGACTCCACCTCAAAAAAATAAAAATAAAAAATGAATTACCCAATGTACAATAACAGACAGTGTTTCTTTTTTTTTCTTGGTTCCAAAGCAATTTTTATATATCTGATATTATATTTTCCTGGGATTTTTCGATAATTTATATTTTGTTTTTCCCAAACAATTGATGGCAAGCTTCTTAAGTGTGGAAAATACTTTTCATTCATAATGATAACTTCTAGGTCCAACTTATCTTTTTCTTCTGTGTACTTTTCAATACTGATTAATAAAGAAATAGGATAAACATGCCACAGTCTAACTGAACCACTTGAAATAAATTACATATTCCAGAAAAGATACATTTTGGGTATATTTGTATTTCTAAATATTTGTATTACTAAATAATTTTCCACCAAATATCCCTTTTTAGAAATGGACTTTCATTTTTAGAGCAGTTTTAGTTTCACCGCAAAATTGAGCAGAAGGTCCAGAAATTTCCCATGTGCCTCCTCCCCGCAACAGGTACATAGCTTCTTCCATTACCAACATCCCCCCAGAGTGGTATGCTTGTTGCAATCAGTGAAACTTCACTGATACATTATTACTACCCAAGCTCTATTGTTTGTTAGGGCTTACTCTTGGTGTTGTATATTCTGTGGGCTTAACCAAATGCATAATGGTGGCATGTATCCACTATTACAGTATTAGACAGAACACTCACTTTCCTAAAAATCCTCTTTGCTCTTTTGCTCTTCCTATTCATCCCTCCCTCCCCGCTAAGTCCCTGAAACCACTTTTTTTTTCACTCTCTCCTTAGTTTTACCTTTTCCAGAATATCATGTAGTTGGAATCATAAAGTATGTAGCCTTTGCAGATTGGCTTCTTTTACTTGGTAATATGCATTTAAGTTTCCTCCATGTTTGTTCATGGCTTGACATTTATTTTTAGTGCTGAGTAATATCCCATTGTCTGGGTGAACTGCAACTTACTTATCTACTCACCTGCTGAAAGACATCTTGATTTCGTCCCAGTTTTGGCAATTGTAGATAAAGCTATTCTGAGCATCTATGTGCAGCTTTTCTCAATTCCCTTGAGTAAATACCAAGGCACACATTGCTGGATTGCCAAGTATCTCTTTTGTTATTTTCTCTTTAGGCAAAAACTGTCTCGGTGATTCTTATTTCACAACAGGCTTAATTTATTATAATAATGTTATTTTTAGTTTTATATTGATAAAAGCAATACAGAAATAAACATAATGTAAAAACCATGAGAAGTAATAACATAATTTTAAAAAATATTTGAATTGCATATTATAACCTGTACTGATACATACAAATCTAAGAACCAAAAGCAGTTATCCAATTATCTAGAACAGTGGCTAACCAAAGTCATTCTATTGCATTCACAGTTTGATTTTCTACAAGTTGAGAATGATAAAGGCTTATTATTAACACCAGGTTGAAATGGAATAATTGCAATTACTACTAGAAAATTAATATACCTATTTTAGCTATTAGAAAAAAATTATCAATTGCAAAATGAAAAATCTAATAGTTCAAGTATTATGAATATAAAAAATATAAATTAGTTGTGATTGTGTAATGTAAGAAACTTTATTTGGTTATACTCCACAAAATAAATAAATATTTGAGAATAAAACAAAATTAAATTGAAATCACAGACAATTTTCTTTTGCTACTCGCCACAAATAATATAACTAAGCTATGGGCCACTGAATAAATAGCAGCAAAGCACAGCAATCACTAGAAGGAAACAAACATTTGAACTTGAAATAAAGGAAGATTTGCATATGTGCCTGGCAAAAGAATCTATTGATTAAAACAAATTACATCTCCATTTTTTAAGTTGAGTTTATGTCTAGAATAAATAGAGAATGATCCATAGCAAGCAGGAAATCTCACAGAGTTGCAGAGCAGCAATATAAATACTACATTACTCAAAATTAATTTTCAACTATAAACTTTTCAAAAGCCAGCACACATATAATAAAAAAATGAATTTGAATGAATGGTAGTAGGATTGAGACAAAAAAAGGAAGAATGAGGAAATGAGAGATAGAGCTAGAAGGTAGAAAAAGAGAAAGATATTTCTAAATGCAATAGCATACCCTTTATTGTTAGTCTATATAAAGGCATATGATGGATTATATGTAATATAAATTTCCTTTGACATTTAGATTCCTTCAATACAGTGCCACTGAAATTTTAAGTTTAAAATTAATCTAGAGAGTTACAGTAAGATCAGAGTCTTGCTTCATTGATACATAACACTTCTGTTTATTAGTTGTTTTAAGAACTACACATTAGCAGCTTTGTTGTGTCAGGAGATAAATATAATAACATCACAGATGATGAAATTTATCAATCTGCAGAAAATGATTTCGGACTCAGTAAAGGACACAGAGAAGAATCTATGTATTTATATATTGTCTGTTTGTCTATCTATCTATCTATCTATCATCTATCTATCTATAATTGTTACTATGGGAGCACACTTAAGGAGCAAAAAAGGAGAGTTTAAAGTTGGCCAAAGACAGGTATGGGAAAGTAGGTTGATGCTTTGAGAAGGGAGGTCCTGGTACAGATGGATAAGAAGTAATTATGAAGAGTGAATTTTAGAAGAAAAAGCTAAATGTGGGCAATGACAGAAGACAGAAAACAAAGTCTAGGTCAAAGGTTATTCAATGTGGCCTGTAATCCCAGCACTTTGGGAGGCTGAGGTGGGTGAATCATGAGGTCAAGAGATGGAGACCATCCTGGCCAACATGGTGAAACCCTGTCTCTAATAAAAATACAAAAATTAGCCGATCATGGCGGTGGGCACCTGTAGTCCCAGGTACTTGGGAGGCTGAGGTAGGAGAATCACTTGAACCCTGGAAGTGGAGGTTGCAGTGAGCTGAGATTGTGCCACTGTACTCTAGCCTGGTGACAGAGCAAGACTTCGTCACAAAAAAAAAAAAAATGTATTCCATGTGAATACCAATTTAGAGCTCCATTACAGATTACTGAATGTTATCCTTATGATTTTGGCCTTAATTCTGTGATAAATAACACATTTTTAGAAAATATAAGTAGGAGAATGGAATAATGAGAGTTGTACTTTAGAAAAAATAGTTCTTGGGTGCTGCATTGTTTAAAGCTCCAAGAATTAACAAGTGTCAAGATCCAGTTGAATGTTTGTTGCTTACTTATTTTTTTTTAGAATTTCTGAGACATATCACCAAGAAAATACTAACTTGAACTATACTACTCTTTCTCTCTCAAGAATTGATCTAAGATACAGTTAAATACAGTTCACCCTTAACAACATGGCTTCGAACTGCTTGGGTCAACTTATATGTAGATTTTTCTCTGCCTTTGCTATCCCTGAGACAGAAAGACCAACCCCTCCTTTTCCTCCAACTCCTCAGCCTGCTCAATGTGAAGATGACAAGGAGGAAGATCTATGTGATGATCCACTTATACATAATCAATAATAAATATATATTTTTTTCTTACGATTTTTTTTTTTTTTTTTGAGGCAGTCTGGCTCTGTCACCCAGGCTGGAGTGCAATGGCATGATCTCAGCTCACTGCAACCTCCACCTCTCAGGTTCGGGTTCAAGCGATTCTCATGCTTCAGCCACCCGAGTACCTGGGATTATAGGCATGTGCCATCACACCCAACTAATTTTTGTATTTTTAGTAGAGACGGGGTTTCACCATGTTGGTCAGGCTGGTCTCGAATGCCTGACCTCAAGTTATTTGCCTGCCTCAGCCGCCCAAAGTGCTGGGATTACAGGCATGAGCCACTGTGCCCAGGGATGATTTTCTTAATAATATTTTCTTTTTTCCAGTTTGCTTTATTATAAAAATACAGCATGTAACACATATAAAATATGTGCCAGTCAACTGTTAATGTTATTGGTCAGGCTTTTCATCAAAAATAGGCTATTTGTAGTTAGGTTTTGAGGAAGTCAAACGTTCTATGTAAATTTTTGACTGTGTAGGGCTCAGTGACTCCATGCCCATGTTGTTAATGGTATTCTGTACTTGCTCATGTATATTTTTGTTTTGAATGAGACACTGATTATATAAAGAACAGTTATACAACTTACTAAAAATAACTAACAAAGCTGTGATCTAGTATATGTTTCAATGAATTATATAAAAATCCATTTGTTGGCTACAAAACAATTTATGAAATGGATTTTCTTTGTTGTCTTAAACTGGCTACTAGAAAGTTTACAGCATAAGAATATGCAATGCATGAATAATTCCTTACAATTTATACTGTGTGGTATGAAGACTAAGCCTCTGTCTAATAGTATCTAGTAGATGTTATTATTATCCATATTTGCTTGTGAGGAAAATCATACATGAGAAATTAATTTTATTGACAAAGGGAACATGAACTCACTGTTAGGACTGGTATTTAGATCTATATAACCTGGACACAGAGTTCACACTTCTAAAATGTTGATATACTGTATCTCATCAATCAGGATCTTGTTCTAGAAGCACTCAAGTAATCTGATTGTTTTTTACTTATGAAAATTGTATAAAACATTTGAGTAAATGTAAATAATATTATGTAGTGGAATTATTTAGGAAAATATTATGTTTGTGTGTATTATACATGCAGTTCATCCAATGTGTTTGGATTTTAACTTTTTGGAAAATATTTGCTGTTGTAAGCAGAAATTTCTATAATCCATGGTTATTATTTGTATAGGAGTAACTTCTTAAAAGTAAAATGCCTGGGACAAATATACAGATATATTTATATTTGTGTGTGTGTATAGTATGTGTGCATATGTCTATTTATGTGTGTATATGTTTATATATGTATATTTCTGAACGTAATTAAAAAATGTACCTGAGCAGCTGTTGTCAATTTGGCTTATACAGATCAGAATTAACTCCTTTTAAAGAAGTGGCTCTGGAGTCATCTGAGTTCATTGAGATGTTCAAGAAATATTCAAAGTTGCAGATAATTCTATGATGCAAATACATCAAATTGTTTGTGTTGTTTTAATGAAAAATGCTGATTTCTTTCTGAAAATACCATCATATTAATTTAAGCACCAAGACTCTCCTCACATACTTGCTGGAAGAACTTTCTCTGAACTAACCTTCCCATTATTGGACATTCCTTCATTTTATTTCATAAGCGCCTACAATGTCTGTATCATAACACTTAGCATATTGTGTGAGATATGATGGTAGAATTAGTAGCTTTACCTGAAAGTTTTACGCGACTTGAAAAAAACTAAAATGTCATATTTACTTTTACATGCTGGGAACTTAGCACATAGTTTAGCATATTGTAGGGATTTTAATAACCATATGTTAAACAAATGAATGAAGATAGTCATGTACAAGCTGAGCAGGGGGAAAAGAGGACTTTGAAACTGCAAGACAATGAAAAAAACGGTTTTACCCAGGCTTTTGAGGTGGTAAAAATAAAGATAATATTGGATATCAATAACTTATCAATAACCATTTAGAGCTTCCCTGAAAGTGAATGTAATAAATATTTAGAAAGGAAAAAATAAAAACTCTCTGCTAGATTTATTTCATTCTCTTGCAATGCTTAACTCTTTCAGACCAAGATTGAATTAGAAATTTAAATTTTTCCAGAAATCAAAGTTCAGGCACAAAAGTCTTCACAGGTAAAATATACCAAATATTTTTAAAATAACTCTTGTTTTTCCATCCATCAGCAATGAATAATTTGGAAATAAAATTAAGAAAACAATTCTACATATAAGAACATTATAAACATATGTATGAACAATATATATCTCTATTATATATATTTATATAACACATAAATAAAATATAGTGCACAAGTTTTACACTGAAAACTAGAAAACGTTATTGCAAAAAGTTAAAGAAGATCTAAATAAATGATGAGCAATTCTAAATTATTGAATTGGATGACTGAAAACTAAGGTGGCAATTGTTCCTAAATTGATCTGGAGATGCTGTACAGTTGCTATCAAAATTCCATAACCTCAAAAAGAGTGTGAAAGTGAAAGAAGTCAGATAAAAATACTACATATTGTGTGAAATATCTAGAAAAGGTAAATATGCACAGAGAGAATGTAGATTAGAAGTTGCCTGAGTCCGGAAGGTAGGAGATGGGATTGACTTAATTGGCATGACAGATGATTTTGAGTTAATGGAAAATGTTCTAAAACTGAAGGTCGCACATTCTATAAATTTACTAAAATTCATTGGATTATATTCTTAAAAATGTTGAATTTATTCTGTACACTTTGTACCTCAATAAAGCTTTTTCAAACTCATGAAAGTGTTGCAAAACCTTAGCATTGAAGAAAAAAATGGCCTGAAGGATTTTTTAGATTAAACTCTAGAATTGGAAATAAAAGGCAACAACTTAAGAACTAGTTTTCTCTCAAAGTAGAGATATATTTAATCAGCTGAGGGCAATAGGAATGCTCAGAGAGCAACTGAGTTCTATTTTTTAGTGTCTGTGGGCAGAGACCTCTTGCTGGGGCTAGGCCAGAGAGTCTCAGGGAGAGAGGGTCTGTGTGTCACCCTCCTGTGACAGCATCAGGGAAGCCTGTCATCTCATGGTGTGCCTGGGCAGAACAGTAGTAATGGTTCAGTGAGGGGTTGTAGATTGGCAGAGTGCAGCCTTTTAGAACTCTGCACACCCCATCATGATGAAAAGAGCGTGAGGTCATTTGTGTATTTTCTTCCTACGGAAAATTGCATGCTCTTAGGCAAGCCTGAAGGTAGTACTTAGGGAAGTAAAAGTAAATAAATAAATAAATAAGAAAAAATATATAAGAATTTTATATATATGTGTGTGTGTGTGTGTGTGTGTGTGTGTGTATATATATATATATATCTCCACACTTATATGTTCCGGAAATAAAGGAACAATTCAAGACACCAAAACAGTGTCTTTTTCTGGAACTTATAGTGTCTTATTTTAGTGTGGGATTAAACCTAACTACATTTTAGTTCCTGAACTAAAATAAGGTGTAGGAACAATTCAAGACCATTGAGATAAAAGACATCTGAATGTGGTGAAAAAACACCGGATATGAAGTAAAGAAAATGAAGTTTTAGTCTTAGTTAATCTTTTAATAATTAGTTTTTGACTTCATATGAATTACTTGTCCTCTGCTTAACTATAGAAAAATAACTGTAATAAATGTCCTCTAACATCCTATACTCTTGTATCATTCTAAAAGAGTGAGGTGTAAGATAAGGCTGTAAGTGTGGCTCAGTTAACTGAAATGAAGGTGAAGGTGCTGGAGTCCTTGTTAATATAACAGATATAACAGAGAATAAGCAAGGAAGCCTTATTCCTAATCTGGACTGCCTCCCTACAGATTTAAGCATTTCTATCAATAATCCTCTTCGTTAATTATAGCTACTAACACAGGCATTCTGACATTGTTTGACTGACTTATGTAAAATCTCACATGAATACTAAATAGTTATCTACTAGATCTATTCTTCCAATATTATGTTTTATATCTTTGGTCTTATTGTGGTATTATATATATATATATATTTTTTTTTTTTTTTTTTTTTTTTTTTTTTTTGAGAAGGAGTCTCACTCTGTCACCCAGGCTGTAATGCAGTGGCCCCATCTCGGCTCACTGCAAACTCCGCCTCCCGGATTCATGCCATTCTCCTGCCTCAGCCTCCCAAATAGCTGGGACTACAGGCACCCACCACCATGCCTGGCTAATTTTTTTTGTATTTTTAGTACAGATGGGTTTTCACCGTGTTAGCCAGGATGGTCTCGATCTCCTGACCTCATGATCTGCCCGCCTCGGCCTCCCAAAGTACTGGCTTACAGGCATGAGGTATAATATTTTTGACCCCAAATTGGATTAGATCAACATTTTCTTTTTACCTGTAAACCCATTTGTTTTATGACTTCTTCAGTATGCAATCAACTTTAGTAAATTATTTTAATTTGAAAGAACCTGACAAGTTGCTCCTGATGAGTACCTGTGGCAACTGGAAAATGAAAGAAAATTAGATCCTTCATGGTTTGGGGCATAATTTCTTCCTAATATTTTTAGTGATTCATTTTAATGCTTCTTCAAATCATATCCTATTATGAACAAAAGGAGAAGAGTCTCCCATAATGTGTAGTAATAGAATTATTTAGTCCAAGGTAACCAACCTCTTGATTTTAGGGCAGCATAATATGTTTGCTCAATTAAGAAATTTTAGTCAGAAATCAAAGAAACAGCAATTATCATCTCCAATTATAATAGCCCTTTTAATTTATTATAAATTATAATTTGCCCATGATCCACATGTATAATATAGCATTAATGAGAAGCTGACTGTGACTCTTTGAATGAGTGCCCAAAAACTGCCTACCTGAAATAAAGTAGCAAAATTCTACTATAAAGCCTTGCTAAAATTGACTTGGTAATAAAATCACTTAACACTAAGCAGCAAAGATCTTCATTACCTTCTATTATTTTACTGTAGCAATATGGCCTAAATGCAACATTACATACTCATTGCTAATTTTGTTCCCTCATAAAGAATGTACTCGTTTCTAAAGAATGTACTCTTTCCTTGCTAAAAACCGTTTCAGAAAATATATATTCTGAGACATTATTGATCCCATTAAGAATTCTGTCTTAATTTTCTACTGGTAAATATTAGGATGTGGAAAGGAAAAATGTGAGAATAGCATCTCCCTTTTCACAATTTTCCCGAGAAACACATGATGTTCTCAGAATAAAAAAGGCACAACTTCTAGTTAATCATCATTTTGACCTTGTGTGTCTGGGTAACAAACTAATGTGTAGTGATTCTTCTCATTAACGTTTATATGAAGAATAGGAATGGAGTCCCTACAAATACTATGCTTCTCCCCCAGAAATTATCAATTAAAAATCATGAAATGGCAATTTTAACCATGCAACCAATAAATGATTTGGTGTAAAAACCTAACTCTCTCTATATGTATATTTTTCAATAAATATTATTATATTTACAATTATTTTAATGGATGATAGTCACTCAAGTTTGTATTAGTTCCTAGGAATAATCTGTAAAACAAGCCAGAATTGATTCATGCCGTCTCAGACCTTACAACCTTTTAAAGATGACAGATATTTAACTTAAAAATTTTGAAAGTTATAATTTTAATTTAAAACATAAGATTCTGTGGTAATCTATAACAGGATTATATCATATTAAGAGGAACGTAAAAAACTTTTAAGATTAAGTATGTTTAGACTAGACACAAATTTTGCTCAAGGAATATAGTAATATGGCTAAGGCCTTTAAAAGACAAGAAATAAAACATTACAGTAAATATAAGCATTACATGTTTGATAAGAAATAGAAAATGAAGAGCAATGTTTGAAGTAGCCAAGAAAGGACCTCTGAAAATCTTGTTTTCCATAAAAGCAATGAGAACAACACTGGCAAAGAAAAAAAAAGTCAAAATTATGGAAATTAATGGAAGAATTGCAACTATCTGAGGGATGTTTATTTTAGAAAAAGAGGTAAATGTTGGGAAGAACAGTGAACTTTGTGTTGTTTTCATTTGTACAATTTCCATTAGCTCCCACCTACCTCCATAGTAGCCTTGAAATCCTTCAACTCCAAAGGCATTGGGGAGGGAAGAAAGAGGTTGGAGTTCTGAGCTCCTCTAATTGTACATTCCACCATCACTATCAAAAACAACCAATGGAAATTGTTTAACTCTGTGGCTGCCTTAGGTGACAATAACAGTTGTTGCAACAAATAACAAAATGATCAAAAACCTTAAAAGGAAAAGCTTGGAAATTAAATGAGCATAGGAGACTTTGAAACGTTCTGACATGTTTCAGGGACTATAGATGGTTATAGGAAGATGTAGGGCTGTGTGCATGCCCAGGGCTAAGAGCATGACAAGGAATAATTTGAGATGGCTCTAAGCACTCACTTCTGTTTCTTCTAGTGATTCTGTGCAGGCAAGAAGTGAAGGCTAAGGCATAGCTGTAAACAGCCTTCCAGATCTCTGAATGAATGCCCCCAAACACAGACTGGCTTGCCAAAGACTGGGAGACTTACTGATTCCAGACATTTAAGAAAATCTTTGTCCAATGGTTAGCTGACAACTAAACTACCATGTGGAGGGGCTTCATTAACCACACATGGCAAACAAAGTATTCTACAAAACTGTTTTAGAAAGTCCTAAACAAACAAGAAAACCAACAAAAAAACAGCAACAACTTTTCACTGCTGAGTCTGATGTTACCTGCAGGCTTGTCTTATATGGCCTTTATTATATTGAGGTACATTCCTTCTATACTTAGTTTGTTGAAAGTTTTTTTTTAACATGAAATTACATTGAATCTTATCAAATGCTTTTTCTGCATTTTTTTTTAAAGAGACAAGTTGCAATGTTCCCCAAGCTGATCTCAAATACCTGGCCTCAAGTTATCCCCCCACCTCAGCCTCCCAGGTTGGGATTGCAGGTACACACCAGCACGTCTGTCTTTGTGAACCTATTGGAAGAATCATATGGTATTTATCTTTCATTCTGTTAATATTGTTTGTCACATTTATTGATTTGCATTTGTTGAACCATTCTAGAATCCCAGGGTTAAATCCCACTTGATCCCAATGCATGATCATTTTAATGCACTGTTGAATTTGGCTTGTTAGTACTTTGATGAGGATTTTTACATCTATGTTTATCAAGGATATTGGTCTATAATTATCTTTTCTTATAGTGTCCTTCTCTGGCTTTGGGTAATTATAGGGTATGATAGCCTTGCAGAATGAATTTGGAAGTGTTGCTTCTCTTTAATTTTTTGAAATAATTCAAAAAGGGTTGGTATTAATTCTTCTTTGTTTGTTAGAATTCACCAGTGAAACCATCAGGTCCTGGGCATTTCTTTGTGGGAGATTGTTGATTATTGATTAAATCTCCTTACTTGTTCTTGGTCTGTTCAGATTTTGTATTTTTTAATGATTCAGTGTTAGTAGGTTATATGTTTCTAAAAATTTATCCATTTATTCTAGGTTATCAGATTGATTGGCATGTAATTGTTCATAGTAGTTTCTTATGATCCTTTGTAACTGTATGCCAACAGGTATATGGAAAGGTGCTGAATACCATTAATCATCAAGGAAATGCAGATCAAAACTAAAATAAGATATAACTTTATGTCTGTTAGAATAACTATTGATAAAAAATAAATATCAAGTGTTGGCAAGAATGTGGAGAAAAAGGTGTCCTTATATATTGTTGGTGGAAATGTTAATTTGTATAGCCATTATCAAAAATGGTATGGACTTTCCTCAAAAAGTTATATATGGTACTACTGTATGATCTAGCAATCCTACTTATGGGTATTTATCCAAACGAAGTTAAATCAGGATCTCAAAGAGATACCAGCATTCCCATATTCACTGCAGGATCATTCACAATAATCAAGATACAGAATCAACCCAAATATCCATTAACAGATGACTAGATCAAGAAAATGTGAATATATATAATGGAATACTATTCAGGCTTAAAAAAGGAAATCCTGCTATTTGCAACAAGATGGCTTCTCCTGGAGGAATTTATGCTAAATAAAATAAGCCAGCAGTGAAAGATAAATATTGTACAATCTCTCATACACATGGAATCTAAAATAGTAAAATTTACAGAAGCAGATAATAGAATGCTGATTGCCAAGGACTAGGGAGAAATGGGGAGGTGATGGCCAAAGGATGGATAGTTTCAGTTATGCAAGATAAATAAGTGCTGGAGGTCTACTGTACATCATAGGGCCTATAGCTAACAATACTGCATTGTATACCTAAAATTTGCTAGGAGGGTAGATTTTAAGTGTTCTAACAACACATGGAGAAAAACAATGATGATAATGATAAAAGGGTGGTGAGAAACTTTAAGAGGTGATAAATATATTTATAGCTTTGATGTTCTGATTGTTTCATGGCTATACATATTTAACTCCAAGTTCATTTCATTGTACACATTAAACGTGTACAGCTTCTTATATGTCAAAAAATCGTAAGTTTCTCAAGGATATAATCTGGGAAAAAACACCAAGAACAAACCTGAGGAGAGTTGTAGAATCTGTTTTCCATAGTTGCCACATTGTATTACTAAAATATCCAGCACTTAAGGAAAAAAATCAAGACATTAAAAAAAGTATGGGCCTATGCAGGAAAAGAAACATCATTAGAAATTATGAGGGAGCCCAGATATTAGACGTACTAGACAATGCTTCAAATTAGCTATTTTAAATATATTCAAACAACTAGTGTCTAAAAAATTAAAGCAAAGTATGAGAACCATGTCTCTCCAAAGCTAGAATACCAATGATACAAAAATTCAAAACAAATAAAAATTCAGGAGTTAAAAAATGTAAAAATTAAACTAAGAAAACGTATTTGACAGAATGAATAACAGAATTGAACTGCCAAAAAAAAAAAAGAAGCAATAAAATTTAGGGATACAGAAGAAAAAAAGAAGGAAACATAATATAACCTCAAGGACCTCTGGACACCTTCAAATCTACCAACATATACATAATGGGAGTCACAGAGAAGAGGAGAGAAAGAAAGGGACAGAAAGAGTATTCAAATAAACAATGGTTAAAAGATTCCAAAATGTGAAGAAAAGACCAATTATACATCTAAGAAGTTCAATGAATCCAAGTAGCATAAACTTAAAAGGATTCATACCTAAACATTTCATAAGGAAACTGTTGGACACCAAAGACAAACAGAAAATATTGAAAGAAGCAAGAGAAGAACAACGCATCAAGTACAAGGAATCCACAATCAGGTCAACATGTGATTTCTCATCTACTACCATGGAGGCCAGAAGGCAGTGGGACAGCATACTCAAAATGCTAAAATTAAAAAAACTGGCAACCAGAATTCTATTTCCAGCAAAAATATCATTCAGAAGGTAAGAAATTAAGACATTGCTAGATAAACAAAAACTGAGAGAATCATCATTAGCACATCTGCCATACAATAAATACTGCAATTTTTAGCTTTAAATAAAAGGACCTTAGAGAATAAATTGAATTGATGTTACAAATTTTTTAAAAAACTCATAAAGTATCTACATAAACAATTTTAAAGAGTAATATAAGTGTGCTTTTTACTCTTTTTTATCTTATTTAAAGGACAGCAAAATAAAAGAATAATTATAAAGCTGTGTTGAGGGGCATATAACATAAAAAGATGGAGTTTGGAGTTTGCACGCAATAATAGCACAAAGGAGTAAGGAGGAAATGAAATATACAGAAGGAATTTTTCATGAACTCTTGAAGTTAAGTTGACATTAATCTAAACTTGTCTTTTATTTTTAAAAGATTAGCTGTAATCTAGGGCAATCACTGAAAAAATAACAATATAGTAAAAGAAAAAACAAAGGAATAACGAGGATACAATAGAAAATATCTAACAAAAGAGAAGGCAGCAACAGAGGAACAGAGGAACAGAAAAAGACAAGACACATAGGAAACAGTAACAAAATGTAAGACGTTAATCTTACCTTATCAATAATTACATTAAATAAAATTTATTTAAACATACTGATCAAAAGGCAGAGATTGACAGACTAGCTAAAAAGAATAATCCATTTATATGCTTTTTATAAGAGACACTTTAGATTTAAAGGCAAAAAGACTTTGAAAGTAAAAGAATGAAAAATGTTATATCATGCAAGATAGGCAAGGAGCAATGGGGTTGAAATTCTTTTCTTTGAGTAGAGTGGAATGAAGCATTATAAAATCTGAGTTCATAGGGAAGTTGGGTAAGGAAAGAGGATGTCAATTAATAAAGGAATAATAAAGCAAGTTACGAATTGGAAATCCAATGTGATT
Organism: Homo sapiens; assembly: GCF_000001405.40. Classification (NCBI taxonomy): domain Eukaryota; kingdom Metazoa; phylum Chordata; class Mammalia; order Primates; family Hominidae; genus Homo; species Homo sapiens. Next base: position 178,846,239 of record NC_000004.12, read on the forward strand.
TTAGACATTCAGTGGTATTATTTAAGCAGTCAGGTTGTAATAGTAGGAATTGTGCATTAGAAAAATTATAGGGCTGGGCGTGGTGGCTCGTGCTTGTAATCCCAGCACTTTGGGAGGCCAAGGCAGGCAGATTGCATGAGTCCAGAAGTTTGAGACCAGCCTGGGTGACACAGCAAAACCCTGTCTCTACAAAAAATACAAAAATTAGCAGGGCATAGTGGTGCATGCCTGTAGTCCCCGCTACTCAGGGGGCTGAGGTGGGAGGATGGCTTGAGCCCAAGAGGCGGAGGTTGCAGTGAGCTGAGATTGTGCCACTGCACTCCAGCCTGGGCAACAGAGCAAGGCCCTGTCTCAAAAATAAGAAAGAAAAGAAAAATTGCCATAGATGTATTATAAATTCATTAAATTCATTAGTAGGAGTTTCAGGCAAGTGTTATGGATTAACTTGGGATAAGGTCAAGGAAATGACACACAGATGATAAGAATGGTGGTGGAGGACTTGGTTCATGAGCAAAGGGAAGGGTATTTTGAAAAGGGAGTGGATTACAAAAATTGTAGTTTACAGAATTTAATCTTAATATTTTGTAAGTACAATGTTAACAGATTATGTAACTAAATAGAAAGCCCGAAAATGGTGCTCAATGAATATTGGTTTTTGCAGAAAAATGGCAATGAAACTGAAGTAAATTAATTTATAAGAAGAATAAGAAGGCAAATAAAGTAAGAAATTATAGTGTATAACAAGGAAAGTGAGTGTACGTGTTTGAAAAATTAAAAATACCTATATGTGTATATATAAATTTATCCTATCTCCTGTGTGTGTGTGTGTGTGTGTGTGTGTGTGTGTGTGTGTGTACCTGTGCCTGTCTGATATCTTTTTTTTTTTTTTTGAGATGGAGTTTTGCTCTTTTGCCCAGGCTGGAGTGCAGTGGCACCATCTAAGCTCACTGCAAACTCTGCCCCCCAGGTTCAAGCGATTCTCCTGCCTCAGCCTCTTGAGTAGCTGGGATTATAGGTATGCACCACCACACTTGGCTAATTTTTGTATTTTTAGTAGAGATGGGGTTTTACCATGTTGGCCAGGCTGGTCTTGAATTCCTGACCTCAAGTGATCCACCCTCCTTGGTCTCCCTAAGTGCTAGGATTACAAGTGTGAACCACCACACCCGGCCTGATATCTTATTAGAGATGGAGGGATACAATACCCAATGTTACGACAGCACTGGGAGTACAGTTACAATACTATACTCCAAGACTAGAGTTGCTGCCTAAGAATTTTTTGATAGCAGAAAAGAGTTTTATATGATATTCTAAGTTATGACCTGCCAGAAATAGTGAATTTCCTGAGCATGAAACTCTTGCATTTGATTTGACACACGCATGCACACACACATTTGGAATATATTCTGTATTGTGAATGATAGATATCCAGCACCTAGAAAAGTGACTGGCACAGGAACAGAGCTGGGTTACAATAAAAATTTGTTGAATGAATGTATGAATTTTTGTTAGCAGGATGCATATATGGATGTATTACAGCAAAGAGGAAACTCCTGATTAATCCCTAAAACTTTGGCTTTTGAGGGTGACTCCCGAAATAAATACAAATTAAGTTATTGAATATTTTTAGTACAACCTCTCCTCAAAATAAAAAAATCTTGAGGCTTATCTCATGCCTACTAAATTATATTCTTCATTTAATAAAATTTCAAGGTGATATGTTACATGCTTTAAAATTTGAGAACCTTTGGAACGTATATTTATGCATTCTAGAAACAGAGTTGATGAACTTTACAAATAATTATTTTGGATTAATAATACAGTGTTGGTATTGATATGTTAGAGATTTTGGAACTCAGGTCAATGGACATGGAAGATTTGGACTGAGGAAGCATGGTTCTATCCTATTTAGAGCAGGTATGTGCAGAGATAAAATTGAGAGGCACACTTCATTGAAGCATCAGCATGGGTGAACTCAAGCCGCCTCAGAAAATCTCCGAACTACTGAGTCTAATAAAGAAAGGGGAGGATAATGAAGCAGTATCTCAAACTCTATGGACAGGAAAACTACATGAAGGATCAGTTGTCTTACTGGCAACAGCCCAGTGCAATTAGCTGTTGAAAATAAGCACATATGGCTTTTTGAAAATCTGCTTATGAGAATTCTTCCTTAGGCATTTTGAGATGCTGCTACTAATGTAAGGAAAGAGAGTAGACAAATGAAAGAGCATGCCCATTCTGAAACACAAGCACAGAGATCATAATTTTAAGGTAAAAGACCCTGGATTCTATATGGGCCCGTATTTCTTTAAATAGACAGATTAATCTAATTTATAATTATCCTACTCACTTTCTTTAATCAGCCATTTTGAATTTTTTTAAAATTTCAGTTGCAAAAGTTATACAAATACATTTATTATTGTATATATTTGACTATATACATCAATAACTATATATATTTGATGTGTTGTTTTATTTACCCCCTTTGGGATTTTGTAATTTAAAAATATAATAGAGATGTATTTTTAATTTGAGCCACAATTTTTGAATACATCAAAATTTCAAAAATAAAACACTATATGTTCAATCCTAATAAATCATAATGTCTACAACAGAGTTAGCAACCAAAACACCTAACAAGTCTTTCTTTATCTTAGTTTTCTGTTGGTAAGTTTGGCATTTATATTCTGCCTGATATAATGAGAAATTAAATATTTTATTTACTAAGTTTATTTTTCACTAGAATTTAGACATCTATATTGTGCTTCTCAGTCAGTATTTACTAGGCTATTCTGAAGTAACAGGCAGCTCTAACTCTCAGTTACTAATAACAAGACTTATTTCTTCATCATTTAGCATGATCATGACAGATTGGTTTTATTGTGGTCACTTGGAGATGATCTAATTTGACCGTAATTCCACTATCTTAACATGCCACTATCTTATAATGTATTCATGTTTTGATGTAGGAGAGGAAGGGAGGATGAAGAACTATATGCCAGATCATTAATTCTTCTGTTCATATTTCATTGATCAAAACAATGCACATGGTCATGTCTAACTCCAAGGGATTGGCATGATAATCCTGGAGTGTGCCCAGATAAAAGGGAGAGGAAAAAATATCGAACAATAATTACATCTCCACCACAGTGTAGACCTCATTATAACTGCTATTTCAAGTTTCTTCTTAATGGCTTAGTTATTCACTGCTAGGCATTTTAGACCATGGCACCTGGCTGTCATGCAACTTCAAATCAATATTTGCTAGAGAATATACAGGTGTCTTTAAATTTTTAATATTTTCTTCTGTTGCCTTCAAGTATAAATGGTGACTTTGCCAGGTAAAGAATACTTCGTTTAAATATTTATTCCACAAATCTTATTTTGATTCAGCCTGGTTTTGTTTGTTTGCATACTAAAAAAAAAAAAAAACTGTGTTTTCACCTGGATGTTTGTAATATTCTTTACACTTGAATTGTAATAATTTGACTAGAGCAAATTGTGTTGTGTATTGAAATTGACTAAATTTTCCTGAAACACTCTGATCCCTTTTAAATTCAGACCAGGTTCTTCATGTCATTATATTTTCTTTCTTTTTCAGCATTTCTACCCACATTTGTTGGCTGCTATAGCCATTCAAAAAGCCAGGATATTATGCCCATCAGGGCTTTAAGATATTCTATGTTAAGTTCCTAGTTACGTTGGCTATGTTCCTTGAGCTTAAAATATTCCCATCTTTAATCACACATAATTGAGGAAACATCTAAAGAAACTCAGTAATTTCTGAATGAACCAATTTTGTTGCAGCATCAATGTTTCATTATTTTCTTATGTAAAGGAAAATGCTGCAAAAAGTAACATTAAATATTTTAATGACATCTATATATTGACTAAAATTTTTAGAATTATACCTCCTGTTTTTGTCAATATGCTCTGATTGTAGATTTATTCTTTATCCTTTTAAATAACTTGTTTCATTAATAAATATTGGACCTTTAGAGTCTACTGGTAAAATTGAGTAATCCCACTGTGATGTGTACTTCCCATTGATTAGAACTCTAAAAGCCAGAACTACTGTATGACCCTGCAACCCCACTATGGGATATATCTCCAAAAGAAAGGAAATCAGTATATCGAAGAGATATCTGCATTTCCACATTTATTGCAGCACTATTCATGATAGCAAAGATATGGAATCAACCTAAGTATCCACCGATGAATGAATGGATAAAGAAAATGTGGTATATTTACACAAGGGAATACTATTCTGCCATAAAAAAGAATAAAATCCTGTCATTTGCAACAATGTAGATGGAACTAGAGGACATTTTGTCAAGTGAAATAAGCCTGGCACAGAAAGACAAATATCACCTGTTCTAATTCATATGTGGGAGATAAAAAAGTTGGTCTCATGGAGATAGAGAGTAGAATGACAGTTGCCAGACACTAAGAAAGGTAGTGAGGAGAGAGGAATTAAAAGGAGGCGGTTAATGGGTACAGAAAATGCAGTTAGAGGGAATAAGATCTCGTTTGGGGTGGCACAATGAGGCAACTATAGTTAACAATAATTAATTCATTGTCTATTTCAAAATAGCCGGAAGAATGGAATTGAAATATTCCCAACACAAAGAAATGATAAGTGCTTGAAGTTGTTAGAACCCAGTTACCCTGACATGATTATTACACATTGTATGCTTGTATTAAAATATCACATGCACTCCATAAATATGCACAACTATTATGCAACCATAAAATGTAAAATAAAATATGCGTACAAAATATCAAAAACAACTAGCTGAAAATCTGAAAAGCAAACACTAGCACATGGATGGAGGAGGTAGGTCAAAACTAGAAAAATGATTATCCTGGTAGCAGTTCCCTGTTTTCCCCTCCCTGTCATCTGCAGCTGATAGAGGAAAACTTCCTTTTGTTCCTATCTTTTTTTTTCCTCTCCCCATCTTGTCCTGAGGTCAGCCCCAGTCATAGAGCTGAACTGCCTCAGCAATGCAGCCTGTGGTGATACAGATACCTGAGACTCAGAGAAGAAAAATCTCTTCCATATAGAAGAGCCAGGGAAAGGGGTGTTGTTTTGTAAAGTATGTTAGAAGTTCCTCATTTTTTGTTTTCCTTTTTCTATTCTGACACTGACTGCAGGCCTGTCCTTGACCTGAAGCTGCACAGCCACAGCAGCTAGGCGCCAAAGACCGTGAGAGAAAGTCAGTTCTTTATTTTCAGAATAACTGGGGGAATGAGTGAAGAATATGGAGCATTTCTATTTTTTCTCTTTTCTCACAAAGCTTTTTTTGTATATAAGGGAAAAGGAGGTAATTGTTTCATCTCCCTTCCAACTCTAAAATTCCAAAATATTAGCATTACCCTTTAATTATCACTAAATCTATGCTTTAAAATAATTTCTGAATTTTTAACTTTCCTTCAAGATTGAACTCTTTAATGATATTTACCAGAATTCCTTAGCCAGACAATGGTGATTTTCAGTGTAGTTCTCTTTTATCTACAACCCTATGTCCAAAGTCTGTTCTGGTGATTCAGAGCAAAGTCTGCTCTGAATGGTCATATGTATTCTCAAAGATCTTTCCATCTTCCAAGTGTTCAATTCTTGGCATTTGGGCTTTTGCTTTAACACATCACGGTCTATTTATTTATGTGTCAATAATTTAGCGAACTTTGGCTGTGTAACAACAAAAATGTCTGGATAATGTAATATTTGCTCAACACTGGGATGATACTTTTATGCCAATCATAGATATGTGAAAAATGCTCATAAAATTTGGTTGATATATAAATAATGTCAACTGAAATATTTCCTCAAGTATATCAGCAAGGATAGAGCATTTTGTATTCCAACTTGGTATTCCAATTGAAAATAAATGTGAGATAGATAAGAAGGCCAAACATAACTGTATAGGTATTTGATGTCCATTTAATATCTTTTCACAAGGATGGGTATTTTAATCAACTTGAAAATTACCCTTCAAAGAACTTGAGTTTAAATTGTTAGAGTGATAAGTCATATTTTAATACAATGTGACTTGAATGATAACATTTAATTTCATGGAAAATATGACACAGTGTGACTGGTCAACTCTGCTTTAGCCAGATACAGAGCATATATTGCTTTTAAGTATTTAAAATTATATTTCTATAAGCCAAAATGATTTGAATTATCTGGATCAAAGCTTGTTCAAAGCTTTTTAAAAGGCACTTCTAATATAATCGCTTATTCACACATAGTTTTCTGTTGAATATGTTCTAGTTGGGAATCATCTTAATTAGCTTTTTGATAAAAGATTACATATTTTGTAAAAAATTATCATAAAATATTTATTCTTTTTTATTTGTATATACTTACCATATAGACATACCTTTCAATCTACTAAAGAAAGATGAAGGGTAACTTTCCACTCTGTCTCTATTCATATGTCTTTCTTCAATTTATAAAAAGTAAACTTTCATCCACTTTGGACACCCTATTAAAGGTAGAGACATGCCCTATTCTGGTGCTCTCTGTTGGTCACGATTCTTCAGTTAAATGTTACCAACTACATGGGGCTTTTCTGGAGATGTCTGCATTGATGGTGTTAGGCAATGCGTGATCCCAGCATGGATGACAAGATCAGGGTCTGCCTTGTACACTGAAATCTCCCAATTGTGCAGCCCCAGACCAAGGAGAGAAAGAAGTTCAGTTTGACACCATGTCCAAAGCAGTTCAAAATCCAACTTTTTCAGATTGATACTTTGTAACCTGAGTTACTTTCTTTTACATTTCTCTGCTAGTTCAGGACCTGGAAGTGAGAACAGCCTCCTGGCTTTAAGGTCTACACTTTTTCACCTCTGAGTCATGAGCCCAGCCCTATAACACATGCTGTAAGGAAAACCTGGGAGGGCAGAGAGGGCAAAACCTTCTTACATATCTAAACATTGGTAGTCTAGGGAATTAAATTATTATTTTCAAATTAAAAATATTTGGCTAATATTAGTGTAGTCTCTATGTTTTTCCACAAATAAACGTTTTTCTTATTAGAATGGAAAATTCTAGTGATACAAACTTACATTCTGGTGAATGGCGGGTCTTGCTTTGGTTCAACGGTTGACTGTTTCCAATTTGGACAGATAAGTACCTCATGGTCTAACCCCACATGCTAGTGAATTTTATTTTGAGATGAACAACATCCAAGTTTATAATAAAATGTTACACTATTTCATATGCTTATTTCCTGCCTTCAGGGATCTCTCAGGGTTGAAGGATAACCATGCCAAGGCAAATTTCTAGCACTGCTATGTAGCCAAAATGTCATCTTAGGATCACTTTTTTGAATAGTACCTAATTTTGATTTTACTTCTCAGTGAATCAAAAGAAATGCTCAGTATCATAACTTTTTTAAATGGTGCATTCGCTTTATTTTTTAATTGTCAAACAAAATTCTACACATGTATTGTGTACAATATGCTGTCTTAAAATATACATACATTGTGGAATGGCTAAATCAAGCTAATTAACGTATGCATTACCTCACTTTTTTGTGGTGAGAATGCTTAAAATCTCTATTGGCAATTTTCAAGAATAAAATACGTTGTTATTAACTATAGTCTTCATGTTGTGCTATAGGTCTCTTAAACTTATTTCTTTTATTTAAAATTTTGTGTCATTTTGCCAACATTTCTAACATCCATCAGCCCATCCCCTGGTAACCATTATTCTACTCTGTACTTCTATGAGTTCAACTTTTTTAGAATAATAGCTTTTTTGAATCTAATTCCGAACACTGAAGATGAATTGATTGATGAATATGCTATGGTAAAATTAGAAGCATGGTATTGTGATTTGTGGGCACAGTTGAGAACATTAATAAATATTATAAAAGACTTAAAAGATGACAACATTTGAGCTGGACTTTAATTCACAAGTAAGAGTACCTAAGTAAAAACTGTAAAACTTAATATTTGGAAACATAACAAGTACTCATTATTGAGAGCCTACAGTTTGTGGGAGACAGCACAGGAGCTGAAATAACCAAACTGATTAGCAGTTTTAAAGATATTGATAAGTTTTGTTATCTATATCGCTTTAAAACTAATAACTATTTGCATTACTTTACAAGACACATGTTTAGTTTTCATGATAAGCTGTGAACAAAATAGACAAAAGCACTGATGATCATTACTAACTTAAGAAAAAAATCATGATAGCTAACATCTTATGAGAATTCAATATGTCCCAGACACTTTATCATATATGATTTTTTGGTGTCCTTCGAAGGCCCTTTTTGGTAGGTGTGATGGCAAATTTTGTTTGTCAACTTGTCTGTGCCATGTGGTGCCCAGATATTTCATCAAACATTATTTTGGGTGTTTCTGTGAGAGTATTTTGGATGAGATTAATATTTAAATCAGTGAACCTTGAGTAAAGCAGATTATCTTTCACAATGTGGGTGGTCCTCATTCAATCAGTTGAGCTGATTATAATGAAAAGGTTGGCCACCCTTAGAGCTAGAGAAAATTCTCCAGCAGACTGTTTTCAGACTTCATCTGCATCAGCTCTTCCTAGTTCTACAGTAGACTGCCTTTTGACTTGAACTGGAACATAGGGTCTTCTTGGTCTTCAGCCTGCTGGGTCACAATGCAAATTCTGAATTTGTCAGTGTCCATAATCCCATGAACCCATTTCCTATAATAAATCTTGCACTCTATATATCCATTCTGTGGGTTCTAATACAGCAGGCTTATATTAGTAATTTTATAGATAGGAAAACTGCAACTTAGAGATGTTATGCAACTTGCCCAAGGTTGCAGAGCAATAAGGCTGAACCAAAAATTAAAATGAAGGTAGTTTGACGCTAGAACAAATACATTAGATTTTACTCAGGTTAAATTCAATGCCAAATAGTATAAAGTCTGACAGTGGTTGAAAATCAATAGCATTAAGTATAAGATGGAGCCAGTGGGCTTAACATGAAACTGTAAACTATTTTCTTTAAGTTCTATGCAAGTCTATATAAAATGATGATGCTGACAAAAAGAAAGTATTTTTAACTTGTAGAATTGTAGTGTTAAAATAGAGAGTATTGGTCAGGTGTAGTGGCTCATGCCTGTAATCCCAGCACTTTGGGGGGCCAAGGCGAGAGGATCACCTGAGGTCAGGAGTTTCAAACCAGCCTCATTGCAAAACCCCTTCTCTACTAAAAATACAAAAATTAGCCAGGAGTGCTGGTGGGTGACTGTAATCCCAGCTACTTGGGAGGCTTAGGCTACCCGAGAGGTGGAGGTTGCAGTGAGCCAAGATTGCACCATTGCACTCCAGCCTGGGCTACAGAGCAAGACTCTGTCTCAAAAATAAATAAATAAATAAAAATAAAAATACAGAGTATTTTTTGTCTTTCTTCATTTACCCATTAATTCATTATGTACATAAATATGTTTTGAGCTTCTAAGAGATATGTACATAGAAACAGAAGTGGATAAAAGGAATAAGGTTGCTGCCCCCATGAAGTTTGTGATCTAATAAGCTTAATGGGGACATATGCAAGGTAAATATAAAAGAAATGCATTGAACAGATCAGAAGTTTAATGATCATTGAGAATATAACATATAGGGACTAAATTTAGATTAGAAACTCACAGATATCTTCTCTGCAGGTGGTGCATTAAAATAGAAACAATATTTAGCAAAAATTAATCAAACAGGAAATTTGATGGGGAAAAAGAGGGATGTATATGGAAGAGGAGAGGAGTACACACTGCAGAAGAGTGCAATCCCTTTAAATTTGTGTGTAGAAAAGAATTGAATATATTTTAGTTTCTGAAAGAACTGGGATAAATATATTCTGGATTTTATGTCCCTTTATTGACTTTTATCATGAAGGTGGTATCAAAAGTGGAATTTCATTATTTGATATACAGGGAGGCTCTATTGATAATGGTCATTGAATTCTGGGGCACTAGATGACATCACGACAATTTTCTGGAAGCCAAATAATAGCCTTTATCAATGGAATTGAAATGCTAATTTTACACCCTTGGGAAAGGGTAAACTGTGCTTTCTGATGTGCATTCACTGGCTAATTAATTGAGGACATAGAGAGGAAATCGAGTAGGAGGGCCATATTTGACCTAATAGCTGCCCCTCCAAAAAATCTTTCTTTACAATAATTATGACCTTCCCTCACCTCCTGTCTCTGTTTTGCTCCTAATTAACTCCTACAAAATGCAAATCCTCCAGGAAATTCTCCCTAACCAAACTTCTGTGTTTAAATGCATATGTTTTCTGTTCTCCTATTGTATCTTAAGCATTTTATCTCCACACTAGCATTAGATTGTAATTATCATTTTACAAGTTAGTTCTCCTACAAACTCATTGAGGTCAAGTAAAATAAAGCTAAACCAAACTTATTTCACAGTGGCGTTAAAAAAATTTATATAAAGTAGAAAGCATGATCAAAGGATAAAAACCTAGGAAGTAATAGATGTGTTAATTTTCAAATTTCAGGCTTTTAAAAAACAAATTTGTGAGTAATAAATATTTTACAAATGTATAGTCACGCCTTTGCCAGAATGACAATCTAGAAAAATATGCTGCTGTGGATTTAAATGCAAAGTAATATTTTACTTAAATTTTAATTTTAGGATACAGTTAAAAATACATATGATTTTTACCCAATTTTCCAGTATTGTATACCATTTTAACTACTTTCTTTATATAGTAATAACATTCAGTCTAATATAATACAGCATGACTAATTGCTTGAAAACTATCGCTGTTCTTGGATAGAAAACAATACATTTGCAAAATAAAAGTAAGTTAATTTTAATAAAAGAAATAGCCTTGATATATTATAAAGTGTATTTAGACAGACAAATGTTAAATGCATGGTTTGTTGTCTTTTTGCTCATAGTGAAGATTTTCTTTCTTGTAAGGGTCCCCAAAAACCATTATCTTGGTTTCTCAGAATACAAAATAACAGTTGACTAATGTGTGTAACAGAACAATTTTATCCATATGGTATGAAAGAACCAGCCTTTTTAGTATGTGGATGTCACAAAGTGCCAGGAGGAAAATCAGCAATCTTCTCACTTTCTACTTTTTTCTAATCTATTAAAATTCTTCCAGATTGCCTGTTGCAACTACAGCTGTGAGCCTGTGATTGTCACTAGACCGAAATGTAACTAGACTTTACCATTGAGCATATACATGAAGAATGAGTAAATGTTCATTCCCACCTTGCCCAGAACAGTACACAGACATAAGTTTTATTTGATGCTATTAAGGCTAATGGGAAATATCTAAATGTCAAGCCAATTTCTATCAATGTGTACTAAACAACTGCGTTTTGAATTAGGATTAAGTTTGCTATTGAAGAGAAATATTAATTGAGATCCTGATGCTATGCATTTTTTAATCTTTAGCGTAACAAACATTTTTTAAACCATATATGTATATAAAAATGAAATCTACAATTAAATATTAATATTTAACCTGGAGATTTAATTTATATATCCCTTATTAAAAATATTGACATAATTTAAAATAAAATATAATATTTATTTGATAATGTTCAATAGACTTACTGATATATTAAATGATGATGATAATAATAATGCTTCAAATTAGTTTGATGGAGGAAATCAATTTAAGCAGAGTACAATCTGGAAAAATAAGTCATGAAATTTTATGTTCACATAATTTCCCTTTTGTTTCCTACATTTTGACCAGAAATGTGATTGAATAAAAATATATAATAAATATCAACAGAAAAATAATTTTATGAATGTTGAAACCTACATTGCTTTTATAATGTAAATGAAATATACAGGTCACAGTAATTTAATGAATTCATTGGTGTTCTATCATTAAGCTCATATTCTCTCTATGAGTGGTGCTTTATAATTTCAAATAATTTTTCAGCTTTTATTTACTTATTTTCCCAAGAAATTCATGAGGATATTAACCAAATATCATTACTCTCATTTTACAGAATAGGAAGCTAAATTAGAGTCAATTACCTAAGTCATAAATGAAACACCTAGAGCAATGGCACTGCTTTTTAAAAAATGCCAACATGGTGTTTATTTCATTATATTGTACAGTGTCTTAAATAGAATATTTTCAATGATAAATGTTGTAATTGTATTACAATGGTGCCAAGGAGTATGCTGATGATTTCTATCATTATATTTTAAAACATACCATTTGAAAAAATGTATAACTATATTTTGATACTCAGGTTCTCTCAAGCTCATTAATGTGTTTTCTTTTATTTATTTATTTATTTATTTATTTTTTATTTTTTTATTTTTTATTATACTTTAAGATTTAGGGTACATGTGCACATTGTGCAGGTTAGTTACATATGTATACATGTGCCATGCTGGTGCGCTGCACCCACTAACTCGTCATCTAGCATTAGATGTATCTCCCAATGCTATCCCTCCCCACTCCCCCTACCCCACCACAGTCTCCAGAGTGTGATATTCCCCTTCCTGTGTCCATGTGATCTCATTGCTCAATTCCCACCTATGAGTGAGAATATGCGGTGTTTGGTTTTTTGTTCTTGCGACAGTTTACTGAGAATGATGATTTCCAATTTCATCCATGTCCCTACAAAGGACATGAACTCAGCATTTTTTATGGCTGCATAGTATTCCATGGTGTATATGTGCCACATTTTCTTAATCCAGTCTATCATTGTTGGACATTTGGGTTGGTTCCAAGTCTTTGCTATTGTGAATAATGCCACAATAAACATACATGTGCATGTGTCTTTATAGCAGCATGATTTATAGTCCTTTGGCTATATACCCAGTAATGAGATGGCTGGGTCAAATGGTATTTCTAGTTCTAGATCCCTGAGGAATCGCCACACTGACTTCCACAATGGTTGAACTAGTTTACAGTCCCACCAACAGTGTAAAAGTGTTCCTATTTCTCCACATCCTCTCCAGCACCTGTTGTTTCCTGACTTTTTAATGATTGCCATTCTAACTGGTGTGAGATGGTATCTCATTGTGGTTTTGATTTGCATTTCTCTGATGGCCAGTGATGATAAGCATTTTTTATGTGTTTTTTGGCTGTATAAATGTCTTCTTTTGAGAAGTGTCTGTTCATGTCCTTCGCCCACTTTTTGATGGGGTTGTTTGTTTTTTTCTTGTAAATTTGTTTGGGTTCATTGTAGATTCTGGATATTAGCCCTTTGTCAGATGAGTAGTTTGTGAAAATTTTCTCCCATTTTGTAGGTTGCCTGTTCACTCTGATGGTAGTTTCTTTTGCTGTGCAGAAGCTCTTTAGTTTAATTAGATCCCATTTGTCAATTTTGGCTTTTGTTGCCATTGCTTTTGGTGTTTTGGACATGAAGTCCTTGCCCATGCCTATGTCCTGAATGGTAATGCCTAGGTTTTCTTCTAGGGTTTTTATGGTTTTAGGTCTAACGCTTAAGTCTTTAATCCATCTTGAATTGATTTTTGTATAAGGTGTAAGGAAGGGATCCAGTTTCAGCTTTCTACATATGGCTGGCCAGTTTTCCCAGCACCATTTATTAAATAGGGAATCCTTTCCCCATTGCTTGTTTTTGTCAGGTTTGTCAAAGATCAGATAGTTGTAGATATGCGGCGTTATTTCTGAGGGCTCTGTTCTGTTCCATTGATCTATATCTCTGTTTTGGTACCAGTACCATGCTGTTTTGGTTACTTGTAGCCTTGTAGTATAGTTTGAAGTCAGGTAGTGTGATGCCTCCAGCTTTGTTCTTTTGGCTTAGGATTGCCTTGGCAATGCAGGCTCTTTTTTGGTTCCATATGAACTTTAAAGTAGTTTTTTCCAATTATGTGAAGAAAGTCATTGGTAGCTTGATGGGGATGGCATTGAATCTATAAATTACCTTGGGCAGTATGGCCATTTTCATGATATTGATTCTTCCTACCCATGAGCATGGAATGTTCTTCCATTTGTTTGTAACATCTTTTATTTCCTTGAGCAGTGGTTTGTAGTTCTCCTTGAAGAGGTCCTTCACATCCCTTGTAAGTTGAATTCCTAGGTATTTTATTCCCTTTGAAGCAATTGTGAATGGGAGTTCACTCATGATTTGGCTCTCTGTCTGTCTGTTGTTGGTGTATAAGAATGCTTGTGATTTTTTACACTGATTTTGTATCCTGAGACTTTGCTGAAGTTGCTTATCAGCTTAAGGAGATTTTGGGCTGAGACAATGGGGTTTTCTAGATATACAATCATGTCGTCTGCAAACAGGGACAATTTGACTTCCTGTTTTCCTAATTGAATACCCTTTATTTCCTTCTACTGCCTAATTGCCTTGGCCAGAACTTCCAACACTATGTTGAATAGGAGTGGTGAGAGAGGGCATCCCTGTCTTGTGCCAGTTTTCAAAGGGAATGCTTCCAGTTTTTGCCCATTCAGTATGATATTGGCTGTGGGTTTGTCATAGATAGCTCTTATTATTTTGAAATACGTCCCATCAATACCTAATTTATTGAGAGTTTTTAGCATGAAGGGTTGTTGAATTTTGTCAAAGGCTTTTTCTGCATCTATTGAGATAATCATGTGGTTTTTGTCTTTGCCTCTGTTTATATGCTAGCTTACATTTATTGATTTGCATATATTGAACCAGCCTTACATCCCAGGGATGAAGCCCACTTGATCATGGTGGATAAGCTTTTTGATGTGCTGCTGGATTCGTTTTGCCAGTATTTTATTGAGGATTTTTGCATCAATGTTCATCAAGGATATTGGTCTAAAATTCTCTTTTTTGGTTGTGTCTCTGCCCGGCTTTGGTATTAGAATGATGCTGGCCTCATAAAATGAGTTAGGGAGGATTCCCTCTTTTTCTATGGATTGGAATAGTTTCAGAAGGAATGGTACCAGTTCCTCCTTGTACCTCTGGTAGAATTCGGCTGTGAATCCTTCTGGTCCTGGACTCTTTTTGGTTGGTAAACTATTGATTATTGCCACAATTTCAGCTCCTGTTATTGGTCTATTCAGAGATTCAACTTCTTCCTGGTTTAGTCTTGGGAGAGTGTATGTGTCGAGGAATTTATCCATTTCTTCTAGAGTTTCTAGTTTATTTGCATAGAGGTGTTTGTAGTATTCTCTGATGGTAGTTTGTATTTCTGTGGGATCGGTGGTAATATCCCCTTTATCATTTTTTATTGTGTCTATTTGATTCTTCTCTCTTTTTTTCTTTATTAGTCTTGCTAGCGGTCTATCAATTTTGTTGATCCTTTCAAAACACCAGCTCCTGAATTCATTAATTTTTTGAAGGGTTTTTTGTGTCTCTATTTCCTTCAGTTCTGCTCTGATTTTAGTTACTTCTTGCCTTCTGCTAGCTTTTGAATGTGTTTGCTCTTGCTTTTCTAGTTCTTTTAATTGTGATGTTAGGGTGTCAATTTTGGATCTTTTCTGCTTTCTCTTGTGGGCATTTAGTGCTATAAATTTCCCTCTACACACTGCTTTGAATGCGTCCCAGAGATTCTGGTATGTTGTGTGTTTGTTCTCGTTGGTTTCAAAGAACATCTTTATTTCTGCCTTCATTTTGTTATGTATCCAGTAGTCATTCAGGAGCAGGTTGTTCAGTTTCCATGTAGTTGAGCAGTTTTGAGTGAGATTCTTAATCCTGAGTTCTAGTTTGATTGCACTGTGGTCTGAGAGATAGTTTGTTATAATCTCTGTTCTTTTACATTTGCTGAGGAGAGCTTTACTTCCAAGTATGTGGTCAATTTTGGAATAGGTGTGGTGTGGTGCTGAAAAAAATGTATATTCTGTTGATTTGGGGTGGAGAGTTCTGTAGATGTCTATTAGGTCCACTTGGTGCATAGCTGAGTTCAATTCCTGGGTATCCTTGTTGACTTTCTGTCTCGTTGATCTGTCTAATGTTGACAGTGGAGTGTTAAAGTCTCCCATTATTAATGTGTGGGAGTCTAAGTCTCTTTGTAGGTCACTCAGGACTTGCTTTATGAATCTGGGTGCTCCTGTATTGGGTGCATATATATTTAGGATAGTTAGCTCTTCTTGTTGAATTGATCCCTTTACCATTATGCAATGGCCTTCTTTGTCTCTTTTGATCTTTGTTGGTTTAAAGTCTGTTTTATCAGAGACTAGGATTGCAACCCCTGCCTTTTTTTGTTTTCCATTTGCTTGGTAGATCTTCCTCCATCCTTTTATTTTGAGCCTATGTGTGTCTCTGCACGTGAGATGGGTTTCCTGAATACAGCACACTGATGGGTCTTGACTTTTATCCAATTTGCCAGTCTGTGTCTTTTAATTGGAGCATTTAGGCCATTTACATTTAAAGTTAATATTGTTATGTGTGAATTTGATCCTGTCATTATGATGTTAGCTGGTGATTTTGCTGGTTAGTTGATGCAGTTTCTTCCTAGTCTCGATGGTCTTTACATTTTGGCATGATTTTGCAGCGGCTGGTACCGGTTGTTCCTTTCCATGTTTAGCGCTTCCTTCAGGAGCTCTTTAAGGTGTTTTCACTTTTTTATTTTAAGCAGATTTATGAAAGTGTAGAAAAAACTATGAATAGGTCAAGAAGTAGCATATTTTTATATGATAAAAATTAAAAGCTTACTTTATGCTTATAGAAGTATCTTTTAAAAAATATCGCCATATCTATTCCAAAATATACTAATTGATGTAATAAAATAATACAAGTCATCTTTATTTTGGAAGAAAAATTTTGCAGATTAATTTTCCAAAGTGTTTGACTATACAAATAACTTTTATTTATTTTTCTTTTTATTTTTATAAGGGACAGAGTCTTGCTTTGTCACCCAGGCTGGAGGGCAGTTGGGCAATCATGGCTCACTGCAACCTCTGCGTTCTGGGCTCAATGGATCCTCCCACCTCAGCCTCCCAAGTAGCTGGGACTATAGGTTTGCACCACCACGCCAGGCTAATTTTTGTATTTTTCATAGAGACCAGATTTTGCCATGTTGCCCAGGCTGGTCTTGAACTCCTAGACTCAAGCCCACCCATCTTGATCTCCCAAAGTGCTGGGATTACAAGCATTAGCCACTGCACCCTGCCCAAATAACTCTTCCATAAGGAATTTTGTTTATGGATCTCAGAATTTAAAATCATTTTATGTGTTTTAATAATGTTGACAGATTGCATCATGTAGCTGATAATATTACTTTACAGTTCATCTTTGTATCCAAAGTCTACCCAATGACTAACCCGTTTCTAATTATTACTACAAAGACGTCATGAAATGTGAGTGGTAGTATTGTAAAAATGTTATTACTACCTGTACACTTCTGTAAAAACAGAAGTCCTCCCAAATGTGCAAATGCCATCATCTCCCACAAAACTATGAAAAAAGGAGACTCCTGGCAAGTTATTCAGTTCATCAAAATGATGCAGGATTTTTCTTGGTCACTTTGCAGGCCAGGGACCTCCACAGCTGGTGATGTCCCTGTTTGGGCCTCCTTTGGCCCCCACACCTGCCGCAAGAGGCGCCCTGTCCACTCTGCCTGCTGGGCCACGCCTGGTTTGCGCACCAGCCTGGGTCCCACACTGGCTGTTGTGTACCAGAGCCCACCTGTGTTAAAACTTGTACCCATGTTCTGCAGTTTCTGAATTCTCCCGCATCCAAGAAGAATGAGTTTATGCTAAAAATTGAAGGGTGAGGGCCGGGCACAGTGGCTCACGCCTGTAATCCCAGCACTTTGGGAGGCCGAGGTGGGCGGATCATGAGGTCAGGAGATAGAGACTGTCCTGGCTAACATGGTGAAACCCTGTCTCTACTAAAAATACAAAAAATTAGCCGGGCCTGGTGGCAGGCGCCTGTAGTCCCAGCTACTCGGGAGGCTGAGGCAGGAGAACGGCGTGAACCCAGGAGGCAGAGCTTGCAATGAGCCGAGATTGCTCCACTGCACTCCAGCCTGGGCAACAGAGTGAGACTCCGTCTCAAAAAAAAAGAAAAAAAAAAATTGAAGGGTGTGGAGAGCAGAGAAGAACTTTATTGAGTGAGGGAACAGCTCTCAGCTGAGAGGGGATGTGGGGGTGGTCCCCCACCTCAAGTCGGGTCGTCTCACTGAGTATGACTGATGACTGGGTCCGGGGCTTTTAAGGGCTCAGAATGGTAGAGTACATGCTGATTGGATTGTAAGTATGCCAAAAAAAAAAAAAAAAAAAAAAAAAAAAAGCTAAAACAAAGACGCCACTCAAAGATAAGCACAGCAGTGTTAAAAAAAACAATTAGGGAAGGGTAGTTATGTGTAAAATAGGTGAAGGGTGAGTATCAATTAGAGGAAAGTGCACCAAACAAGAAGGGAGGTTCACAATCTGGTCGGTGGATTTATCTGAGACTTGTAGCTTGGTTTTCAGTTTTAAACTGTCTTTAGTTTGAAGGTGAGGTTTCATCAGGGACCGGCCCCTCCTGCCGCTATTGTAATGACTTCAATTAATCATTTACAACATACATGGTATGGTGAGATCATCCCCAGATCCCAAACAGTGAGCACCCAACATAAAAAGCAATTTGACTGTTTTTTTGATTATTAAAATATAGATTTTTTTTTTTGGTTTGTATAATCTGTGTTTGATTTAAAGGTATAATTTGATAACTAAAAAAAAAAGTTTTAATAGAAATATCACCAATATTGTCTCCAGAATTAGAAAAGTGGTTTTAAAGGGGTAACTAAAGTAATTTTAACAAGATGACATTTCCAATCTACAATGAGAAAGAAATACAAATATTTATGAACTAAATAGCACAGCCTTTGTACTCATAATGCATGCATGGCAGAGGAAAGGTTTAAAACGGAATTGATGGAAACACAATAGAAACAGGAAGTGTTAACTATCCTTTGTCAACCTATGTCAAATTAAGTAGAACTAAAGCAAGTATGAAGAAGATTAGAAAATTATTTTTTACTAGTGGATATAAACTGACTCTTCTAACTGGAAAAAGAGGCTATAAATGGAAAATTGATTGTGTGTCAGACTTCAAGAATACCCTCAAACTCTCAAAGCACTTTATATAAAGCCAGTCTAATATTAATGACAAAACATCATTAGAATACAGTTTAAATTGTAACACTTTGTGATTCCATTTGAATAAATTTCAAATGCAGGCAAAACTAATCTATATTTTCAAAAGTCTGGAAATATTTGTCATTGGAGTGGGATACTAATAGGAAGGAAAATGTGTTCTGTAGTTCTGATTACTTTCTGATTCTTGATCTGGATGGTACTACATGTGCCTGCTCTCTGTGTAATTATATCACCATTATTGCAATTATAAATTGTGTCCTTGTCTCTATCTATGATACACTTCTCTAAAAGTCTATTGAAATATAAAATCAGGAAATCTAATCGATAAACAAGTATATAGCTTTTTAAATTAAACCTTAGTGAATAAAATTCTATAGTACTATTAAAAATGATATGAAATAATAATTCAAAACAATATAAGTAATTAATACAATTCTTCCAATTTATAGGTCAAGAAAACTATCACAGGATCATCTCCAAACATATTTAAAAAGTATTTGTTTTATTTGATTATATATTTTTGTTTAAAAATACACATCTACATATGTATACATGTGCCATATGTAGATGTGTATTTTTAAACAAAAATATGTAATCAAATAAAACAAATACTTTCAGTATTTTTTTCATTAAATCTTAAAGCATTTCTTATATTCACCAAAAAAAACACATCTACATTTATATCTATATGTATATCTGTAGTTAAAATGGTTACATTGAAAAAGTTCATATATACACTGAAGAATATATATTTATGTAAACACATATGCATGTATATATATTTATATAAATATATATACACATGTGGATGTTGACAAATATATACAAACACATTTATTAAGCACTTACTGAGAACAGACATTCTAATTGCTTTACATGTAATTACATCATATTCAATATAGTAAGTCTATGAATTAGATATTATTATAGATAAGACAATTGAACTACAGAATTTTAATAATTTTCCCAGTATTATACACAAAGTAAAAATTAAACAAGAGTAACAACTAGACAATTTGACTTCATATTTTCTGTGTCTTTTTATGCGTTGGAATTCTTCTCCAAATATGTTATTTAAAGCCAATTCTGTGACATTAAAAACAGATTTCCAATATAGTCAGAAACAAGAAAGGTATTAACATGATTTATCTTTCCTTTAAAAAAAAACTGGCTGATGCAATTAATAAAAACAAATAACGGCTATAAAATTCGTAATAAGTAAAAATTGCCATTTTGTATATGGCATATTCTATATCCAGAGAAGCTAAAATTCAAAATCCAAAAACTACTGTAAGGAAATAGATAACTCCGTAAGATTACTAGGTACATAACAGGTCAAAACCAGTAAGTTTCCTACAGACCACCAATTGATTAGGAATAATAGGCAATAAATTATTGCATTTATTATAGCATTGATAAATATCTGTAAAAATGAGGTAATAAGCAATAGTCAGCTGATAGATATATATAAAGAGTAGTTTACAATTCTTTTCTTGGGTTTAAAAAAGATAATTACATTGAAATATATATTATGTTCATGTTTGGAAAGGCAATTTTGTAATAAAATGATAATTTTTAATCAAACAATCTGATCACAAAAAATTACTGACAAAATGTTTGAATTTGAAAAAATGTCATCTTTAAAAAACAAATGAAGATAACCAGAATACTTCTGGAAAAAATATTCAAAGCAGATATCAGAATTCAGATTTGGATGCTAAAAACTTTAGGGATTGTCTACAGCAAATAATCTCATTTTACATAACTAGAGAAAACATAATAATGATGTTAGTGTAACTTATAAGTTATTTGGGAAAAAACAAATTTGAAATTTTACCTTATTCTGCAGTAAAAAAAATGCTAGTCAATCAAAGTTTTAAATCTAAAAACAAAACCACACAATAAAATGCAATTACACTTATATAATGTAAAGAAATTACTGCCATAAAGGACAAAGGACCCAGCATCAGTGCAATCCTTGCTGATAAATTTTACCATGCTTTAGAAAAGTTAAAAAATATATATTTTGAAAAAAATTACATAATATATGTAACTATAACATACAAAGCTCTAATAGAAATCAAAATGAAGAATAAACAACTTTACAAAAATTATTGATTTTCAAGTGAAATTAATTTACATGAACTTATGCATAGAAAAATAAATCTGTTAAGAGTATACAGTAAA
The DNA here is from genome assembly GCF_000001405.40 of Homo sapiens. Lineage (NCBI taxonomy): Eukaryota > Metazoa > Chordata > Mammalia > Primates > Hominidae > Homo > Homo sapiens. The sequence goes on from NC_000004.12 coordinate 178,867,447, forward strand.
AGTTGTTCAATCTTACTGAAAATTAAGCAAAAGAGAATTTCAAAACATGTTAAATATTTTTACCTATCAAATTGGAAGAGGTTTGATAACACTCATTTTTCTTAATGGTTTAAAGGTGGTGCATTTTCATACCTGTGGTTGAGACAATAAATTGGAGCATTTGACAACACATTAAAAAATTTAAAATGTATATATTTTTAAAACCAGAAATGACTTGGCTGTCAATTGACTAGTTATGCAGAAAAGTACATTAAAATATATCTGTGAGGTTAGTCATTGAAATGTTAGTTGTAATAAAAGAAAAATCTGAAGACTATAAAAATTCGTGAATAAAACAATTGTCATATAAACTATAAAATATAGCCAATGGAATAATATACAGATTTAAATACAAAAGCAAAATTATATGTGGTAACAAAATATTTCCAATAAATAAACTGCAAATTAATGTGTATGACTTCATTCATGTATATGTTCAATACATACATAAATAATGAGACAACTAACCTGACATTTACTTTTATTTCAGAAAAAAATAGTTGTCATTAGGACATTTTGTGTCGAAAGTCTGGAAATTGAAAAACAAAGAAAAAATTTGTTTTTGTTTTACTGTCTTCCTATACAATTGAAATATATTACCGGTACCTGATATGTAAGCTAGGTTTCAAACAACACAGGAAAAACATAATAAAATTATAAAACCTAAATCTTTTATCAATTGGAGTTTATACTTCATATATTTGGCTTTCTGCTCCTTTCTCTGCAAGTCTAACTTAATGGTTTTATAATATGTATTTCCTATTATAGATATGGCTGGAAATAATATATATTCTTTCTACATTTTAAGATTATAGATAACATTGCAGTGGACACCTTTGTAATGCATCACAGAACCGATCTCTCACATCTGAAGAGAAAAAGACCTATATTAATAATCTATTTTAAAGTCGTTGTAATATTTTCCAAATTGATTTTCAATATTTACAGTGTTTGCAAGTTGTATTTTCTCAGAATAACAAAATACATTCCCAGGTAGCAATCACTCTGTATATAAAATTGTAATAAATACTATATAAAGTTAAAAGGTCACAAAAATAAAATTGTATTCAGTAGAAATTGAGAGACAAACATATTATTTTATATTATTGCTTCCTACAATTCCATATCCTAAGGATAAATAATATAGTTTGCCTTATATCTTGACATTTTTCATATATATGTATATATAGATATCTTTTACTTGAAATATAATTAATTAGTGTATTCTTAAGTGCTGACAATATAGGTACAAATATACTTAATATCTCATTTTTATTTTAATTTTTGGAACATATTGTGAATTTGAGATCCTTTTCCTATGTTTAATATTCTTTAAGATTTCTTTATATGCCAGTTACCTGCGTTCTTTTACTTATAAATTTGCAGAAATACTTTGTGTTAGGTTTTTTTTAAAAAAATTTTTTGTCTTCATTTTCATTTCCTTTCCATTGCCTCACAGAAGTTCTAATACCAATAACCTGGGCAAGCAACACTACTGATAAGTAAAGTACAAGAAACTGTCATCTAAACAGTTTTTGATTGGCTCCTTCTATGTGAGATTTTAACTAGTTTTTAGTTATACTTAGCATACCTACTATGTTATTTCATTAACTTTTGTTTATGCTTTTTTTTTTTTTTTTGAGACAGAGTCTAGCTCCGTTGCTGAGCCTGGAGTGCAGTGGCACAATCTCCGCTCACTGCAACCTCCACCTCCTGGGTTCACGCCATTCTCCTGCCTCAGCCTCCCGACTAGCTGGGATTACAGGCACATGCTACCTTGCCCAGCTAATTTTGTATTTTGAGTAGAGACGGTGTTTCACCATGTTGCCCAGGATTGTCTTGATCTCCTGACCTCATGATCCACCCGCCTTGGCCTCCCAAAGTGCTGGAATTACAGTCGTGAACCACCGCGCCCGGCCCGTTTATGTTTTTTCTCCCCATAATTACTTCCTGTACTTTAGAATTAGGAATTAACTTCATCTAAAGAGTGTTAAGACAATCTAAACTGATGCTCCATATTTCACAGACACTTCTGTGTCACTACTTTGTAGTTGCAGTCGTGAGATATGCTTTCATAATTTCAATATATTTAAGTTTAAAAGTGGAATTCAGTAATTCAGTATAAGGGAGAAGGCAGCGCATGAAGTAATTATTTTGGAATCAGAGGCAATAATTCAGGCTAGTATCAATGTTGCTAAATTATATTAAAAAATCATTGTTTCATCATATGTGTGAGAGGAATCTGAATGAAATCATTAGAGTTCACAGTAAGAGAACAGAAGCCCCTATATCAGTTTAGCATATACCCTATATACAGGAGAACACAAGCCCCATATCAGTTTAGCATATACTATAGCTAGTATATTGCTGCATTTCAAGAATATTGCCATTATTGTGTGTCCAATTCTTTAAATATATTACACGGGAAAACATTTTGGTCTTAAAAGTATTGAATACCTTTATTGAAATGGCACACCTTACAGATGTAAGTATTTATTTGGAAAATCATGTTGATAGTTCCTCTAATATTCTGAGTGACAGAGGGGTTTTAAGAGTTATGTTTGTATTAGAAGAAATTTAGTATTATATTAGAAGAGATTCTTGCCATTGCTTAATGTAATTAGAATCACCATAACTGTGCCAAGTCACACATACATACACCCATGCAGGCACACACACACTTATACAGTCTCAAAGGTTGTTTTAACAAGCAAACAAACAACAATGATGACCTGAGTGAAGTAATGCTGCTTAAATGCTTAAACTGCCAATTTGAACTAACTAGGATTTCAAGTTGAATTGCAGTATCTGTTGTTTATGTTTTGCTCTCATGGGGAATTGTTTACTTACTAGAAAAATACGCTTTATCAAATCTGTCATTGTTGTATGATGTACTTACTTTCAACCCTTTCCTTATACACTTCTGAAAATTCAGATATGTGGTTCATACAGCATTACCATATGCTGGTAATAATAGGTTATATTAGAGCAAACACACAAACACTTTTAATTTTTGAAGTAACTCATTTTAAATTGTTTTCCTACATGTTATAATAATTTCAAATATTTTAATTGCAATTATAAATAAAATTGTAAACTCCTTAAAGGTTATGTATATCAATGCCATAGGTTAAAATAGAATTTTGCAATAGGTTAAAATAGAATTTTGTCATAGGCTAAATAGAATTTGGGATATGTAGTTTATAGGTTTTAAACCTTCAATTTGAAGAACATCAAGAAGGTACAGAAAAACAAGAAATATTAATCGCAAAGGCAAAAGTAATTTATTTCTATTGTGCATCAGTGTATCAAATGACTAGAGTCAGGCTGAAACTTTATAGACAAGAATGCACTTCAATGCCAATGATCTTGCTAAAAAATTTGTGAAAAAGGAAGCCAAAACAATTTTCTCCCCCCGCACCCTTTTCCCTAAATTGCCTTACTTTGTTATAGATAAATAAGAATGTACAATGGAGAGGAATGAATGGCCTATTTCACCTTGTATTTTGGAATTCCTATAGTTTAAGAAATCATATTGATTCCTCCAGTACAGAAAGGTCTACAGATTTCATTTTTTATGACACATTTAACTGGTTCCAATAAGTTACCAATACTATTCATTTTTATTTATTTCTTTTGAGAAATAAATAATAAGAAATCAAAATAAAAACCTAAGCCCCCTCCCAACTGAACAGATTTTCTCTATGGGCAAGGAGACCCCAGAGAAACTTTACAATCTGAGTTCCCAGCCCTGACAGGACACGAGGTCAAGACAATCCTCGTTCTACTCCCTCCAGCCATCAGGACTTTTTTCCTAAGAGTTCAACAGAAACCCACCCTTTGGAAAGTCTTGCTCCACCACTGATTTCTAGACTTGCTCCAGTGGGGTGACGCTGCCCCTTCCTTTATGCAGTTTCAACGCAGCAAAGGACCAGCTTTCCTTCCTGATGAGAGAGTCCTGACCATGGGCTGGCTCTCAGCAGCTTTTGGAAGCTGCACCGTTAGTGCCTCATGTGTCACCTGCTTCACCTTTTGACATATACAGCCGAATTGTTGTACAGTTACATGTTAAATCTCCACCTCAAATGGAGCATGGTGCCCCCTCATGAATATTCATAGCTCCTCCTATAACCTGTTGAATATGAATACTTAGCCAACTCTTTTAGTATAAACTCCTGTTTCATTTTTCCTCCTTTGAAGCAACTGCTTTTTGGTTTTATCAGGAAGCTCTGCTTCCTGTCTGCAGGTTGTGATAATCTTTTTAAGAAATAAGGTCTCCTTTCTAAATTTAGAGATTTTTGTTACTTTTTCCATTGATATTAGCAATAGCTAACTAGTATAATATGACCTATTCAGATTCATAAGAATGCTTTCTACTAATAATTTTTTTGAAAGGATGTTAATGGAGTTGACTTGGCACCGACAAGGTTTTGACTCTGATTGGTAGATAAGAATTTCGTCCATTTACTAAGTAAACGTAATTCAGAACTTCTATAAATAAACTGCTGGGGAAAAAAAAAGAAAAAAGAAAAGAAAAAAAGAAAATCACATTACTTTTATATTCTGGTATAGTTGATCTGGGGAAAGTGGATAATACCTGTAAAATTATAGAGAAATATCTTAAGTAAAGAGGTTATTCACACATATACACTTTGACCAAGAGCAGTGGCTCACGTCTGTAATCCCAGCACTTCACTGAGGAGGGTGAATCACTTGAGCTCAGAATTGGCGACCTGACTGGTCAACATGGCGACACCCTGTCTTTACAAAAAATACAAAAGAAAAAAATTAGCTGGGCTCGGTGGTGAGTGCCTGTGGTCCCAGCTACTTGGGAGGCTGAGGCATGAGAATTGCTTGACACCTGGATGCAGAGACTGCAGTGAGCCAAGATCATGCCACTGCACTCCAGCCTGGGGCAACAAAGCAAGACCCTGTCTCAAACAAACAAACAAACAAGCAAACAAACAAACAAAACCCCACCATATACACACTTACTAAATGTTATCTTTTTCTCCTAATTATAAAATTATTTTTTCTTGCTTTTGCTGTTGAATTTTTTCAATGGATCATGGTTTTCTGGGCATTTTCATAATTGTAATTTTTTCAAGATAACCTTCACATTTACTGTATCTTTGTTCTTCCAGAGATAGTGTGTCTAGCACCTAGCTGATGTTCAAAAAATTGTTGTTGGGGGCTGGGTGTGGTGGCTTATGCCTGTAATTCCAGTGCTTTGGGAGGCTGGAGGAAGCGGATCGCTTGAGGCCAGGAGTTTGAGGCCAGCCTGGGCAACAAAGTGAGACCCTGTCTCTACAAAAATAAATTCTAAAATTAGGTGGGTGACAGATGTCTGTCGTCCTAGATAGTTGAGAGGCTGAGGCAGGAGGATGGCTTGAGCCCAGGAGTTGGAAGCTACAGTGAGCTATGATCACACCACTGCACTCTGGGCTGAGTGACAGAATGAAACTCTGTCTCTCTCTCAAAAAAAATAATAATAATAATAATTGTTGAACTCAACAAACCTAATTTATAATGACAAAATGCAGTTCCCCCTGTATTTCTTTAGCACATTTCTTCACACAAATATTCAGTATAGTTTTTAAATTAAACTGAAATAAATAACATGAGAGTTGGTCAGATGTTTAGTGTGGAGTGCTCATAATTATTATGCAGTCCTTGTCATCATGAGCAAATAGTGTTTTGGTTGTTACTTTTAATTTTGTATTTTATTTTTAATATACTATAAGATACTAGTTATTGTGTTTGGTCTCCAAGTGTTTGAAATATGACTTTAGAATTAATCTGTGTTCAGCTACTAGTAATAAAAACAATTGTCAGTCATTGGCAGGTAGGAGTTGGATATCTTTTGATGTAAAGAGTACTTTTCATAAGGAATATTTTATACCCAAATAATTGAAAGGTTAACATTTTATGCATCAGAATCTGGGGTATTTAATTTTGTTTTAATTCAGAATAACATAGTATATCAATGTATATAGCACTAATTGCATATTTAGCAATATGTTCATTAAATGATTTAAATAACATATAATTACAAAAGTTGATTATTAATATTATAGGTCATATACAATTTGGGGTTACAATGTAATTTAATTTTTGCATCAGGATTATATTATTTTTAAAAATGTATCTGTAAGACATATTTACTTGCAAGTATGGGAAAGTTTAACAAACTTAGGTTGATTTTTTGTTATCTTGAATGTTCAGGCTAGTGGATTTTCTTTTAAGAAGAATTCAACTTGACAGGAACATATTGTGCCACTGGAAGAAGTGATTAATCCTTATATTCATGGATTAGTAAAATGACAAAGTGAAAACTTGTCATAAATACTAAGCTTAGCCAGGTTAATTTTCTTTTCATCCTAAGATAGGGAAAAAAGCTGTCTTAGAAATTATTACCTTGGTTGTATGTGTAGATATATTTCTTTGAGTTTTTAGTTCTATCTCTATTCTAGAAATAAATATTTCTCTCAAATAGGTATACATTTTATTTTTTATTTTTCTTCCATAGATTTGACTCTCAAAATGAAATATTTAAATAAAATGCACATACTGTAGTAGCATCCCTCTATATATCATTTTTGGTTACAATTATTTCTGTTTTCAAGTAAAATAATGTGTCAAGGGTATTTATTCTCATGTCACTGATTTTGAATATTAATAATGCCCAAATGATAGACTTTATAAGTAATATGGTGTCATTTGCATTGCATGGAATAGCAATTTATATTATACTACTAGTGTTTTATGTTTCCCTTGAAAACTTATTTTCTATTCAAATATGCTATTTAAAATATGATATGAAAATATATTTTTTTTGTTTTTTGAGACAGAGTCTCGCTCTGTCACCCAGGCTGGAGTGAAGTGGCACAATCTCAGCTCACTGCAACCTCTGCCCCCTGGGTGCAAGTGGTCTTCTGCCTCAGCCTCCCGAGTAGCCTCAGTCTCCCAAGTAGCTGGGACTACAGGCACACGCCACCACACCCAGCTAATTTTTGTATTTTTAGTAGAGACGGGGTTTCACCATATTGGCCAGGTTGGTCTCGAACTCCCGACCTCATGATCCTTCCGCCTTGGCCTGCAAAAGTGCTGGGATTACAGGCGTGACCCACAGCACCTAGAAGATAATGTAATTTTTAAGTGAACTTTTAAATGTGCAACAATGGAAATAATGTGCGGGTCAAAGGAACAAATCAGATAAAGAAAGGTGAATTATTAACTATGATAAATTACCAAAATAAAAGAAATTCTATTTACGATGAATGTTAAACTTTGTAAACATTAAAAAACATTGTGTATTCTCGTTTATCTGCAGAACGTAAAAATTAAAACAAACTCATAGAGATAGAGAGAAGGATGATTACCAGAGAGAGGAAAGGATAATGGGTAGGGGAAGGGGGATGGTTAATGAGCACAAAAAATAGGGAATAAAGAAGACCTAGTACTTACTAGCACAACAGGGTGACTGTAGTAAAAGCTAACTTAATTGTATGTTTTAAAATAATTAAAAGAGTATAATTGAGTTGTTTGAAACACAAAGATAAATGCTTAAAGTGATGGATACCTTATTTACCTTGATGTTATTATTATACATTGCATGCCTGTATCAAAATCTCAATGTTTTGGGGATGCCAAAAAAGAGATTTTATGTTCAAACCTTATTATATTGAGCCATGTAAGATTGCCATTTTATAGAACAAAAATTTTGAAATATTTCACCTAATTCAAGATAATAATTCACAAAAGCATAGCATTAAAATGTATCTTTCTGGTTTCCCTTTAAATCCTGGTTCACTCCTGTAAGCAAAGTATATTCTATGTATTGAGATCATCTTCAAAGATAGTAGTTTAAAATTTTTATATATCACAATGAAATACATATGATAATGAAATATAATAGTAACATACTTGTGTACTTGGACAATAGATGAATATGTTATTACAGAAAATTGAGTTGCTATCTATAAAGTCATTATATTTTAGATCTAAGAAAGACGATATGTCATTCAAATAATGTGTCTTTCAAATAAGAAATGACATTTAGAGAAGGACTAGCTTGTTCGAGCTTACACAAATAATACAACTGAGAGTATAATCCTTGTCTTCTGTTTCCCAATCTTAGTGTGGATTTTCCAGTGGAATTTAGCATGGTTTGTTACATGGCTTCTGAAGTAAAACTTGCTTAAGTGGAGTAAGGATGTGGCTGCAGAAAGTCTATTATAAGAAGTAATCAATAAGGGGAAAAAAATCCTGATGGGTGTAGGAGCCTAAGAGCAGAACTAACAACCACGTACTTTAAGTATGGCAATTCTAGGCAATTTCAGTGAAACACTGAGCTAGAAGAGGAATCCAGCCTGAGGTCTTTGGTAGCAGATGCTGGGAGCATCAGTCAAGGAAAGAGGCAAAGTCAGAAAAATGACTAACATAAAGTTCTGGGTTTGGACCAAAGACAAAAGTTACTGAGTGGTTGGAGAATTTCTGTTTCTGAGAAAAAGGAGTGAAGCAGCCAGGAATTATGGACTGTGGGATTAAGAAATCTGATTTGAGAACCTACCATCAGACAGTCATTGTAAAACATTAAAGTCCACTGGTTATGGGATAGGAATAATAGATATTTTCTTTTTTGACTGGGAAATAAGTTCATATAAAATAAATTCTTATGATTAAATGCACTTCAGCAGCTTCTAGGCTTGTATTAGAATGGCAGGGACCATATTAAAAGTTCCTCAAGATGCTTCTCAGGACAAGAAAGGAAAAAATTGATAATCAACTCCATGAATACATACTGCTTTTTTTGAAAGCCACATGAGCAGGATTAGAACCCCCCTTCTTTGCTCCCCATGATAGTTTGATTTTTCTCTCCAATATTGCACATATTTCTCTCTCCTTTGCATTAGATTCAGATGTTTCATGTTGTCTTCTCTTACAGACTACCAAATTATTTAGGATACCTTAGTATCTCCTATAGGAAATAACATGTTTTTTTTACAGTCAATAAAACTGTATTAGTTTATTTATTTTCATGTGACATCATGATATTTGTACCTATCTCAAAATTATTGTATTAAGTAATGTAGGTTAAATTGCTTTGAAATTTGTTATTACTTGGAGTGGAAATAAGTTCTATGATTTTTTTGTCCATGCTTACAATGAGATAGGTTCTATTTGAAATGCTTTACATTGCTTAACACACTTAATCCCCTCAATAATCAAATGGCACAGGTACAATTATTATTCCCATTTGCTAGCTGAGGAAATGAGATATAAAAAAATCAAAATTCACACGGTATAATACTTATGTAGTTATTTACATTGATGTAGATATACCAGAGGAGTATTGTAATTTGCAATGACATTGTATAAATATTCAAATTTGACGAAGCCTTTCCTACTGCTTACAATCCAAGTGGTTTTCTATAAAAGATAAAATTCTTGAGTAATACATAGGTTCCATTGTTTTAAACAATCCAGAGAAGAGTTTCTGATATTCTTCAATGAAGTATAGTGTACTGGAAAAGACTAGATATGAATTCAAATAACAAAATATGAAACCTTTGAGAATAAGAACTATTAATTATTCATTTTTTTTCTTTTAATGAAATGATCCCAAAGACTAGTGTAATGTCTTCCCCATGGGAAACATTAAAGAAATGCTTATTCAACAATGTTATATCGATTATATGATTAGGGTAAATTTACTTATCCTCTTTGAAACTTATTATCTTCTCTTTTATGATAAAAATATACTGATACCTATATTCTAGTTATTGGAATGAGTATATCAGAAATGATAGATCTTATGTGTTTTTAAAATTAGGATGTAATTTTTATTTAGCACATATGTGCACTTAATTTTTGATATCTCAACTATATGGCCTTAGTAATGCTCCACTTGCATTAATTGAACAGATGTAATAAAACATAGGTTATATGTTTGTTGCATATTGGTTACATTTAGGCAATATATAAATAATTATAAATACTTTTCTAATCATGAGAAACACTGAATGCATTGTTCAAGTTCCCAGTTAATTAGAATGTTTTGGCTCCATCAATAACCTTGAAGAAAAATTTGAAGAACAAATTTGAGAAACATAAAATACCAATCAAACTAAGAAAAACAGATACAGCATCATATACACAAAATAATATTCTTTATTAATTAATGGGAAATATTCAGGATTTGTAAAGATTAATTTGATACTTATAAATTATTATTATTATTATTATTATTGAGACAGTCAGACAGTCTTGCTCTATCACCCAGGCTAGAGTGCAATGGCGCCGTCTCGGCTCACTGCAACCTCAGACTCCAGAGTTCAAATGATTCTTCTGCCTCAGCCTCCTGAGTAGCTGAGACTACAGCTGCACATCACCACACCCCAGCTAATTTTTGTATTTTTAGTAGAGACAGGGTTTCACTATGTTGGCCAGGCTAGTCTTGAACTCCTGACTTCATGATACTCCCACCTCAGCCTCCCAAAGTGCTGGGATTACAGGAGTGAACCACCGCGCCTGGCTGAAATTATTTTTTATAATTACATTTAAACCTAATCTTGACATATGTTTCAACTCTAATGTTGTAAGGAATCATAAACATCTTTCTGTAAACCTACATCCCTCATGAACTGGGTATACAAGTTTTGATCCCTTCTAACTTAGAAACACATGCACACTAGCATTAAAATAAAGGACCCTGGTCTTTGTGTGTTCTGTTTTGTGTTATCTTGCTGTGTGAACTTACCTAAGTGTTATGGGTACCCCTGCTACCTAGTAACTGTAATCTGTTACATGTGACTCTTTACAGTCAATAATAGATCTAAAATACTGTATTTTTCCTCATTCTATTCTCCGAATGCCTGCCTGGTTTTGAGTAAGAATATAACCGCAATCAATGATAAGACTCACCATTCTTTACTTAACCCTGGCCAATGGAGAGATGAACTTACTATCTGCCCAAACCAATAAATAACCAAATCATAGCAGCTATAGAATGGCTCAATAAATAAATTTTAAAAACCAGTACATTTTTTTTAAATTATACTTTAAGTTTTAGGGTACATGTGCACATTGTGCAGGTGAAAACCAGTACATTTTTAAAAGAAATAGTTATCCTGAAGTAATCTTTATTAATGACTATAATCTCTCGTGGCCTAACGAATAGGTTCCTGGCCAATCTTTGAGTAGGTACATTCAAAGGGAAAGAAATGGCTCAAATCAGGGAAAACTACATCACAGCTTTAGTATTAGAATACCTGATTAGAGTCAGATGAGAACAAACTTTGTAAAACATTTTACTACCTCCATTCTGTTCTTTCTTGTTATTTATTTGCAGAAATCAATAAAAGGTTGCTAAAATGTAAGCAAAGAATTTACAAAGTATGAGAGAATCTTACAAAGAATATGGCAGCTGAGATCTAATACAAAAAAGTGAAACTTAGATAAGAAATTACCTAACCCTCTATTTTAGAAGCAAATCATAAAAAGGGAAGATTGAAGTCTATAAGACGTCAGCTTGTTCAAATATTTTAAGTAAACAAATAAATATTTTATTCTATTTTACATTAAAATGTAGGTTTAGGGCTTTTTTTTTAATTGAAAAATAAGACCTATGTTTTTGTAGGCAGGAATGAATCTCAAATTACTACCAGCCTAGTCAAGACTTAGTGATTTAAATCATGTGAGCATCAGTAAAAATACATATATGGAAGAGATAACAAATGATTCTAGTTGAATCCTTAAGTATAATTTACTTTAGGAGGCATATGACTCTCATCAAAATTGTTGAAAATTTTATGAATTCAACATATTTTACCTACTACCCTGACATCACCTTTCAGCTATATATCTGTGCTTTATAACCTATGGTTCATAATCTCTTCTGGTGAGGACACCTTTCAAAGATATTCTCAATTGCAAGACACTTCCAAAAATATGCCTATATTTGACAATATGCTCCTGCAAAATACATGAAGAAATTAGTCTAAGAACATCTCAGGCAACTTTTCCTAATGGAGGAACAGCATTTTATAGATTTCATTATCACTTGAGTAAATCTTAAATTCTTAAATTTGTCAGCGCAAGAAAAAATAAATAAAGTTAAAATGATTTCCATGTGTGTTTTCTAGAACTACTCTAAAAGTAATATTTATGTGCCTAACGAAGTGTGTTAGTTATTAAAGAATAATCACACAGGTAAATAATATTAAATGCTATAATAACTATTATTAACAGCTCTATAAAATTTGACATAAATCTTGTATCTGAAGCTTTCACTTGCACTATGGTGTGCATTTGATTTGCTTGTAACAGCTTTTTATTGTTACTAAAAGAAATATGCATATCCATGCTTCTTGGTAGTTTTGCATACATGTGTAATTTCACTGTTTCCTTCAGCTATCCTCTTCTTACTAACACATAATCACAATTGTCAGTTTAAAATATGAGAATAACTATAACTCAAAAGCCAAAGATAATCAATGTCCTTTCTATTTAAGGCATACATGTAACCTTTTGTCATCATTGGCTTCAACAAACTTGAAATAGAATATTATATTTTGTTGAGTAATTGTAACCTCACCCCTTCCACTTTCACATATTAAAACGTCTTGCAATATTCATGAGTGACTGTTAAATTGTATGGAAATAATAGTGAATGTACTTTTATTCTGTAAGTAAAAGCTTATTGGAAACTTTTCTCAATAATATCACCAAACTAGAATCACTGCAGTTGAGAACTGATGCCCTTGATTGGCATCTTGTCATAAGCTCTTTGAATTTTATCCAAAAAAACTGAGCTAAATATGAATGGTCATCTTCTTCATTGAAGTGTCATTATTTTTGTTAATGATTATTTTGTCATCTTAGTTGGAACTATTAAAGAAAAATAGCTGTAATAACTCAAAAAGTAGTTTAACTTGTCAGTTATTTATAAAAGTATTTTCCCCAAAACACTGATTAACATATATTTGTATAGTTATTTAGAAATTTTAAAACTTAAAAAAAACTTTGAAAAAGAATATAGTAAAATAAGTCTTAAGTATGATAGATCTCATTCAGACTTTGTGTTTCATGTTCAAAGTACAGAGGAACAAAGTTAGTAAATTCTAGAAAATGAAAATAAGTAGAATCTCATGATATCTCCTACAGGTAGCAAGATATAAAGCAAAAGGAATTTCTACATTACAAGAAATTATAGCCATATTATTATCAGTCAGAAGGTAGCCTAATGTATTTTAATGTTTCAGCCTTACTTTTACGAACATTACATAATCCACATATATATTAATGATAGGCATATTTACAGCATTTATATTGATTTGATTAAATAAAAAATACAGTTTTTATATTATGTGTGTGTATATGTCTTTATATTAATTGATAAGAATAAGAATTAATTTTGGAATAATAAAACAAAACATATGCCAAATACTGAAGCATAAAGCAAGAATCAAAATACATCACTGTAGGAATGTACATGACACAAAACTGAAGAACATGAGAAATAAATAAATTAGAAATTATGTAAGCTTATATGAAATATTTCTGAAAAAAGAAAGTTGAATAATGTTTGATAAGGTTTGAATTTGTGTCCCTGCCTAAATCATATGTAGAATTGTAATCCCCAATGTTGGGTGAGTGGCCTGGTCAAGGTGATTGGATCATGGGGGTGTACTGTCCCCTTGCTGTTCTCATGATAGTGAGTGAGTTCTCACAAGATCTGGTTGTTTAAAAGTGTATAGCACCACCGCATTTGCTTTCTTTTGTTCCTTCTCCAGTCATGTAAGATGTACCTGCTTCCCCTTTGCTTTCTGCCATAATTGTAAGTTTCCTGAGGCCTCCCCAGCCATGCTTCCTGTACAGCCTGTGGAACTGTCAGCCAATTAAACCTCTTTTCTTTATAAATTACCTAGCTTGAGGTAGTTCGTTATAGCAATGCAAGAATGAACTAATACAGAAATTTGGTATTGGAAGTGGGGCATTGCTATAAAGACACCTGAAAATGTGGAAAAGACTTTGAAACCGGGTAATGGGGAGAGGTTGGAACAGTTTGGAGGGTGTAGAAGAAGATAGGAAGATGACAAAAAATTTGGAATGTCCTAGAGATGTGTTGAATTCTTGTGAACAAAATGTTGATAGTGATATAGACAATGAAGTCCAGGCTGAGGGGGTCTCAGATGAAGATGAGGAACTTATTGGGAACAGAAGCAAAGGTCAGTTTTGTTATACATTAGCAAAGAGGTTGGAGGCATTGTGTCCCTGCCTTAGATATCTGTGGAACTTTGAACTTGAGAGAAATGATTTAAAGTATGTAGCAGAAGAAATTTCAAAGCAGCAAAGTTTTCAAGATATGGCCTGGCTGCTTCTAAGAGTGTATGTTTATATTCATAAGCAAATAAATTACCTGGAGCAGAAACTTACATTTAAAAGGGAAGCAAAGCATAAAAGTTTGAAAAATTTGCATCCTGATCATGTAGTAGAAAAGAAAATCCCATTCTTGGGGGAGGAATTCAAGCTGGCTGCAGAAATTTGCATGAGCAAAGAGGTGCTAAATGTAAATAGTCAAGATAATGGGGAAAATACCTTGAAGGCATTTCAGAGACTTTTGCTGCAATCCCTCCTATCACAGACCCAGACACATAGGAGAGAAGAATGATTTAGTGGGCCAGGACCACGATCAGAGCCCTGCTGCTCTGCACAACCTTAGGACATTGCTCCCTGCATCCCAGCTGCTCCAGCTCCTGCTGTGGCTAAAAGGGCCCCAGATATATCTCAGTCCACTGCTCCAGAGGGTAAAAGTTGCAACCTTGTTTGCTTCCAAGTGGTGTTAAGCCTGCAGGTGCACAGAGGACAAGAGTTGAGGCTTGGGAGCCTCAGCCTAGATTTCAGAGGAGGTATGGAAATGCCTGGATGTCCAGGCAGAAGTGTGCTGCAGGGGCAGAGCCCTCACAGAGAGCCTCTACTAGTGCAGTGCAGAGGGAAAATGTGGGGTTGGAGTCCCCAACACATATTCCCCACTAGGGCACTGCCTAGTGGAGATGTAAGAAGAGGGCCACTGTCCGCCAGACCCCAGAATGTTAGATCCACCAACAGCTTGAACCATGCTTCTGGAAAAGCTGCAGGCACTCAATGCCAGCCCATGAAAGCAGATGACGGGACCTGTATCTTGCAGAGTCAAAGGGTGAAGATGCCCAAGACTTTAGGAACCCATGCCTTGCATCAGTGTGGCCTGGGTGTAAAACAAGGAGTCAAAAAAGATTATTTTGGAGTTTTGAGACTTAATGACTGTCCT
Organism: Homo sapiens; assembly: GCF_000001405.40. NCBI lineage: Eukaryota > Metazoa > Chordata > Mammalia > Primates > Hominidae > Homo > Homo sapiens. The sequence continues at coordinate 178,882,796 of NC_000004.12, forward strand.
GCTGGGTTTCAGATTTGCATGGGACTTGTAGCCCCTTTGTTTTGGCTGATTTGTCCCTTTTGGAATGGATTGTATTTGCCCAGTGCCTGTACCCCCATTTTATCTTAAAGTAGCCAACTTGATTTTTTTTATTTTACAGGCTCATAGGCAGAAGGGACTTTCATTGTCCCAGACAAGACTTTGGAGGTAAACTTTTGAGTTACTGCTGAAGTGAATTAAGACTTGGGGGACTGTTGAGAAGGGATAATTGTATTTTGCAATGTGAGAAGGACATGAGATTGTGGATGGGTCAGGGGTGGAATCATATGGTTTAGATTTGTGTCCCTGCCAAAATCTCACGTAGAACTGTAATCCCCAATATTGAGGGAGGGGTATGGTCAAGGAGATTGGGTCATGGGGCTGGGCTTCCCCCTTGCTGTTCCTGTGATAGTGAGTTCTCATGAGATCTCATTGTTTAAAAGTGTGTAGGACCTCACTGTTCACTCTGTTTCTTCTGCTCCTACCATGTAAGACATGCCTGCTTCCCCTTTGTCTTCTGCCATGATTGTGAGTTTCCTGAGGCCTCCTAGCCATGCTTTCTGTACAGCCTGTGGAATTGTGAGCCAATTAAACCTCTTTTATTTATAAATTACCCAGTCTCAGGTAATTTTTTATAGCAATGTGAGAACAGACTAATATAATGTTACATATTGATTTCTATAAATCCTCACAGAGAATTATTAAAAGAGGTCATAAATATGTATATATTGAAAAATTGTTTTTAAAGAAGCATAATAAATAAATAAACATTCAACCATATGTAGATTTCTGGGTTTTTTGTTGTTTGTTTGTTTTGATATGGATTCTTGCTCTGTCACCCAGGCTAAAGTACAGTGGCGTGATCATAGCTCACTACAGCCTTGAACTCCCTGGGCTCAGGCAACACCCCTGCTTCAACCTCCTGAGTACATGGGGTTATAGGCACACGATGTCACACCCAGCTAATTTTTATTTTTTTTTTTTAGTTTTTGTAGTGATGGGGTCTTGCTGTGCTGACCACACTGTAAACTTCTCTCTAACTTAAATAATCTGAGTGATTATCCTTATAGAGTATAAGTTAAGGGAATACAATAAAAATAGAAGATGAGCCCTTGCTTCCAAGATAGCCAAATAGTAACAGCTCCAGTCTGCAGCTCCCAGCGAGATCGATGAAAGAGATGGGTGATTTCTGCATTTCCAACTGAGATATCTGTTTCATCTAACTGGGGCTGGTTGGACAGTGGGTGCAACCCATGGAGGGTGAGCTGAAGCAGGGCGGGGCATCACTTCACCCCAGAAGTGCAAGGCGTTGGGGGATTTCCCTTTCCTAGCCAAGGGAAGCAGTGACAGACTGTACCTGGAGAAAATGTATACCCCTGACCAAACACTGTGCTTTTCCCACATTCTTAGCAACTGGCACACCAGGAGATACCCTCCCATGCCTGCCTCAGTGGGTTCCACACCCACGGAGCCTTGCTCATTGCAGTGCAGTAGTCTGAGATTGACCTGCAACACTGCAGCTTGATGGGGGTTTAGGTGTCCACCATTGCTGAGGCTTGAGAAGCTTACAATGTAAACAAAGTGGCCCAGAAGCACGAACTGGGCAGAGCCCACCATAGCTCAGCAAGGCCTAGTGCCTCTATAGATTCCACCTCTGGGAGCAAGGCATAGAAGAACAAAAGGCAGCAGACAGCTTCTGCAGACTTAAACGTCCCTGTCTGACAGCTCTGAAGAGAGCAGTGGTTCTCTCAGCCAGTGTTCGAGCTCTGAGAATGGACAGACTGCCTCCTCAAGTGGGTCCCTGACCCCTGTGTAGCCTGACTGGGAAACACCTACCAGTAGGGGCTGATGGACACCTCAAACAAGTGGGTACCCCTACGGGACAATGCTTCCAGAGGAGGGATTAGGCAGCAATATTTGCTGTTCTGCAGCCTCCACTGGTGATACCCAGGCAAGCAGGGTCTGGAGTGGACCTCCAGCAAACTCCAACAGACCTCCTGCAGCTGACAGACCTGACTATAAGAAGAAAAACTAACAAACAGAAAAGAATAACATCAACATCAACAAAAAGGACAACCACACCAAAACCCTATCTGTAGGTCACCAACATCAAGGACCAAAGGTAGATAAAACCACAAAGGTGGGGAGAAACCAGAGAAGAAAAGCCAAAAATTCCAAAAAAACAGAGTGCCTCTTCTCCTCCAAAGGGTCACAGCTCCTTGCCAGCAAGGGAATAAAACTGGGTGGAGAATGAATTTGATGAGTTGACAGAAGTAGGCTTCAGAAGGTCAGTAATAACAAACTATTTTGAGCTAAAGGAGCATGTTCTAACCCATCGCAAGGAAGCTAAAAACCTTGAAAAAATGTTAGATGAATGGCTGTCTAGAATAAACCATGTAGAGAAGACCTTAAATGACCTGATGGCTCTGAAAACCATGTCACAAGAGCTTGGTGATGCATGCACAAGCTTCAATAGCCGATTCAATCAAGTGGAAGAAAGGATATCAGTGATTGAAGATCAAATTAATGAAGTGAAGCAAGAAGACAAGATTAAAGAAAAAAGAGTGAAAAAAAACAAACAAAGCCTCCAAGAAATATGGGACAATGTGAAAAGACCAAATGTGTATTTCACTGGTGTACTGGAAAGTGACAGGGAGAATGGAACCAAGTTAGAAAACACTTTTCAGGATATTATCCAGGAGAACTTCCCTAACCTAGCAAGGCAGGCCAACATTCATATACAGGAAATAAAGAGAACACCACAAAGATACTCCTTGAAAACAGCAACCCCAAGACACATAATTTTCAGATTCACCAAGGTTGAAATGAAGGAAAAAATGTTAAGAGCAGCCAGAGAGAAAGGTCAGGTTACCCACAAAGGGAAACCCATCAGACTAACAGCAGATATCATCTCAGCAGAAACTCTACAAGCCAGAAGATAGTGGGGTCCAATATTCAACATTCTTAAAGACAAGAATTTTCAACCCAGAATCTTATATCCAGCCAAATAAGCTTCATAAGTGAAGGAGAAATAAAATCCTTTACAGACAAGCACATGTGGAGAGATTTTGTCATCACCAGCCCTGCCTTACAAGAGCTCCTGAAGGAAGCACTAAAGATGGAAAGGAAAAACCAGTAACAGCCACTGCAAAAGCATGCCAAATGATAAAGACCACTGATGCTATGAAGAAACTGCATCAATTAACAGGCAAAATAACCAGCTAACATTGTAATTACAGGATCAAATTCAAACATAAAAATATTAACCTTAAAGGTAAATGGGCTAAATGCCCCAATTAACAGACAAAGACTGGCAAATTGGGTGAAGAGTCAAGACCCATTGGTATGCTATATTCAGGAGACCGATCTGACTTGCAAAGATGCACACAGGCTCAAAATTAAGGGATGGAGGAAGACCTACCAAGCAAATGGAAAACAAAAACAAAAACAAAAACAAAAACAGGGGTTGCAATCCTTGTCTCTGATAAAACAGACTTTAAACCAACAAAGATCAAAAGAGACAAACAAGGCTACTACATAATGGTAAAGGGATCAATTCAACAAGAAGAGCTAACTATCCTAAATATATATGCACCCAATACAGGAGTACCCAGATTCATAAAGCAAGTCCTTAGAGACCTACAAAGAGACTTAGCCTCCCAAACAATAATAATGGGAGACTTTGACACCCCACTGTCAACATTAGACAGATCAATGAGACAGAATATTAACAAGGATATTCAGGACTTGAACTCAGTTCTGGACCAAGCAGACCTAATAGACACCTACAGAACTCTACACCCCAAATCAACAGAATATACATTCTTCTCAGCACCACATCACACTTATTCTAAAATTGACCACATAACTGATAGTAAAACACTCCTCAGCAAATGTAAAAGAACAGAAATCACAACAAACTGTCTCTGAGACCACAGTGCAATTAAATTAGAACTCAGGATTAAGAAACTCACTCAAAACCACACAACTGCATGGAAACTGAACAACCTGCTCCTGAATGACTACTGGGTAAATAATGAAATGAAGGAAGACATAAAGATGTTCTTTGAAACCAATGAGAACAAAGACACAACATACCAGAATCTCTGGGACACATTTAAAGCAGTGTGTAGAGGGAAATTTATAGCACTAAATGCCCATGAGAGAAAGCAGGAAAGATCTAAAATTGACACCCTAACATTACAATTAAAAGAACTAGAGAAGCAAGAGCAAACACCTTCAAAAGCTAGCAGAAGGCAAGAAATAACTAAGATCACAGCAAAACTAAAGGAGATAGAGACACAAAAAAAACTTCAAAAAAATCAATGAATCCAGGAGCTGGTTTTTTGAAAAGATCAACAAAATTAATAGACCACTAGCAAGACTAATAAAGAAGAAAAGAAAGAAGAATCAAATAGATGCAATAAAAAATGATGGAGGGGATATCACCACCGATCCCACAGAAATATGAACTACCATCAGAGAATACTATAAACAACTCTACACAAATAAACTAGAACATCTAGAAGAAATGGATAAATTCCTGGACACATACACCCTCCCAAGACTAAACCAGGAAGAAGTTGAATCTCTGAATAGACCAATAACAGGATCTGAAATTGAGACAATAATTAATAGCCTACCAACCAAAAAAGGTCGAGGATCAGACAGATTCACAGCTGATTTCTACCAGAGGTACAAAGAGGAGCTGGTACCATTCCTTCTGAAACTATTTCAATCAATAGAAAAAGAGGGAATCCTCCCAACTCATTTTATGAGGCTAGCATCATCCTGATAACAAAGCCTGGTAGAGACACAATAAAAAGAAAAATTTAGACCAATATCCCTGAAGAACATCGTGCGAAAATCCTCAATAAAATACTAGCAAACTGAATCCAGCAGCACATCAAAAAGCTTAATCAAGTCAGCTTAATCCCCCGATGCAAGGCTGGTTCAATATATGCAAATCAATAAATGTAATCTGTCACATAAACAGAACCAATAACAAAAACCACATGATTATTTCAATAAATGCAGAAAAGGTCTTCAACAAAATTCTACAGCCTTCATGCTAAAAACTCTCAATAAACTAGGTATTCATGCAATGTATCTCAAAATAACAAGAGCTATTTATGACAAACCCACAGCCAATATCATACTGAATGGGCAAAAACTGGAAGCATTCCCTTTGAAAACGGGCACAAGACAGGGATGCCCGCTCTCACCACTCCTATTCAACATAGTGTTGGAATTTCTGGCTAGGGCAATCAGGCAAGAGAAGGAAATAAAGGGAATTCAATTAGGAAAACAGGAAGTAAAGTTGTCTCTGTTTGCAGATGACATGATTATATATTTAGAAAACCCCATTATCTCAGCCCAAAATCTCCTTAAGCTGTTAAGCAACTTCAGCAAAATCTCAGGATACAAAATCAATGTGCAAAAATCACAAGCATTTGTATACACCAATAACAGACAAACAGAGAGCCAAATCATGAGTGAACTCACATTCACAATTACTACAAAGAGAATAAAATACCTAGGAATCCAACTTACAAGGGATGTGAAGGACCTCTTCAAGGAGAGCTACAAACCACTGCTCAACGAAATAAAAGAGGACACAAACAAATGGAAGAACATTCCATGTTCATGGGTAGGAAGAATCAATATTGTGAAAATGGCCACACTGCCCAAGGTAATTTGTAGATTCAATGCTGTTCTCATCAAGCTACCACTGATTTTCTTCACAGAATTGGAAAAAAAATACTTTAAACTTCATATGGAACCAAAAAAAAAAGCCCACATTGCCAAGACAATCCTAAGTAAAAAGAACAAAGTTGGAGGCATCACTCTACCTGACTTCAAACTCTACTACATGGCTACGGTAACCAAAACAGCATGGTACTTGTACCAAAACAGATATATAGACCAATGGAACAGAACAGAGGCCTCAGAAATAACACCACACACCTACAACCATCTGATCTTTGACAAACCTGATAAAAGCAAGCAACGGGGAAAGGATTCCTTATTTAATAAATGGTGCTGGGAAAACTGGCTACCCACATGTAGAAAGCTGAAACTAGATCCCTTCCTTACACCGTATACAAAAATTAACTCAAGATGGATTAAAGACTTAAATGTAAGACCTAACAGCATAAAAAACCCTAGAAGAAAACCTAGGCAATACCATTCAGGACATAGGCATGGGCAAAGACTTCATGACTAAAACACCGAAAGCAATGGCAACAAAAGCCAAAATGGACAAAAAGGATCTAACTAAACTAAAGAGCTTCTGCACAGCAAAAGAAACTATCATCAGAGTGAACAGTCGACCTACAGAATGGGAGAAAATCTTTGCAATCTAACCATGTGACAAAGGGCTAATATCCAGAATCTAAAAAGACTTAAACAAATATACAAGACAAATGCAAACAACCCCATCAAAAAGTGGGCAAGGATATGAACAGACACTTCTCAAAAGAAGACATTTATGCAGCCAACAGACATATGAAAAAATGCTCTTCATCACTGGTCTTCAGAGAAATGCAAATCAAAACCACAATGAGATACCATCTCACACAAGTTAGAATGGCGATCATTAAAAAGTCAAGAAACAACAGATGCTAGAGAGGATATGGAGAAATAGGAACACTTCTACACTGCTGGTGGGAGTGTAAATTATTTCAACCATTGTAGAAGACAGTGTGGCAATTCCTCAAGGATGTAGAACTAGAAATACCATTTGACCTAGTGATCTCATTACTGGCTATATACTCAAAGGATTATAAATCATGCTACTATAAAGACACATGCACACGTATGCTTATTGCGGCACTATTCACAATAGCAAAGACTTGGAACCAACCCAAGTCCATCAATGATAGACTGGATTAAGAAAATGTGGCACATATACAACATGGAACACTATGAAGCCATAAAAATCGACGAGTTCATGTCCTTTGCAGGGATGTGGATGAAGCTGGAAACCGTCATTCTAACCAAACTATCACAAGGACAGAAAACCAAACACCGCATGTTCTCACTCATAGGTGGAAGTTGGACAACAAGAACACATGGACACAGGGTGCGGAACATCACACACCAGGGCCTTTCATGGGGTAGGGGGCTGGGAGAGCGATAGCATTAGGAGAAATACCTAATGTAAATGATGAATTGATGGGTGCAGCAAACTAACATGGCACATGTATACCTATGTAACAAAGCTGCATGTTGTGCACATGTACCCTAGAACTTAAAGTATAATAATAATAATAATAAAATTGAAGGCCGGGCGCGGTGGCTCATGCCTGTAATCCCAGCACTTTGGGAGGCTGAGGCGGGTGGATCAAGAGGTCAGGAGATCAAGACCATCCTGGCTAACATGGTGAAACCCCATCTCTACTAAAAATACAAAAAATTAGCCAGGTGTGGTGGCGGGCACCTGCAGTCCCAGCTACTCAGGAGGCTGAGGCAGGAGAATTGTGTGAACCTGGGAGGTGGAGCTTGCAGTGAGCGGAGATCGCGCCACTGCACTCCAGCCTGGGCAACAGACCTAGAAACCTTATCAAAAAAAAAAAAAATGCTACTGAGATTTTACTGCTATTGCTACTAACACAAAATAAAATAGTTAACATTGACAGAAGTTTAGCCACAAAAATATATGGGTTTGGGATAAATGTCCACACTGTCATTTGCCTAATATGATGATTAAATCAGCTGCCGCATGTGTGGTGAATGGCAGATGAGAAGAATACACTATATCCACAACTAACACAATTATACAAACAATTATCATCAATGATGGGACATCCACCAGTCTCTCACCAATTCTACCCAAATTGCTCAAACTACTAATGAAAAGTAATTCCCTGAAAGTTTTTCATACTATCCTTCAATAAATGTTGGTTTAAAAAATGTGCATTTTAAAATTTTCCATTTCAAGAAAATATTTGAAATAGAAATTACAAAAATCTATGTTCAATTTTTTTGAAACTGGAGAAAGAGAAATCCTCATTATGTAGTCACAGAAAGCTTTACAAAATGACTTCTAGTTATGTAGAAAGCAGAATTTTTAAGATAATTTATGAACTTGGTTATCTTGCTAAGGAGTTTCACAAACAAAGTGTTAAAGTGTTCCCTTGTTCCTTCTTGATGCTCATAGTAAAAGGAGGTAAATTAAGAAAATAATTGTTTAACACAAGCAACCAGAACTGAATGATTCTGAAAAAAATCACAGCCTCTCCAAATAGTAAAAGTTACTGAAATTAAAACAGTGTGGTTTAAAGAAAAAGTTGAGTTCTCTTTGAGCAATCTTTTGCAAAAACCTTAGAAATACCAAAAGGTCAAAGTATTCAGTCACAAAAACGGGCTCATTCAAGAGATTGAAGCTGTTCTGTTCAGATTCCTTCAATCAAACCAGAGAGGCTATAGGAGTATTAAGGACATTATCTCTCAGCCATCTCTCCAGGAGCCAAAGATAGAGAAGGAGTTATCACGAAAAGATCTCTGGACATGGCTTTCATCGAATGAAGTATCCTAAAAGGAAAAGAGAGTAAATGAGGAAAATAAGCTGATGGACCCCCAACTGGCTGATCAGGAAGAAGGCTAATAAAGCTACTCAACTATGAATGAGTTAACCTTCATGAACAATGGAAGGGTTACTAAAAGGGTAGAACCTAGATGATGCAGCCAAGAGCCATAGAAAATTATCCCTAGGTCTTGAAACCTAACTAAGAAACCCATTTTTTTTTCTGGTTGGATTTCACAACTGCTTTGCACATTAAGTGTGTTTTTTCTTCTGTTCTCCCCCTTTTGAACTAAAATGACTGTGGGTTTAAACACATGCATTGCCAGCACTGTATGTTGCAAGTTTTGAGGACAGATAACTTGGCTCTCTAATTTCATATGTCCACAGATGGAGAATAATTGTATACCAGCAGTGGTAGTTAGTGGATTTGAATGACTTCTATAACAAGGTTTTTGAAATTTGAACTGACAATTTAGATGAGATTTTGTATTTTGTGGTGATGAGATGTGATTAGATTTAGATAAGAGATTTTGCATAAGAGCTGACACTGTGATGAGATGAAACTTGAGAACACTGGAATTGAATGGACTTATTTTTCATTTTGGAGGAATATGAATGCTTGGGAGCCAGAGAGTGGGCTATGATAGGCAAAATGATAAGATGATTTGGTTCCCTTCATGGGCATGCCCTGTGTAATCCCCTCCTCTTGAGTATGAATAAACCTGTGAACCAGATGGTATATCATTCCTGTGATTAGGTTATGAACAAATTGACTTTGACTTCATCATGAGTGAGCCTTGCTTAAAAGGCACTGGGGCCTTCCTGAAGTCAGAGATATGGGAGGCAGGAGAGGATCTATAAATCGGGACAATATAGGAAGAAAGTGTGGGTGGCCCTAGGATCTGAGTACAATCTCTATCCACAGGACAACAAGAACTTAGTCCTTCAGCCGCAAAGAACTGAACTCTGCCAAAACCCTCCAGTAGCTTATAGATGAATCTATTCCTTTAGCCTCCAGATAAGGACATAGCAGGCCAACATCTTAATTTTAGCCTTCTGAGATACTGAGAAGAGTACTAAGCCACTTCATACCTGGACTTCTGAGCTCCAGAACTGTGAGCTGATGAATTACTGATGTTTTAGGCTGCTAACTTTGTGGTAATATGTTAAACATCAATGGAAAACTAATATAGCATAGTAAATCTTTCTCCATCTCTTTACTTTTAAACTAATTTTCTATATATTTATAGTGTGTTTCTGGTAGGCAACATAGAGTTGGTTATTTTTAATCCAATATTACAGTCTTTTCCTTTTGATGGAGGTGTTAAGTTCGTTAAATTATAATTTGATTATTATTTATTTAATTTTAATTATATTATCTTGCTATTTGCTTTCTATTTGTCCTATCTGCTTTTCATTCTCCTTTTACTCTTTTTCTGCCTTTTTTGGGGAATTGGATAATTTTTATAATTGCATTTTATTTTATTTTTTGTAGGTTTACTAGTTATAATTTTTGTTTTGTTAATTTAATGATAGGTTTATTTAATGTTCATAGTACAGGCCTTTAATTTGTGGCCGTCTACCCTGCAAATGATATTATCATTTCTCATGTGGTATAAATACCTTAAAATGGTTCACTTCCATCTGCTTCCTCCCAGCCACTGGGTATTTTTCATACAGTTCCTTTTGCATTTGTTTTAGAACACTGATTACATTGTTATTTACACCCGCAGTTACCATTTTTGATGCTTCTTATTTCTCTGTATAGATACATATTGTCATCTGATATCATTTCCCTTTTACTTGATGTAGTTCTTTAGCATTGTAGTGTGTTTACTAGTGATGGATACTTTCTGATTTTTTACATCTGAAAAAAAGCTTTATTTGCTTTTATTTCTGCAAGATATTTTCACTGCTATAACATTGTACATTGACAGTCTTTTTATGTCATTCCTCCACTGTCATTTTACTTTCATTTTTTCTGATGAGAAACCTGATGTAATCTTTGACATTTTTCTTCTATAACATATGTGAATTTGGAACTCTGGTTGCCTCCATTATATATTTTAATCAATAGTTTGGGGCTACTTGATTATTATGAAATTACTGTAATGTTCATGTTTCTTGAGCTTTGAGTTTACCGATGTTCTCAAATCCGTGTATTTTCACTATATTTGGAAGGTTGGGAACCAATTTTGTTTAAATACGTTTTTAAGACAGAGATACCTGTACGTCACTTATGCAGGACAAAATAATTCGCTTTCAGAGTATTTAAATTCACAACAATTTGATAGTTATGAAGAAACCATTTCTTATTCACTAAATTGAAGGCCTGAATCAGTCCGGATTAAAAATTGTCTAACTCATTTTAGGTTAAAATAAAATATTGACCTATGTATATTCTGCCTTGACAGAAAAATGCACAGATCTAAGTCAAAATATTAATTTTTGATAGATTTAAAAACAAATTATGTCAATTTCAATGTTCTCTGACAGCAGATTTTAGCTGATGAATAGAAGATGAGGGTAAATTGACATAATAGGAATTGTTTAATTTAATTAAACAAAAGATGCTGGGAGTTCACCAGGCCTAAAATAACCTGACAATTACAAGAGGAGACACAATGAAAAATTAATGCTCATGAGCATTTTCTTCCCAAGAAGATGTTATCAGATTGGAAACTTAAAGTAGTTTTTTATTAAAAATTGTTTTTATCTGTACCCTTCTTCTATTGACACAGGATTATTTAGGTGCCACTTCACCTGCCTGAAAGCTCTGTGGCTGGCAGTGCTTCTGCTTGAGTTTTACTCGGTACTGCTGGACTCTTGGCCTGGCAGGCAGCACTCGGCTTGCACTACTGGCACAGATCCCATGCCTGCTGAGGGTGAGCTAGGCAAAAGAGTGGCAAGGGTTGTGTGAGTGAGTGAGCACAGGGTCCAGCCAGCCAGAGTGTACAGCCAGGCAAAGTGGGGCAGGCAGCTCCAGGTGCTGGCACTGGTGCCGGCTCCCTGTGAGACTGCGGCTGGACCACTCATACCTCAAGTGGCTTCCACCTTGAGTGCCAGAGTCTGGATGAGGGGAACGCAGTGGAGCCTGAAATCTTGGAGACACCAGCAACTATGGAGCCCCAAGGGTGTGTTACAGTGTGTCACAGCTCGTTCGTTACCGTTGTTTACAGAACGGCAATCAAGGCGGGTATGTTTCAGCTCGCTCATGTTATATCTCGTTTGATCCTGCCACCCAGTTCTCTCCCGTGGCTCCTGGGCTGGCCTGGCCCTGCTGCCACTTCCCATCATGTGGGGCAGCCGCACAGCACCGGTGGAGGGAAGGAGGGCTACATTGTTACAGCTTTTTTGGCACCCACCATTTGGCAGATCCCAGGTTCTTGTTCTGCATCCAAAAAGAATGAGGTTATGTGGATAACCAGAGTGAGCAAGGTGGAGAAGAGTTTTATTGAGCTACAAAGCAGCTTTCAGCGGAGAGGTGACCCAAAGTGTGGGTAGCCCCGTCCTGAATGAAGGTGGGTGGTCCCATCATGTGGCTGAGTCCCGGGTTATTATGGGCTGAGAATGGGAGAGTGTGTGCTGATTGGTCCATGGGCAGGCCTGGAAAAAGCACCATTTGATTGGCTAAAAGACGTCAAGGAAGTTCCCACTTCAGCACGTGGACTCTACCCAGAACTAGCAGCCTGGATTTCAGGCTTCAGGCTGTCTTTTGGCTTGAAGGTTGGGCTTCACTGGGGACCTGCTCCTTTCTGCCTAGGAATTTGTCTGCCTCCTGCCACTATCAGTATCTTCTGGGGATAAAATTGCATACATATTTTTCTGTTTGAGGTCATCTCACAGCTTACTTATGTTCTTTTCACCCTTTGTATTGTATTTTTTTCTTTCTGAATCATTTCTGTTATTAGAATAGTGTCAACTACTGTATTTCAATAATTTTACTAATATTTTCTTCTGCAATGTCTAATGGGTAGAAAAGTTTTCATCACATATTTCGTAGTTTTCATTTCTCGAATTTTAATTTGGATCTTCTGTAGTCTTCATTTTCTGTTTTCAACATATCAGACATATATAATGCAGTTGCATATTTGGTATAAGATCCTTGTCTTCTAACTCTAACTTCAGTTTCAGTATTTTGGTTGTTTTTTCTCATCATCGAACTTATTTTTCTGCTTCTCGCCATGTCTAATATTTTTTCATTGGATTTGAGGCATTGTATTTAATTTTTTTAGGTACTGAATAGTTTTATTTTGGGACTCATTTAAGTTCTTTGGAACCACTTGATTCTTTCTGACAGTATTGTTAAGATTTATTAAGGGTTGACCAGAATAGCATTTAGTTTAGAGCTAATTACTGAGCCCATGCTTTGTGCATCATGAAGTTTTTCAGTCTAGAAAAAGAAACAGTTCCTGGACCTCTATGTCACCGGTACTGTTACCTGTAACTCAATTCAGATGTGTTCACTTCTCCATATTTGGGTTGTCTTCTCCTATGTATACACCACTGAATTTTTGATAGAGACCCTTCTCAGAGCTATGCAGTTCTCACTCCTCTCTGGTGATTTGTCCTATGACCTCAAGCTTTCTTGAACTCCCTAAGGTCTCAATTCCAACTACTATATTCCAAGCTTGGAAATTGTAACTTGCCAAATACTAAATAGATGGACACATTCTGTCATGAGATTTCTGAAGCTCTCAATATTGGAAATGTTTAAACAAAGTCAAATTTATTTCATTATTAAAATTACTTTGAAAAGATCAGGTAGGATAATCCTTATTTGCAGGCACATAAAAAAGTATCTTGGGAATTCAACTGATATTTAGTATTAATACAAGATTTGTGGAATAAAAGAAAAGATGTAGTGTACAAAAAATGTGTTGCATTCAGAGTGTCTATACATAAAAACACACACATGTCATTTATATATTTTGATATAGGTTTATATTTTTAAAGAAAATAATAAGCAAAAAGTATTCTTTATACTTTCTAATATTTCAATCCACAGTTTACAATTTTCAAAGTTGAGCTTAAAATTTTAAATGAAATGAATTCTGTGAAAAAAACTATAGGGGTTCAATTTGGGTTTCTTCTCCCTGTCCTACAGCATGAAAATTCTCTCAAGGCAATAAGCTGAGACAAACAGAGAACTTGCTTCATTTGTTTCTTGTCTGTCAAGAATCACTGTCCTTCATTTACTGATATTCAGCATCTTAAAACAACACTGTTTGAAATATGTTGCCCAGATTTTAGTTGTTTTTAACAGTTGACTATATTTGGTCTCTATATTCCATATTGACCGGAAGCAAATATGTTCACTAGGTTTTGATTTGTAAGTTGTAAAAAACACGTAATAAAATTAAAATATATGTTGTCTTTAGACAATTTGTTAAAAACTAACTTTGGTACCATATGACTTAATCAGGCTTAAAACTTGAAATATATGCTTATTTGTTAAAATAAAAAACAGTTTAATTTGTTTGAGACATTTAATTTGTTTGGCATGATCATTTCTTTTCTCATAAAATATACATTAGTGCTTAAGAATTTTAAGAGGTATAGTCTTTCCTTTTATAATGGTGGTTGTTTTTAAAATAAATCTGTTATTTCTGTTACATGAATACAGATACTCCTTGACTTATGGTGGAGTTACATCGCAGAAACCCATCGTAAGTTGAAAATACTGTAAGTCAAAAATGCACTTAATACACCTAACTTACAAACATTACACCTTTGCATAGCCTATCATAAACATCCTCGGAACACTTGCATTAATATTTGGGCAAAATTATCTAACACAAAGGCTATTTTATAATAAAGTGCTGAATATCTCATGCAATTTATTGAATAGTGAACTGAAAGTAAACAACAGAATGATTTTATGGGTACTCTAAGTATGTTTTTAAATGTGTATCACTGCATGCAGATGACATTCATACTATTGTAAAGTCAAAAAAAATAAATTGAACCATCGTAACTGAGGAAGTCTGCAGTTTATGATAATGTATGGATTTTGGAAAACTGTTGCAAATATGTTAAAATTAATTTGTACTAATCTCTTGCACATTTGTATATTAATTGATTAAATGCTTCACCTATAGTTTTTTTCACAGAATTCATTTCATTTAAAATTTTAAGCTCAACTTTGAAAATTATAAACTGTGGGTTGAAATATTATAAATAATACTTTTTGCTTATTTTCTTTAAAAATATAAACCTATATCAAAACATATACATGATATATGTGTGTTTTTATGTATAGACACTCTGAATGCAACACATATTTTTATTTTACACATCTTTTCTTTTATTCCACAAATCTTGTATTAATACTAAATATCAGTTGAATTCCCAAGATACTTTTTTATGTGCCTGCAAATAAGAATTATCCTACCTGATCTTTTCAAAGTAACTTTACCAATGAAATAAATTTGACTGTGTTTAAACATTTCCAATCTTGAGAGCTTCAGAAATCTCGTGACAGAATGTGTCCATCCATTTAGTATTTGGCAAGTTACTATTTCCAAGTTTCTTGTTTCCCTTCTGAGACACATCAGGCAAATGAGCTTTTACTTTGAATTAAACAGATTGTTTTGTAGATAGTGCTTCTATTGTGTTAATAAAAAGTTTCATTAGTCTATCCCTAGTGACTAAATGTGGCAATTAGTAGCAACAGTATTGGGTGGGTGACTGTGTGTGTGTGCGTGTAGTATATATTTGTGAGCTTTAAAGCTATTTGTTTCAATAAAGATGACAGCATCCAAGATCCCCAAAGTTTCCATTCTGGAAGTATTTTAACAATACAGTTTCTAAAACAACCTGCTAACTTTTCTGTTAATCCACCTATTGTTTTCTGACATGAGAAATGCTGCACTCACATAAATTGAACTGAAAATGTTTAAGTTCTTCCTTAAAGTGAGAAACTAGCTTCCCATCAAAATCATCAGCATAATAAAAATATTATATCATGAGATGAAAGTAATTCAGCAACTAATATTCTCTAAAGAGTTAGGCCAAGATGTATTTGACACATAATATGCTAGACATTTTGGAGAAAGCAATACAGTTCTTGACTTAACCAGAGTATAGCTAGGCACCTTCAGTGCTCAACTTCACTGAAATATCACCCATCTATCAAGAAACCTGACGCATAGTGGGCAAAGTTTAATATGTTTCAGATATGGAAGGGAATCTAAAGTAGTGAGGGGGCAAGTGCAAGTTATAAGACACAGAATGAATATTGTTTTGTGTCACTAAGTGAAAAGCCAAATGTACACTATGAGATTTACGACATAAGCCAAAAACAAGAAAACATTTGCAGTCCTGAACATCAATATTTTCTTCAACTATGTGAGCCAATGAAAGAGAAACCCTGAAGAAAGATTTATACAAAATTCACAGCTTAAAAGGGGCCAATGGTAATAGTAATCTTTTAAATAACTCTATACAAGATAACAATTCAGGTGAAAGACAGGCCATGGGCATAGACCACACATTCTATCTCTGTCACCAAATGAGTTAGTTTTCTACCCCGATATAGTTATCTTAGGTTATGTATACACAATAATTTAGCAAAGAAGGGAGTGGCCATTAAGGGAAAAAATCTATAGCTAGGAAGAAATTTTCTCGGATAAAAGGTCCTGACAGTAGCTTTAAAAATACAAAACTGATAACTGCTATCACTCTGCTAACTTTCTGTTACTACAGCTGTTTTGATAGATATGTAACTATCTTCAGCTATGAAACATAAATTTTATGTCAAGCAAGGTAATGTCTGTTAGTGACAACCTAGCCATCTTTCAAAAACTGTTGCTATAGCGCAGGCAATGAAATGTTTAACTCTAGTAACTCTTTTAAGTGATATGGTCAAGGCAACTCAGTGGGGTATGTCCAAGGGGCTTGCAACTTTCATAGCAACCATCACTTGATGGCATGTTACCTCCTCATTCATGAGAAACTGTGGACAGAGACAGAAAAATCAAGGAAACTGGAGCAAAGTAAACCTGTGTTCTCCAGACTGCTTAATAGGGGCGGTAGCATAGCATTTTTTGTTTTGTTTTGTTTTGTTTTCAGCTTTGGCATTAATTACAGAGATAAAGAGAGGAAAACTATTACAGATACATTAGGGTTCTTCATTTTAGCAGTTGTGTTTTCTGAATACAATAGGCAACGAGCCATATGTTTAAATACCGTAACCTAATGACCCCTTTGCACACTCAAACCCCTTACAGGAGGGGGAGCGTGCAGACTGGCAGGTACATGAGCTGAGACAAGTGCTCTGGGGCTCCAGCCCCATGGTAGCATCTAGAGGTGAGTGCCTGCGACTCCCAAAGCCCACGTGGATGTGGCCTGTCTTAACCGTGTGCTCTTTTAGCTTTGCCTTCCACAGACGGCTTAAGTGTTCACCAGCTCAGTGCCCTCTTGGTACCCAGGTCTTTGTCCGATATCCAGGAAGAATCAGGTCACACATGAATGTGGAGATGGTGAACGCAGGGGTTTTACTGAGTGGTGGAGGTGGCGCTCATCAGGATGGATGGGGAGCTGGAAGGGGATGGAGCTGGGAAGATGATCTTCCCTAGGAATTTGGCTGTCCGGTGGCCGATCTCCTCTCTGACCGCCAACAGCCAAACTCCTCTCAGCATTCAGATGCTCTTTCTCTTCTTTCTGCTGAGCCGCTCTGCTGTTCTCCGGCTCTTCTGTTTGTCTCCTTCTCATCTGCTTCTAGAGCTTGGGGTCTGGGGTTTATGTGAGTATAGGATGGGGGTCACGACAGGCCAAAAGGTAACTTTTGGGAACAAAAACAAGAATGTCTGTTCTCACTTAGGGCCACAGGTTTCCAGGATTGAAGGCCGGGCCTTTGCCAGGGAACTACCCTCTTCAACCCAGTATTTCTGTGTCCGGTCCATATCAATTGCTGGGAGAATTAATTTGAATTTAATAGCTTTTCTGAAGCCTGTGAGTCCTTCTAGTGAGTCAGTGAGCCTTCGTGTTGTATTGAGAATCCCTGACACCCTATGCAATTTTAATTTTTTTCTTCTACACAATTGAAAATTTTAATTACTTTTAAAGGAATGAGGTTTTACATTTATTCATTCATTAATAAATTATTATTGAGTGTCTTCTATGTATCAGTCTTATTTTAGGTTGTAGAAATACCACAAAGTATGAAATAAAATTTCTATCTTTAATATCCATTCAAAACATAGAATAAAAAAGGAAACAAATTAAAATAATATTCTAATATAATTTGCATTTTACCAAATAAATAGACTTTGTGTGAAGAATATATATTAAAGCTATTGGAGAGAACTGATCCCCCTTAAGGAATTTTTTTTTTGTATAGCAGATTATCTGAAGGTGTAATATCAGGGCTTTCTTCCCTGCTAGGAGTTTGATTTCAATTAATGCAAGTATCAGATGTAAAGAAGGGCAATAGCAAGTGATAAAGACTTACACTCAAGTGCTACTCTATTATACTTGGGGATGAATATTTCATGGTCAATTCTGGAAGGGGTTAAGTATAGAAATTGAACAGTGGTAAGTGGCTGCCTCAGGAGAAAAGGTAGCAGTAATTACCTCTGAAGGGAAGAAGATTCAATAAACAAGGATGTTGGAGAGCTTTGGAAATAAGCTTTACATATCACAAACTATCTATTAGTGGAATGTGCCTAGTAAAAAAGAATAAAAAATGTAATTTCCACAGGATTCTCTATGCAGAAACAAAATACAAAAAGGGAAAAAAAATGGCCTTTTCTTCCCACCCACTCAGGGTAATTTCTTAAGTCTTTTATGATCTGATAAGAAATGGAGGCCGGGCGCGGTGGCTCACGCCTGTAATCCCAGCACTTTGGGAGGCCGAGGCGGGTGGATCATGAGGTCAGGAGATCGAGACCATCCTGGCTAACACGGTGAAACCCCGTCTCTACTAAAAATACAAAAAATTAGCCGGGCGCGGTGGCGGGCGCCTGTAGTCCCAGCTACTCGGGAGGCTGAGGCAGGAGAATGGCGTGAACCCGGGAGGCGGAGCTTGCAGTGAGCCGAGATTGCGCCACTGCAGTCCGCAGTCCGGCCTGGGCGACAGAGCGAGACTCCGTCTCAAAAAAAAAAAAAAAAAAAAAAAAAGAAATAAATTTCTAGTGTTTTTTGTTGTTTTAGCCAAGCAATCTGTGGCATTTTCTTATGACCATCCTGGCTAACTAATACAATTATTAAACAATTAATCTTTCTATAAAAATTATGCTTAATGTTCTATTATGATGATTAAAGAATACTCTACCAAAGAGTGTTATATTTAATGTAAAAAAGTAAGACATACACAAATATAAAGAACAAAAGTAAACTAAGGTACTCTCTCACTCCAGAGATCCAAAAATCTATTGTAAATTTCAATATGACGGTGGAAGCCCCAGTGTATTTTGTTCCTAAAGAAAGAGAGATTTGGGGCATTTTGGAACATTTCATAACTGTGGGCCAAATAGGAATGTGACTAGACCATGTGAAAAATAACAATAAAGAAGTCATCATGTTTTAGAATCTTGGAACAGAGCTAAAGTAGTATACAAATGAAAACAGAGCATAAAATACATGTTCTACAAGAATATAAGCCTTGTATAAGAAAATTAGATTAATGGAATGTCTGACTCCAGTAAACACTCAAAAAAGAAACAGTGACATAAGCTATAGGAAAGAAAATGAAAGAGGTAGTAGAACATATGGATGAATAAGATTATAGTAAAATAGCAAAACTATAAAAAGTTTTATTTTTAGAGTAAATTATTAACATGTGTAAACTAACAATTAATATGCATTGGAAGGGAAAAATTAAGAAGGCATAACTTGCTCCAGAAGAGAAAGATCACCTAAAAAGGATTGAGTGAAATAAAAAAAAATGAAAAACAAATTGCTGAAGAGGCTCATGAAACATGTTCACCGTGCATCAATTACCAACTTGTCTGAGTCCAGTGACACTGGAGACCCCCCAACACACAGAAGGAAATAGGACCAGTTTACTGGAACACAGGTCAGTAGTACACATACAAACTAAAGTGCCAAGAAAAAAATATGAGAACAATTCAGAAACATTGCAAGAGGCATGAGGAGCATGCTGAATAAATCTGACTCGTGTATTTGCTATTTAAGAAGAGAGGACAGGGACTACGGAGCAAAAGCAATGTTTGAAAAGATAATGAATAAGAATGTTCTAAAACTCATTAAAGTCAGAAACTCACATACTGAAGAATTCTGCAAACTTCAAGCAAGGTAAATAAACAGAAAAACACATTTAGGTCCAATGTGGTAAGAATGCATAAAATAAGTACAAAGAAAAACATCTAAAAGCCTGAGATAAAAGGCAGATTACAATGAAAAGATAAACAATCAAATGAACCATGACTTTATTACAAGAAATTATGATTTCAATGCCACTCAGTCATATATCACCAGGAACACACCTGTAGTTGAACAAATTGGGTTTATTGTTCTTTTCAGTGAGCAAGGACACTCATCATGGGAAGTCAGCTGGCTTTTCAGTAGTGAGTATTAGGGAGGACTTTGATGGGATGATTTTGGAGACCATCCAAGGAAGCAGGCACTCACTATGCATTGGGTGCTCTTAGGAAGTAAGGACCATTCTATGACTGGTTATTTCAGTAAATCTTACCTAGGAAGAGGAACGCCTAGAATGAAAATAGAGCTTCAATTTGCAAAGCAGAGCAGTCATATTAGCCAGTAGAGGATTGTGTTTGGTATTTTGTGGGTTGCACAGTGACTTTGGTTTTGCCCACGCTCAGACACAAAATTATAAAGTGAGCTCTTGTGTCTCACCTTCCCATGGCTGTAGAGTGGGCTTTGCTGGTGGTGGTGTGGGGTGTGAGTGCGTGCATCTAACAGGAAGACAGCAAAGCCTAGTTGCTTCCTTGCCAGGCCAGCCTTAAACGACACTGAGTCTAACAGTAAGTGCAGACCAGTTCCAGATGCCACCACTGCTTTTGAAAATTGTAAAATATTTGAGTGTCACCTTCAAAGTGTGAAGAAACAAAAACTGGAAATCCAGTATTCCAAACTAATGAAAGTATCTTTCAAAATTAAAGAAGGCTGAAGACATTCTCAGACAGACAAAAAACTTTGGGAGCACTGTCTTCATTGGGTCTGCCCTGAAATTACTAAAAAGAACATCCATCAGGTAGAAGAAAAATGATTCAAAATTACTAATCAAGGATAAAGAAAGAATTAAATGTAATATAAAAGATAAAGCTACAGATACATCTAAATAAATACTGACTGTATTAAAATAAGAATACTAATGTCTGGTGGAGTGTTTGTGTGTGTACATATATATATGTATTTGTGTGTGTATATATATGTATACTTATGTATATATATATACATGTGTATATACATGTGTTTATATATATATACATGTATATATGTGTATATATACATATACTTAATATCTAGTGTGGCAAAAGTGAAAGTAATACAATTAAAATATTCCAAGAGTCTTTTATTTTTTGGAAGGAAGAAAAAGTCCTAATTTGTTTTAGACTAAGGTAAGTTAGGATAAACTTTATGTCTACTAAAATAATAAAGAAATAGCAATAGTCTAATTATCACATTAATAAAATTGCAAAAGAAATGATAAATAATTGATTAGGAGGAACAAATTCAAGAGATATATTATTCAACATGGGGACTATAGTTAATAATAATATAAAAATGAAAGTAATAGATTAATCAAAAAGAGACAAGAAAGTAGAAAAAAAGTAACATAGAAAAGTGGCCTCAGTGGAAAAAGAATAGTAAGTTGGTATTAATCATGATATTAAAAACAAATGTATCACATGCTGAAATTAAAAGGCAAAGATTTACATATATACACATATACATAAATCATTTCTGTTCGACTTTCAAAATAAGGATGTTGTAAGTAAAAAGTATATAAAAAGGTATTTATGATTAGTAACCTAAGGAAATGGGTGCCTTTATACTAAAGCAACCTAACGTCTTCTTGAAACCAAGAAGCACAGCTAGAGTTAAGGTAGGACATTTCACAATAATGAATCAATTCATTGTGGAAATATTACAATTTTATACTGCTATGTACATAACATAGCTTCGTAGCCTTAAAATCTTAAAGAAATTCAAAGCAGCTAACACAAAATAGTAAGAAAAGCAGACTAAAAATGTCAGTAAGGAAATAGAAAATTGGAATGTCATTAAGAAATGTAAGACAATAATGTCAAAAGTGAACATATGACTCCAGCATTCACGCTTGTCAACTGCACAAGGAGCACTTAGCAAACTTTTATGCTGAACAGCAGGCTATAAAGAAAACTTAGTAATGTTGAAGAACTGAAATCATAATGAGTAGGTTTTCTTACCATTATGGAATTAATCCAGAAATTAAGTACAAAACAATAACTTTTAAAATTCGAAAATGTTTAGTAATTAGCAATGCATTTAAACATAAAACATGTATCATAAAGGAATGATTAAGGTAGGACATATATTCCACTGAGTGCATGCACACAAAAAACAGATACTTAAGGATGTGAAAGTCACCGAACACATCCAAAAGAGAAACATTTGCAGACATTCATGCATCTATGATAAAAGAAAAGCTGAAAATCAATGATTCAAGCATTTTGTTCAAAGAAGAGAGTTGTAATCTTAAATAAAATAGCAGATAATGAAATATAAAATATAGTATGGATAATTAAATCAAAGGTGGGTCTTTTGAAAAGACTAATACATACTCGTCAAAATGCTGACGGTGTGGGTTAATAAAATGAAAAATAAATGCACAACACTCCCTGCCCTAAAGTAGTCTAGAGGCATAATTTATCAGTACCAGTAATAAAAACAGAGAATATCACTTTAAAATTTATGGTCATCAAAAGAACAATAAGAGAAGGGAATAAACACATGTATGCTAAAAATTAGTGAAATGAGGCCGGGTACATGGTTCACACCTATAATCTCAACACTGTGGGAGGCCCAGGTAGGTGGAGCACATGAGGCCAGGAGTTCGAGACCAGTCTGGCCAACATGGCGAAACCCTGACTCTACTAAAAATACAAAAATTAGCAATGCACGGTGGTGCACAACTGTAGTCTCAGCTACTAGGGAGGCTGAGGCAGGAGAATCGCTTGAACCCGGGAGGCAGAGGTTGCAGTGAGCCAAGATTGCCCCACTGCACTCCAGCCTGGGTGACAGAGTGAGACTCTATCACAAATAATAATAATAAAATGAAATTAATCCTCATATAAAAATGAACGCAGTGACAGAAATGACAAAATGCTGCATCTTGATCAAGCTGGGATTATTCTAGAAATGCAAGAAGGATTTAGCATTCATATATCAACCAATATAATATGCCATATTCACAAAAGGTAAGTAAACAATAGCAGAATAGAAGCTAAGACAAATAGAAAACTTCTGTTATATTTTCAATAAAGGCAGAAACAATCCATTTCATAAAATTCATAATATCATAATATTTCTTATCCACCTAAAGATTGAAGAAACTTCCTATTTAAGAGCTTCAGTTTTTTTTTTTTTTTTTAACGGAGTCTCGCTCTGTCGCCCAGGCTGGAGTGCAGTGGCGCGATCTCGGCTCACTTCAACCTCCGCTTCCGGGTTCACGTCATTCTCCTGCCTCGGCCTCCTGAGTAGCTGGGACTATAGGCACCCGCCACCACACCTGGCTAATCTTTTGTATTTTTTAGTAGAGACGGGGTTTCGCCCTGTTAGCCAGGATGGTCTGGATCTCCTGACCTCGTGACCCGCCCGCCTCAGCCTCCCAAAGTGTTGGGATTACAGGCGTGAGCCACGGCGCCCCGCCAGAGCTTCAGTTTTTATTAGAGCCAAGGTGAGGAAAAAAAGAGGCAAAAAAAAAAAAAAAAAAAAAAAAAAAAATCCTACGGTAAATATCAGATTAAATTAAAACAACTTAAAAACTTTCCTTGCAAGATCAGAAATAACACATTGCTGTCCACTGTTACTACTTCTGTTCTCCTATGTAATATTGTAGTGAAGCCTCAGCTAGTTTAATAAAGCAAATAAATAAATGATAAATAAATATCAAATAGAAATATATAAATAGTATTACTTGAAAGTTACATAAATATAAAATAGGATATTAAAAATCTACAGATAGGCTATTAGAATTTCTAAATTTAGCAGACTTACTGGATGCAAGTAAATATTTTTAAAAACTGTGTTTCTAAACACTGTACCAACAACAGTTTAAGAAAAAAATATGACTATTACTTCCAATAACATCAAAAACATCCCATTCCTAGGAATAAGTTGAATGGAAGAGCTACAAAATCTCTATGCCAAAAATAATAAAAATAAGGGAGTAAAATTAAAGAACCAAATCAATGTAAAGACTATGTTCATTATTGAAAGACTCAGTATCCCAAAGGACAGAATTTTACCCATGTTGTTCTTCAGATTTCATGAAATCCCAATCAACATTTCAACATGTGTGTTTGTATGTGTGTGTGTGTGTGTGTGTAAATTAACAAGATGATTTGTATGGAAATACAGTGCTAAGAATAGCTAAGAAAATCTAAAAGAAAGAACAGAATAAAGAACTTTCACTTCCAGACTTTAATACTTACTAGAAAGATCAGTAAAGTGACAGTGTGATACTAGTGTAAGCATAAACATTTAAGCCACCAAAATTGAATGACAAGCCCCCAAACAGAACGACACATGTACAGAGTCTTGATTTATAATTAAGGCAGCACAACAGGACACTCAGGAAAGATTAGACTTTCCAATAAACCTTGCTGAGTAAACTGGTTAGCCATATTGGGAAAACAAAGCAAAAGAGAACAAGATACGTAGTTTGCCTAACTGTACACCCTCAAACACTTAGATTACAGATATCATTGTAGAAGATAAAATTATATAAATATTTTGGAATATAATATAGAAAAATATGTTTATGCCTTTGCCAAGACTAAACACCAGGAGCAATAAAAATAAAGAAGAATAAAACATAAAGAGCAATAAAAATAAAGAAAAATTTAAAAAAAAGAAAAAATAAAGAGAGCTATAAAAATAAAGAAAAAGATTGGTAAATTTAGCCTTTAAAATTTAAAACAACTTTTCATAAAAAAACTATCTACACAAAAGAACAGAATATATGTATAGTACCATACCTAGCAAAGGACTTGTTTCTAGCATATAAAAACCCCTTTAAATAACCAAGAAATAGAAATGTGGTAGAGCAAATGGAGAGACATTGGAAAAAGGACTTCAGCTAAAACGCTTTGTAGATTAACAAAGACATACGAAAAGCTGCACCACCTGGTCATCAGGAAAATGCAAAATAAAACAACAGTGAAGTACGAACACATACATCAGTGCAGGTAATACATTCTTTTTTCAAAGACTGAAACACCAGTTTTAAGTGAGGACCTGAAGTAAGCAGAGCTCTTATACACTGCTGAGGGGAGTATCAATTTGGAGGATTTTTGACAGTATTTAGTGTATTGAACGTGCATATCCCCAGCCATCCCTTACCAGCTTTATTGTACCCATTGATTTCACTGGGATGACTCACCTGTGCTTGCACACAGTGGCTGTGCCCTAGGAACCACACATGGTCCTTCCTCTTGTTTCTTTACTCTTAATAAGTAACTCTTACTTGCTTTCAAATACTCTTCTAATATTCTTACATAAAATGTTTTAAGACAGGTTGGAAACATTTGTCATAAATTCTCATTACTGGCAGGGGGTGGTGGCTCAAGCTTATAATCAAACACTTTGGGAGGCTCAACCAAAAGGATCATTTGAGACCAGCCTGGGCAACATAGACAGTCCCTGTCTCCACAAAAATAAATAAACAAATACATAATCAACATCTTATGCTAAATACAACAAATCAGAAAACAGACCTTATTTTCATATTGGAGATTTATCAGAAAAACTGTTCTAGCTAAGATAGTGAGGCAGCATGCCTATTAGTTAAGAGAAAAAGCCTCATAGTGAAGTTCCTTGGAGATCAAATCCTCATTCTACTATGTTCTGAGTCAGTGAACCTGGGCAAATTATTTAATCTACCAGTGGGAACTCATGGCTACATTCTACACAGCCTGCAGCAAACTGAGAACTTTGTGTGATCCTGTGGCATGAACACATAGGTGTGTTCATACTGTGGAATATATAGAGCTGCATTTTTATAATTTCTGTATTTTTCTGAAATAAAGGTTTATTTTAATATTAAAAATTGTTTTCAACTTAAGGATTTCATAGATTTTCATAAAGTTTACTGCACTAAACTCCAGTGCTGAGCATCGCTCAGTGCTTCAGCTCAGGTGTGAAAATCTAGGAAGAAGAACCTGACCTGATTGGTTGCGCACAATTTGGGGCAATTACATTTGCAGTTCCAATTTCCCACTGGGTAGGGGAGGGCTAGT
Organism: Homo sapiens; assembly: GCF_000001405.40. Classification (NCBI taxonomy): domain Eukaryota; kingdom Metazoa; phylum Chordata; class Mammalia; order Primates; family Hominidae; genus Homo; species Homo sapiens. The sequence continues at coordinate 178,908,773 of NC_000004.12, forward strand.
ATAATTGGCAGTACTAACAGAATCTTCTAACAGGTGCATGGTAGATCAGCCCCCTAAGTTATCTGTGATGGTAATAATGTTGCCAAGAATCAATACTAGGCATGGAAAATGAATGAAAATCAAGAGATGTCTACAACCCTAAATGTTCATCAACAGGCAGTGTTTAAATTAATTATTTTATATCTACTCTATGTTGTATTAGAAAAAAGGTATACATGGCAAATAGTGACAAAGAATCACACCAGATTCAGGGGAAGATGAAATGTACATTTTATGGAAGTATTCATAGGCAGAAACATCAGTGTAGTCCACAGCTCTCTGATGTCTCAGCTTTCCTTGAAAGTGACATACCAGATACCACTGTGGAAATTGCTCCAAGGGAAGGATCCAACCTTCCTACCACTATATAAATCTATAGCAAGGTGAGAAGAGCCCATGGCACATCCCTTGAGTAGTTCATTGTATAACAAAGGAACATCTCTGGACAGAGATATGGGCTTGTTAATCTAGAGTTCAGGTACCAGCTAGAGGTCTCTGGTTCTTCTGCTGTGATAATTCTGCAGATCTATCAAATTAGACAAGAGGAGAAAAAATTAGCCTCTGGGGACATCCAGGTTTGTCTCTCCTCAGACTGTCCTCTGTCCCTTGAGGACTTATTGGATACATGATCCTACATTCCAGTAAATGTCAGGTTGTAACAATTTCTACAACATGGTCTGTAAGTGGAAAAATCAATATATTTTCTTGCAGCTGGGTCCAGTACACTAAGTAACTTTCGTACCAACATTGCTACAAGTTCCCTTTATATGCAAATGTCTAATGGCACTCCACTACCTGTAATCTCTCTTTTTCCAACTTTTTTCCTCACCCATGGATATATATTTTATACATCTTTATTTAATCATAAATTCTCCTTTATCTTTCCCATATTTAACTTCATTTTAATATTAAAGTGATGTTATATTTATGAATGTTTTATATGTTGCATAATATCACGATCTCATGCTATCCTAAAACGTGAAACGTTTTTGCCTTTTCTCAAATAGTTTGAGCTTTGGCTCCAAAATATTGTCATTATTTTTAAACTGTTTTCCAGTTTTTCGGTAGTTTAAAAATATTTTTTATGATCAATTACATAGCTTTTAATTGAAATGCTGATGGAATTGAAATATAAATCCTTTATTTTTCAAAATGTTGTATGGTGTAAAACATCATGGGGTCATAGAAACAACGAACAAATGTGACATTTAAAATATTTTATTTCATGTTTACCATAGCACAATATAACAATAATAACCAAAAATAACAACAATAATAAAATATAATATTTTAATTGATATTTACTCTTTTGGGCATTATTGTAAGGGTTTTAGTTCAACCTCTCATTTAAACTTCAAAAGACCTACCTGAACATATTATTATAATCATTTAACAGGTAGGTGAACTAATAACTGAAACAAAGAGATTAAACAATTTGCCTAAGTTCACTTAATTGGAACATATTAGAAAGAGGGTGTTACCCCAACTAGCCTTTCTCCAACACCTCTTCTCTTAACTAACATTGCCCAAAAGATAACCATGTTCTCTAAATAGTAGAAAAGAGAGCTTTATTGGTGACATCAGTTTGCACACTGGGAAGTGAAAGCCTCCATCATGGGTTAAAAGTGCTCTGTATTTTTTTTTTATTTCCAACTTTTATTTTAAGTTCAGGGGTACATGTGCAGGATGTGGAGGTTTGTTACATAGGTAAATGTGTGCCATTGTGGTTTACTGAGTAGATCATCCCATCACCTAGGTATTAAGCCCAGCATCCACTAGCTATTCTTCTTAATACTCTCCCTCCTTCCACCCTCAACCCTCCAACAGGTCCCAGTGTGTGTTATTCTCCCAAATGTGTCCGTATGTTCTCATAATTCAGTTCCCATTTACAAGTGAGAACATGTGGTGTTTGGTTTTCTGTTCCTGTGTGAGTTTGCTGGGTGCTGTCTCTTCAAAACGGGTTGGTTTCATGCCTCACAGAACCTGTAGCACACAGTAGAGTCATACATATTCAGCAGGTTTGAGGTAAAAGCTATAGATATTTATGAGGTGAGCCAAGCACACGTGGAATGGATGAACATATATGTAACATATATCCCATGTTTACTTTGGGGCAGGTTTTAGTATTAAAATATGGTGGACTTTGGCTATTTAAACCAAAAGGTGAAGTGGAGCACACAAAGACAGTTTGTGCACAGCCTCTGTAAGCTGCTGGAATGGGCTTAAGACCTGCAGTTGCTTCTCAGGAAAGAATGTCTGTAAGGCTGGTCATCTCTCCAGTCAGAGTTGTAGTGGTCCAGGTTGTAAGTCAGAATCAGGAGAGGTCTACTAAATTGCATGACAGCTCTTATCATTAGGGTGTTTAGCAAGAGAGTGTTTTTGTCTTGTAGCTGTAGGAACTTAGAGAGTTGCCATGCCAGCAGACACCTGAGCCCTCAAACTGTAGAGAACTTTAGTTTCTTTAACTTCAGAGTCCACCTTGGTTGATAAAAGGGCATCTGTTTTTGTCTCTCAGATCTCACTAATATGCAACCTACCTTCATAACTACCTTAGCTACCACGATGTTTCTGCTAAAGAGGAATAGACAAGACTTGTTGAAGTAGGAAAAGAAGAGGAATGAGGAGAACGGAATGTGTAGTTCCCAGGGTAGTCACCATAGTCGTGTCAAGAAGGAACATCATATCAAATCAGTAGATCCGATAAAATCAAAGCTTAGTTGGGGGATGAGTCCAAGAAGACGTCTACTGACCGTTATCTTTCTCTCTTTCAAAAATGTTCTTAAATCTGGTCCAATTTTCATGTCAATTGAAAAAAGAAAGGATAGCAGAAAACATTTTTTTTTCTAAAAATGAAAACAATAACCAAATGGAACATTATATGTTGGCAGAAATGGGGTAAATAGAGTTAAAAAAAATGGACAAAACACACACACACACACACACACACACACTCACACACACACACAAACTGAGAATTGAGATGCTTGACTGCCAGAAGGGAAATAACGTCCTAGGAGACAAACAGGCAGAACATCAGACAGGGGGAAGTGGAGAGAAGCCTGTGGGCAGAGAAGAGAGCCTGTGTTCCCTTGTAGAAGAGAGAGAATAAGAAGACAGAAAAATTAGACATTACCTGATGTGAATTAAAAAAGAAAGGAAAGGTAGGCCAGGTGCGGTGGCTCATGCCTGTAATCCCAGCACTTTGGGAGGCCAAGGCTGGTTGATCACGAGGTCAAGGGATCAAGACCATCCCGTCCAACATGGTGAAACCCTGCCTCTATTAAACATACAAAAATTAGCTGGGTGTGGTGGCGGGTGCCTGTAGTCCCAGCTACTCAGGAGGCTGAGGCAGGAGAATCGCTTGAACTCGGGAGGCGGAGGTTGCAGTGAGCCGAGATCGCACCACTGTACTCCAGCCTGGCAACAAAATGAGACTCCATCTCAAAAAAAGAAAAAAACAAAACAAAAAAGAGAGAGAGAAGAAAAAAAGGAAAGGAAAGGTAAGGGAAAAGTGATGTAACTGGAATTCTAAAAGATGGCAAAAGTGAAGGGAATATATTCAAAAATCCAAATGAAAGCATAATTAGGTATAGCAAATGAATTAATAAGTAATTTGCACAGTAAATTTGAAATAATTTTACCAGCAAATTTAACTATAGACTGACCTATATAAGGTGATAAAACACATGCTAGATAATAAACAAAGGTAAATTATAGATAGGCAACTTCAATAGGATATGTGAATGGCATGATTCAATAAGAGCTTAATTTTCAAACAGTAAGCTTAATTTTTGAATTGTGAGAAATGTACATAACATAAAATTTACCATTTTAACCATTTCAAGTGTTTAGTTTAGTGGCATTAAATGCATTCACAGTGTTGCACAATCATCACCACCATCCTTCTCCATAAATCTTTGCATCTTGTAAATTTTAAGTTTTATAAGCTACTAAGTTTAATTTTTTAAAAATGTGTGCAGTATGCAAACCTCTATCATTTGAGGATTGCAACTAAAATCCCCAAACCTTAATTAACTAGACCAAATTCATTTATTTATATAATTTTTAAATTTACTCTCCATGTGAGTAAAGCTGACTTAATTCTCTTCAAATAGCTTTTTTTTAGAAAGAGAAAAGAAGTCATTATTACTCTTATTTTAAAATAATAATGAAAAATTTGAAGAACTATGGTAAAATTGGTGCTGGGTTATCTCAATCGCTATCTGAAAAAATATTTTCATATGTCTCTGCTGATTATCAAGTTATTCAAAATAATTAAAATACAGCAGCTATCAGTGAAGTTGCTACACATTTGGCCCCATCAACTTTTCCAAGAACTTTAAAGGCAACGTCATGGACTTTTAATCAAATAGTATGGATGACTTATTAATCTTTTCTGTACATGGGGCTTTTCTGATTACTAGAAGACTTCATTCTTTTCAGATCCTAACCTCAGTGAAGCTCAATTTAATCTAGAATTACCTAAATATATCTTTACATTTTGGACTGGATTTATCTGATGTTATCACTTAATGCTGTTTTTTCACACCAAAATCAGTAAATTCATCTCAAGGAGCAGAATTTTGTTGATATTTTAATGAATATAGGAATATTTGACTTGGAAATTTTTAATTTTGAAGGGGTGTGAATGCTGTTTACATTCAAATGTGACATTTAAAATATTTTATTTCATATTCACCCATATTGTAATTTGAGGATGCTTTCCAGAACTTCTGCCATAGCACAATATAAAAATAATAACCAAGAATGACAATGATAATAAAAAATAATATTTTAATTGATATTTACATTTTTGGGCTTTATTGTAAAGGTTTTAGTTCAACCTCTGATTTAAATTTCAAAAATCTACCTGAACATATTATTATAATCATTTAACAGGTAAGTGAACTAATAACTGAAACACAGATTAAACAATTTGCTCAAGGTCACTTCTCATTGGAACATATTAGAAACAGGATGTGACCCCAAGACACATTACAACATTATGGAAGATGCTTTAACATAAGCAGTAAACATGATCATTATCCCATATTGTGACTTTCATGTTACAATTACCATACATACAAATCCTAGGAATTTGAGTCTCTGTTTTATTTTTTGAATTAGAGCCTTTGTTTTATTGTTGAATTTATAAATATAACAACTTGTCTGAGCTTAACACTTTTACTTATTGAAACTACATTAATAAAACATTTATAGCACTTGGGAAGGAAGCACTGTGTGAAATTACCATTTACCTTAATTTTAAGTATAAAAATACAATCATGTTAATAACTTGTACTTTGCAGTAAGTGTGATATGCCAATATCAAAATTAGTACATTGTGTCAAAAAGAAAATGTATTCACTGCCAGCTTAAGAGCCTACAGGAAGGGAGAAGAAAACATTTTTACATAAGATGCTATGTAAAGCCATTTTCCACTGTCTGAATCATAAATCACAGGACTAACCTAAAATAAAGAAATAGATTTGATTAGCATTAAGGGATCACTACATCAAGTTATTAAAATTTTGCAAAGTGCCAGGTTGTATATGGATTAATTTTAGCTATTCTAAGACTTATGAGTTATGCTTGAAAAATTAAATCTAAAAATGTATTTTAAAAAGTATGCAGGAAATTTTCAGGGTTACATGGTATTAACCACTAGTGCTAATTAGAAAAATGAGATATTGGCCTTCTTACTAGTTATACATGACCCTATAAGAAAATCATCGAAATATGCACAAATATATTAAATAAATGTTCTGTTATAAATACTATAATCCTAAGTAATGACAGATTAATAAATGCTATAATCCTAAGTAATTACAGATTTTCAACTTTATATATTTTAGACTTATTATTAAAGTATAATACACATGTAGGAAAGCACACATGTACATGTATATAAATAAATATGTAGTCCTTCAAAATTACAAAATTTCCATGGTTAATGATAAAAACTTATTTAAAATATTATGATGTAATTTAAGTATATATTCATTCCTTATTAACATAGAAGATACATATTCTCTTTTGTTCATGAAAAATTTACCTAAATAAAAATATAAAGTAAAAACAGATTATAGTTAATAATGTGTAAAACTTAAAAAATAGTAATTTTTAAATATCTTGATAATAATTACTTTTATAAGTAAACTATATACACATAGATTTCAGTTTTTCCACACAGCCTTCAAGTGGACCTCATTGTGTAACATGGACCCATATGAGAGACCATGATGTGTGTATGTCTGACTAGCAAGATTCTTTTCAGTTTATTGTCTTTTTGAAGTTTGTTGTATTGCGTTTCACATCTGTCAAGACATCTGTATCCTCCAGTTGATATTCTGAATTTATAGTTCTGTAGTTACAGAATTTCTTTTTTATTTTAATGGCATTATCATCATTAATACTCCTGTAAGGAAATATTCCACTTGTTGTTTTTCAAAAGAACATATGTTCTCATACATATTTTCATAAACAACTTACTTTATTAAACTTCTGTTTTTGTTTCACTGAGAAAATCATTATTTGAAATTCTTACCATCATGCTGGAAAATCTTTTGTACAATACAGCTGTTGAAGTGACAACTTCATATTCACAAGTGTTTGTAATTCCTATAAAATAAGGAGGAATGATCCATGTTTGATTAATGTTGTAATATAAAGCTACCTGTAAGAAACAATATAAAGGACATTTTGATATTTGCCAAAATTGTACTGTTTAAATTTCTTTTAAATACCCTAAGCTTGTCATTTTAAAATAATTAAGAAAAGATTGAAAATTTATTTTGCCATTATTTATTTCTTCCTCATTTGTATATTAATTATAAGAAATTACAACATCTTAATTAAAATATTACGTATCTACTAAGTACTAACTCTTCATGTAGAGTATATTGGCACATATTCATTTTCTCATTTTTGCAATTAGATATTTTCCATTATATAATTTTTTTTAAATGCATAACCAAAACAAAATATTCTGTATAACAATTATATCTGATGAAGTCAGCTTATAATTGTTTTTAACAATAATATATTTGGATTTGACACATAATGTTTAGTTTTTATAGCTAAACATTAGTATTTTAAAGTTTAAGATATATTAATATTTTAATTTTCACTGCTATTTTCCTTGAATAATAACATCCATTACCTTAGATGTTACCAACTATTACCATCAACCAGTGCTTCTGCAGTATAACAGTATTATAGCAGTTTCAATTCAAAGTAAAGCTAATGTTCTATCAATCAAAGGAGATGCTGTAAAAAACTAACATTTGTTTATACTCATCACAGAAAATATAATCAGTAGAGTTTAATATGTTATTAAATTCTTATTCTTTGAACACAAGTAATCTATGCATTATGTACACTGAACCTTCCAATTAACTCTCATATTTGATTTATCACAGAGCTCAGTAGTTTAACTCTTTTGCTTATAACTCACTGCAAATAAATGTCTTTTGACATTAACAGAGACCATGGATTGTGTATAAGAAATGAACACACATGGTCTATTTTTGTTTTGTTTAAATCCTTTTCCTCCTATTGTCATTCTTTATTTTGTCAACTTTTTTATTACACTGGTAGCTACTATCTTTTGAATGTATTTCACACATCTTAATTTGTAAGGGGTAGCAAACCTCATTAATTACATTAAATAGTTAAATAATAAAACTGATATTTGTTAAACACTGCTATATACTGGGGACTGTGTTGGATTACTTATTCTCCCATTAAATTAATTAATATTTTTTAAAATCCGGGAAGTTTTGACTGTAATTGAGAGTTGAGAGTCACGTGGGTTTACCATGGCTTCCTTTGCACCATGATGATCATTGAGAGAGTAACAGTGATATTAGAACAAAGAAAATCTAAGTGAAGTGATATGATACAGAAACGCGTCATGTAATTTTGAAAGGGATGGATACTATGCATTATATTATATAGTGAGCTGAAGTACATAAATTTTAAACTAAGAAAATGGAATGCCTTGGACAATGACACTAAACATCGGCTGAGTGAGAATAAGTGGCCTACCCTGTAGTGTATGTGGCCGTAAAATTGATTTTTCCATTTTGTGCAAAAGCTTATCACTAAGCATGAGTTTCAGGGACAAAACTATAAGTAATAACATTGGAGCATTAATCTGCTATCATTCTTTTTATAGAGAGCTGATAGAATTGGCCATATTTTGGTATTTCTACTAAAATATAATTTCTGCTGATAAAACTATAACTATTCACCATTGTAAAATTCCAATTAGAAAGATTTTATGTTAGAAAACATATGCTAGAAATAAATATAAATAATGTCTAGAAATATGTAGAACGTTATCTATGCAGAAATATGTATATAGAGAGTATACAGTTGCCCCTTGAACAACATGAATTTGAACTGTGCACATTCACTTATACATGAGTTTTCTTCTGCCTCTGCCACCCCTGAGACAGCAAGACCAACCCCACTTCCTCTTTTCCCTCATCCTACTCAGTGTGAAGATGATGAGGGTGAACCCCTTTATATAAACCACTTCCATCGAATGAATATTCAATGTATTTTCTCTTTCTTGTGATTTTCTTAGTAACATACATACACACACATAATAATATACATACACACACATTTCTAAACACTGAAGAAAAGATCAAGCCCATTTCGTTATAATTGGATTTCTTTCCTAATTACATAATAAAATAAAGGCTAGTGATTTGATGTAGCATTCACCAAATTATTATTTGAAGCAATGGAAAGTACAGTTATGAAAATACAGTTTTAGCACATTTCTTAGTGAGAGAAAAATCAGAATAACATGCAAGGATAATGAAAAGAGGATTACCATTAATGAAAATGAATTTATAACAATACTTTTTAATTTAGTGTGAGATCCCTAAAATTGTGTGGCTACTAAAAACATGACTGGTGAAAATGTTGATGAGGAGTTTTTTAGGTTTTGGGAGAGAATGCTTTACCAATTGAAAATTCTACAGTTTGGATATTTGTTCCCAAAACCTTAGGTTGAAATTTGATCCCGGGTGTTGGAGGTGGAACCTTGTGGGAGGTTTGTGACAGATCCCCCATGAATAGCTTGATGCCTTTCTCACAGTAAGAGGTGTGTTCTCATTCTATCACTTCCCTTGAGAACAGGTTGTTAAAGAGAGCCTGGCACCTCCCTGCTCTCTCTCTCTCTTGCTTTCTCTCTCACCATATGATCTCTGCACATGCTGGCTTAAACATCCTGCCATGAGTGAGAGCAACCTGAGGCTTTCACCTGATGTCCAATCTTCTAGCCTATAGAATACAGAAAAGCCAAATAAACTTTTCTTTGTAAATTAACTAGCCTCAGGTATTTTTTTTTATAGCAGCACTAAACATACTAAGACAGAAAGCAACGGAAAGACCGATTAGTTTTGAAATTTGTTACCAGATGTTTATAACATTATAAACATAGAATCTAAGAATTAAGATATTCTATTAACTCAGGTATTCCTTCAAATATTGCCACAACTTAAAATTCTATTTGATTTGTTTCCCATGTACTGAGGCTGAACCATTCACACACCCACCCACCCACACACACACTCACCAACGTGCCTACACACACACACACATACTTTATAATGTATTATGGCTATAAAATATGGCTAGAAGTCACCTAAACCTTACAATGCAAATTTATTTACAAAAATTCATCAAACAATAAGTAATTACTAAGAAAATCAGAAAATTTCTGTTTGTATAAGACTTTTACAAAAAGCATTTATACATTAAGAATTAAAAAAGTAATTTTCAACTAAAACATTTAACCACATATTCAAAAATTAAAAAGCTTGACTTTGTATTTATATTATAATTGTACTAAGTATGAGAAATTATCATTGTGTTGTTAATTTGCAGTATTTAGGTGATTTCTGTAGGGACTTGTAGTAGAAAAAGCTTAAAGATACTACTACTATTGTCAGTGCTGGTTTTGACAAGTCAACGTGGATGTCTCTCCATCCCTCTATGAATTCTAGGGATTAATATAGGGCTTTGGTTCCCTTCTTGTCAATCAGTTTCTCATCTTTCTCTATCAATAAGTTCAACTTTATTAAGAAATAGATTTGTTTCCTAAAACATGTGCCCTTTTGGGATTTTAATTATTTGTCTTATTTCATTTCTGTCAATTCTCTTCAATCTTCATTGTTGACCATTTTTTTTAACACTAATTAGGTCCATAGATTGTATAGAAATAGTTTATATTGCATATAGTTTTTAAAATATTTGACACTTTCTCCTGAACACATTTCTGAAAATATTGATTTCAATATAGTCCAGAGAACTCATTTCACTTGCCAGCCAAGTATATTATTTAAGAATTCAATATTTTCTACTCTTGTATTTACACAAAGTATATCTTAGAAAACATCAAAAGTCTGATTATTATGGGCACTCATCTCTAAAGAAGGCTCAGATCTAGAATTATTTATTTTATTATATTCAATTCCTAAGTTCCAAAAATTAAAACTGAATTAGTTCTTAAATTATAAAATAAAATAGATTTATTTTCAATTGGGAATAATGTTCTGAACCTCAAATATTTTGCTTTATTTGATATTGTGATTAAATAATAGTCACTGAGTTAGTTTTTAATGTATGTATGAATATCTTGATACCTATTTTTATATTTAAAAAATACATTATTTTTATAAATATTGTTAACTCATTTTTTCTTTCATTTACCAAATATTTATTGACCACTTATAATGTACCAGTTATTTTTTCTCTGTATAGAGGTAATAGCAGTAAATAAGATAAGCCTTGCTACTTTCATATTTTTCCTATGAAGTTTTAAATATTTTATGATTAGTACATTTTTGTATTATATTACTCTTATTACAGTCAAGGTTAACTTAGGGTAATTATACATAAATTTCTATTTTTTTAACTTATATTTCTGTTTCCTTTAAATGTATTCTCTTTCACAATACATCTTTTAAAAATGTATACCAAATGAATGTAGTTTTCAAAGCCAAGCAAAGAACAACCTCATTGCATATACCTACAAAATTAATAGTGGCACAAAAATTATGCGCAGCCAGCAAAACTAGCAAAATTAATGTGCTGATTCTGACCAGATTTGCAGAAATGCAAATATTGCAGTTTTCATCTCATATAGTTTGAAGAGATAAACTTTAAGAGCAACTTTTTTTCTTTATAAAGTAATAATAAGTTTAAATAATTTTTGATACCAAAATATTTATAATGGCAAAATATGAAGACACTATTTGTCTGAGCCTTAGTGTCTCCCTCAGGAACAGATACTTTCCCAAATCTGTTTGAATAGGAAAAAATATATATGTATATATTTATTTATTTGTTTATAGGACTTTATTGTCCACATTATTTATTTACGAATACTACTGAACTTATAAGTAGGAGCATGTAGTTTTCAACAATTCATTTAACAGTTTAACTACTTATCTCTAATTACTATATGTTTGTGTATGTAACGGGATCTAATGTGAAAGCTAATTACAAATTAGAACTTAAAATATGATGTCCTAAACATGCAGTAAGAATATTTTTTAGAAATCTTCTTATCTATAATAAAGAAATAAATCAAATAGCTAGACTAGACTTCATGATTAGTAGAATAAGAAGGAATGGGGTACTAAAAAATAAAGATTTGGCTTCAACTAAGAAAAAAGGAAAGAAGTAATCTCCTTTAAAATTTATAGTCATACAGAAGGCACTTCCGAACCTGTGGGGGAAGGGGCATAAGAAAGAACCGGATGCTTGTATGCTCCCCTCCCCTCCCCTCCCCTCCCTTCCCTTCCCCTCTCCTCCCCTCCTCTCCTCTCCTCTCCTCTCTTCTCTTTTTCTTTTTAAGACAGAGTCCTGCTCTCTAGCCCAGGCTAGAGTGCAGTGGTGCGATCTCGGCTCACTGCAACCTCCACCTCCCTGCTTCAAGTAATTCTCCTGCCTCAGCCTCTCACGTAGCTGAATTACAGGCGCCAGCTTCCACGCCTGAGCCACCATACCTGTCTGCTTTTATTTTCATAGTTATTTTCATAGTTTCACAGAGTCCTATATAACTTTATACACAAAGAGACTTCTTAAATATGAATGATAAACTGGTAAAAGTCAAGAAAACATAAATATTCTAAGAAAATTTTACCCAGAAGAGGTGTAAGAGCAATAACATGGAACATATATGACATAAAATTAAACACCAAGAGGTAACAGTTGGCCAGGTGCAGTGGCTCAAGCCTGTAATCCCAGCACTTTGGGAGGCTGAGGTGGGCGGATCACGACGTCAGAAGATCGAGACTATCCTGGCTAACATGGTGAAACTCCGTCTCTACTAAAAATACAAAAAAATTAGCCGGGCGTGGTGGCGGATGCCTGTAGTCCCAGCTACTCGGGAGGCTGAGGCAGGAGAATGGTGTGAACCCACGAGGCTGAGCTTCCAGTGAGCCGAGATTGCGCCACTGCACTCCAGCCTGGGCGACAGAGCCAGACTTCATCTCACAAAAAAAAAAAAAAAAAAAAAAAGTAAGAGTTTCTCTTTCTCTGAAA